>NC_000005.10:159397687-159700717 GCF_000001405.40 Homo sapiens | reverse complement strand
CAGAGAGGGAAAATGACTCAAAGGCACGTGAACATTCCACAATGGGGCAGGGCTTCACCCCTTACCTGCTCCTTGCAGTACATTGCACCTCAGTTTACTCAATGGGGTGAGACGGTAAAAGGGATTCTACCTATCAGCATGGACTCAGCTTCCATTTCACAATGAGTCACTCATCTCCATCAAGGGCACAGGAAGGCCCTGAAGAGAGGGCAAGGCACAAGGAAAAAGATCACAGAGAAGGCAGGAACCCACCTTGGTGGGGCAGGAGGAGGGAGTTCCTATGATAACCAGCCTACCATACAATTTTCTTACACATTATTTCAAAAATAGCTTCACTGTGTCACAGTTTAATGCTATGCTCACTGCATCTCAAAGGGTTGGTACAAAAAACTCCATTTAAGGAATATTGCTGAGTTTTTGCAAAATCCTTTTTAAACTCATTGGCCATTATATTACTCATTGGTCTTTCATAGGGATAAGTCACATGATACATTTCTTCTAGGACTAAGTGCCAGAAAAAATGTTGCCCTTCAAGATGGACTTGCATAGTGTTTTTTAATCCTATAGTGAGAACTCTACAAGCCAACATGTTGCTTGGTTTATTGATTTTATGAGGTCTGTGCTTAATTTTGGTAACCAGCTTATCTAAGGGTTCTATCATATTTGTGCCTTTCCTTCAGTCTCACTTAGCTCTAAACATTTATAGTAATTGTTCACGTTTAGTAATACATTTCTTTTCACACTTACAGTGCTGTCTTCTTTGCACTTATTCAACAAATATTTATTTAAGACCAAGTAAGAGCCATACCCTTGAGATAAAAAAGTAATAATTTCTATTCTCAAGGGATTGACAATATAAATGTTGAAGTGAAGAAAAACACTTACTAACTGGCCAGGTGATCAATAGTGGCCACCAACCTTTTGAGTGGAATGGGTGATACCCCATACAATGTGATTTCATGAGCCCCTGAAATCTCTCCCTAGTACCCCAAATATCATTTTCCTACAAACTATAGTCAGGATGATAGGTACATAATTTGTATATGACCAATCCCAATTTCTGTGCCCATGGCAGATGTCACTAATGTACCACAGTATTATTTTATACTAACTGATTATATTCAGGTTGTGGCATGAAGCACACAGCCACTGCCAATAAGTCAGAAAGGGATCTTGAATCAAACCCATATGTCGTCTCCTAAAAATCCACAAGTAGAGGATCATTCATTGGAGTAGAATTGTAGCTTCCTATTCAAAAGTACATAATTGTGGGAGGAGCAAAACTAGATAGAACGTGATTAACACTTTAGTTAATCAATTAATTTAGGTAATTTAGTTAATGATCAGTCATTAACACTTTACTGTAAATTAAATAACTTCTTTTCTTGGCAGCAGGCTTACATACGTAGTTTGATCTTAAGACATTGGCATCAAGAGCTGGCAAAGAAGCAGAAAGTGAAAGATTTGAAGAGGGTTCAGAACCAACTTTTGCCTGCTCCACCATTTTGCATGCCAATGAAATTCCACCTGGATAATAAAGAATCCCTAAACTCTACCTTGGGCCTCAAGGGCAGGATTTTTGCCTCGAGCTGCCACTTGGTTTCACTTCCCTTAGCTTTCTGTCTTCTTTCTCAATTCTTCCTAACTGTAATGCTTCTGAACACGTGTATTTAAAGGAGATTAATCATTCAAATACCGTAATTAGTTCAAGAATTGTGTCTTTTTGAGATGGAATGAGCTAATTAATTTTTTTTTTCTTCCAGGGAACCTACTCTCAGATGTGAGCTAATTAGTGAGCTGCACATCAAAAGAAGTGAAGTGTATCTTGTAAATAGGATTTCATTTAAAACAGATCAAAGAAAGATCTACTGAATCACTCCCTCATCCACTGATTTCTCCAAGCATCAGGCAGACAGTGAAGAGAACAACAAGTCACGAGAATGATAAACATAGCTCCAAAGAACAACTGTGATGCTCAAGTCAAATATTAATGAGAAGAGAGAACCAAATATATCCAGGGGTGGAATTATACTTCCTGGGACATGCATGGTTGGGTTTCTGATGTAGGCCAGGAGGGCAGTAATCTGTGTTTGTGACCCAGTCTACTTCTAAAAATACAAGGTTAGAAATAAGATCTCTAGACTCTGTTCTGACTGACTGGCTGTGTGATCTTGGTCAAGTTGCTTAACCTCTCTGAGCTCACTTCTCTTATCCATAATATATGAATCCCAGTCCTTTCTCCACTCACTTCCCAAGAGACTTGTGAAGATCATGTAAGATGATTAATGTGACAAGGGTTTGGAAAAAATTTAAAATGGCTATACAAATGTGAAGCATTTTTGGCATTATTAACAAGGTCTCCATAGGCAGAATAAATTAGAAGAAGAGAAAAGTTTCCCAGATGATTTTGGCCAAAATTCCAGCTCCTGAGGAAAATAGCATCCCAGTGGGCTGCCTCCGCAGATCAGATTTGCAGCATAATTGCCCAAACCTCCTTTCTCCTGTGATTACAGTTAGAAATTAGCTTCCAAAGAAGAAACAATTAAAACTAAGAAAGGAGATGAAAAGGTCTTTTTGTTTTCTTTTGAAGTTCCAGATTCCTGAACATGGCAGATTTTGCAAAAACAATCTTACTTGTCCTTCTAATGTTTATTCACATTTCCTCCAGCTTAGAAGGACAAATGGGGCCAAGCAGCTGGTGATTGACAGTGAGAGGTGTCCTTTGACTTGAATTTAAAATGCAAACTGATGTAAAGGAAATCAATAAGTACATTTTTGCTACAAAAATAGTTTCATGTCATTTTTCTGGTGGTGGCTGTTGAACACAAAGAATTTCAAGGTGGACAAGAAAGTAGGTAGGATGTTTCCTAAAGAAAAGCCCTACATAGAGAAACAAAGGCCAACTTACTCCTGCAAGCAAGATCATGAACATGTTTAGAGAGAGGTACCCTTGGATCTGGTGATCAGTGACTCAGGGAGCAGCTGGTGAGGGAGGAGGTGGCTCTAGGCAGTGTTGGGAAGGCCTCAGTCTCTTCACATATTTATTATACTTGGTAACAATATCAATCCAGAGCTGAGAACTAGGTCCATGGACACCCTTAGATCAAAGACATGAAAAGGTCCTCTTTCTTTTCTGAGCCTCACCAACCTCAGAAGGTGTACCTCTTCCTAGAGGGAAGAGCACATAAGAGACAAAAAGGGGCCTGAAAGTGACCCTCCCACAGCTTCAGACAAGACAGAAGGTCCAGGTGAAAACAGGGGCAGGAGGGAAGTGGAGGGAGAGAATAGTCCTATTCTGAACAGTAGCACTTCAGGAACTATGGCACTCGGCAGAGGTGACTTTCTTTAACTTTTTTTAAAAATCAAGGTAAAACTAATATCATATAAAATTAACCCTCTTAAAGTGTGCATTTTGGTGGCGGTTTAATACATTCGCAATGTTGTGCAACCATCAGCTCTAATTCTCAACATTTCCATCACCCCCAAGGGAGAATATACCTATGAAGCAGTCACTCTCATTCCACCCTCCCCAGAGGCAATGTTTTTACTGGGGACCTTTCTGCCCTCCCTACATTGTTCCCCAAATCATACTCAGGACTCAATAGATGCCTTTTCAAGGCTGGTTGCAAACCCTCCATCCGTGTGTCTGTGTAGACTCAGCGTTTGCTTCTCTGGGGACTAGGGTAAAGTTGGCTTAGGCCACAGGAGACTCCCAAGACTCTGTGCTGAGTGCTGTCACAGGTGCCTTTGCCCAAAGGCCCACATCTCTAACAAAGGCATGCCATGCCTTTGGGGAGGCATCTGCAGGTGCTTGGCAAGAAGCATTCATAGCACATTTAAGGCTGGCTCTGGATCCTACTCAGGAGTGGAAGCATTTTTTTTTTTGATCAGGAAGAAATTTTCAGCTGGATACAAGCCCCTTGCTCCAAATCAGTGTTTCAAGTAATGCCCGAAAGCTTCTTAAGGGACAGTGTCCCATCTCTCATTATGTCCCCAGAAGGCCAGCACAATATAGCACAGTCAATGTCTGTGGAATTGCCCACTAGGAGGTAAAGGGTCAGTTAGCATGCTGGTAAGAGTCTGTCTGGAGAGTCAGCCAGAGCTGGGTTGGATTCTCGCTTCTGCCCCTGTAATATGGATCTCTGGTTTATCTGACCTCACTGTCCTCATTTGCAAAAGAAAGTTACAATAACACTTATCTTTTAGGACTATTGTGAGTATTTATGAGTCAATAGTAGATGTAAACAAAGTGCTTAATACAGTTGCTCCAATGTTGGAGACCTCCACATACCACAGGAAAAGTATTGTCTCACTTGTAGGACTGAAAAAGAGGGATAGAAGACACATGATGTTGTTGGAAAAGTAAGGAACAATCTTGGCTGGAGAGACAAGCAGGGTCAACTGGAAGACAGCAGGGTGGTTTCAGGCCAACTAACAGGAAGCAAGACATCACTTGTGCTTCTCGTTTGCTGAGTCCCAGAGATGATGCTTTCAAAAGCCTCTTCAGGCAGCTGGGGGCCAAAGAACAAAACTGATGGGGTCTGTCCAAACAACCAGCCTAGCCTTTAGTCCCATGTGTTCTTGCAAAACCAGAAAAATGAACTTTCTCGACTAACCTCCTACAATAGGACTCAAATGTCCCACAAAGGTCCTGTCCCTTGGCATCCCAGATGAAGGTCCCAGCCTGGGGTGTGAGAACAGAGTCTGTATTAAGCAGCAAGAGGCAGATTCCCAAATACCAGGAGGAGCTTGTTTTAATATGTGGAGTTACATTCTCCGCTCTGCATATCTGCATTCCCATGGGAGGCGGGACACATTTCTCCCAATCCATGTATGCCTCTGAATTCTTCCTACAGCAAGCTAAGCAAACTGTTGACATGAAACAAACTGTTTCTGCTTCACCCAAGTAGATTGTTTTCCGGGGCCCTGGTGCTCCCTGAAACTTGCCATGTTGGGCAAAGAAAAATATTCTATTTTGGAGCTATGATGGATTTAGTTAAGATAGGTCAAAGTTCTTTCCCTTCTTTGTTAGAGAATTGCTTATGTCTTGATTGAAATTTGTTAAATTTGGGTAGGAGCAGTTTTACCAAGTCTATCAAAAATAGAAAAAAAAAGAGAAGATATAGTATCACTTTAATGTATGTGTGTGTGAGTTTACATTTACCTTGAACTTTTTCTCATTCTAAAATGCCAACCAGTTCTGTTGTTTATAATCTAACTGGAAGCAGCTGAAGAGTGATGTTTTGAGACACACCAAGAACTGTTATTATTAGCCCCTCCACTCAACATTAATCAAACAGACATGGGATGCCTTTATGAGAGGCATGAAACTTGGAGAATAAATGAAACTTAGATGCCAGAGTCAAGCTTGAATATCTTTTTTTAATTTTTAATTTTGTGGGTACAAAGCAGGTATATATATTTATGGGGTACATGAGAGGTTTTTTTCTCCTTTAAAATATTTCAATAGGTTTTTGGAGAACAGATGGTGTTTGGTTATATGAATACATTCTTCAGTGGTGATTTCTGAGATTTTGGTCCACCCATCACCTGAGCAGTGTACACTGTACCCAGTGTATAATCTTTTATCCCTCACCCCCTCCCACCTTTTCCCCCAAGTCCCCCAAATCCATTGTATCATGCCTATGCCTTTGCATCCCACTTATGAAAGAGAACATATGATGTTTGGTTTTCCATTCCTGAGTTACTTCACTTAGAATAACTGTCTCCAATTTCATCCAGGTTGCTGCGAATGCCATTATTTTTTTCCTTTTTATGGCTGAGTAGTATTCCATGGTGTGGGTGTATATATATATATATATATATATATATATATATACATACACACACCATTTTGTTTATCCACTTGTTGATTGATGGGCATTTGGGCTGGTTCCACATTTTTGAAGTTGTGAGTTGTGCTGCTATAAACATGTGTGTGCAAGTATCTTTTTCATATAATGACTTCTTTTCCTCTGAGTAGATACCCAGTAGTGGGATTGGTGGATCAAATGGTAGATCTACTTTTGGTTCTTTAAGGAATCTCCACACTGTTTTCCATAGTGGTTGTACATAGTTTACACTCCCACCAACAGTGTAAAAGTGTTCTCTTTTCACCACATCCATGCTGACATCTATTATTTTTTGATTTTTTGATTATGGCCATTCTTGCAGGAGTAAGGTGGTATCGCATTGTGGTTTTGATTTGCATTTCTCTGATCATTAATGATGTTGAGCATTTTTTCATATGTTTGTTGGCCATTTGCATATCTTCTTTTGAGAATTGTCCGTTCATGTCCTTAGCCCACTTTTTGATGGAATTGTTTGTTTTTTTCTTGCTGATTTGTTTGAGTTCCTTATAGATTCTGGATATTAGTCCTTTGTTGGATGTATAAATTGCAAAGATTTTCTCCCACTTTGTGAGTTGTCTGTTTACTCTGTTGATTCTTTCTTTTGGTTTGCAGAAGCTATTTAGTTATTAAGTCCTATCGATTTATCTTTGTTTTTTGTTTGCGTTTGGGTTCTTGGTCACGAAGTCTTTGCCTCAGCAGATGTCTAGAAGGGTTTTTCCAATGTTATCTTGTAGAATTTTTACTGTTTCAGGTCTTAGATTTAAGTCTTTGATCCATCTTGAGTTGATTTTTGTATAAGGTGAGAGATGAGGATCCAGTTTCATTCGTCTACATGTGGCTTGTCAATTATCTGAGCACCTTTGGTAAATAGGATGTCCTTTCCCCACTTTATGTTTTTATTTGCTTTTTCAAAGATCCGTTGACTGTAAGTATTTGGCTTTATTTCTGGGTTCTCTATTCTGTTCCATTGGTCTATATGCCTGTTTGTATACCAGTACCATGCTGTTTTGGTGACTATGGCCTTATAGTATAGTTTGAAGTTGGGTAATGTGGTGCCTCCAGATTTGTTCTTTTTGCTTAATCTTGCTTTGGCTATGTGGGCTCTTTTTTGGTTCCATATAAATTTTCGGTTGTTTTTTTTCTAGTTCTGTAAAGAATGATGGTGGTATTTTGATGAGAATTGCATTAAATTTGTAGATTGCTTTTGGCAGTATGGTCATTTTCACAATATTGCATGGGATGTGTTTCCATTTGTTTGTGTCATCTATGATTTCTTTCAGCAGTATTTTGTAGTTTTCCTTGTAGAGGTATTTCACTTCCTTGGTTAAGTATATTCCTAAGTATTTTATTTTATTTTATTTTTGCAGCTATTGTAAAAGGGGTTGAATTCTTGATTCTCAGCTTGGTCACTGTTGGTGTATAGCAGGGCTACTGATTTGTGTAGTTTAATTTTGTATCTTGTAACTTTGCTCAATTTGTTTACCAGTTCTCAGAGCTTTTTGGACGACTCTTTGGGGTTTTCTAGGAATACAATTATGTCATCAGCAAACAGCGACAGTTTGACTTCGTCTTTACAGATTTGGATGCCCTTTATTTCTTTTTCTTGTATGATTGCTCTGGCTAGGATTTCCAGTACTATGTTGAATAGAAGTGGTGAAAGAGGGCATCCTTGTCTTGTTCCAGTTCCATGAGATGTTTTGATACAGGTATGGAATGTGAAATAAGCACATCATAGAGAATGGGGTATCCATCCCCTCAAGCATTTATTGTTTGAGTTACAAACAATCCAATTATACTCTTGGAGTTATTTTAAAATGTAAAATTAAGTTATTATTGGCTATAGTCACCCTGTTATGCTATCAAATAGTAGATCTTATTCATTTTTTTAAAACTTTTTTTTAACCCATTAACCACACTCACTTCCTCACCATGCCCCCATACCCTTCCCGACCTCTAATAACTATCTTTCTACTCTCTATATCCATGAGTTCAATTGTTTTGACTTTTAGATCTCACAAATAAGTGAGAACATGTAATTTTTGTGTTTCTGTTCTCAGCTTATTTCACTTAACATAATGATCTCCAGTTCCATAATGTTGTTGCAAATGAATCTCATTCTTTTTATATGGCTGAATAGTACTCCATTGTGTATACATATCACACTTTCTTTATCCATTCATCTGTCGATGGACATTTAGGTGGCTTCCAAGTATTAGCTATTATAAACAGTGCTACAACAAACATAGGAGTGCAGATATCTCTTCAACATACTGATTTCCTTTCTTTCAGGTGTATACCTAGCAATGTGATTGCTGGATCATATGGTAGCTCAATTTTTAGTTTTTTTGAGGAACCTCCAAACTGTTCTCCATAGTGGCTGTACTAATTTACATTGCCACCCTTCCCGGTGTACAAGGGTTCCCTTTTCTCTGCATCCTTGCTAGCATTTGTTACTGTCTATCTTTTGGATATAAGCCATTTTAACTGGTGTGAGATGATATCTCATTGTAGTTTTGATTTGCATTTCTCTGGTGAGTACCTTTTTATATGCCTATTTTCCATTTGTATGTCTTCTTTTGAGAAATGTCTATTTAAATCTTTTGCCCACTTTTTGATCACATTATTGGATTTTTTTTTTTCCTGTAGAGTTGTTTGAACTCCTTACATATTCTGGATATTAATCCCTTGTCACGTGGTTAGTTTGAAAATACATTATTCCATTCTGTGGTTTGTCTCTTCACTTTGTTGGTTGTTTCCTTTTCTGTGCAAAAGCTTTTTAACTTGATATAATCCCATTCGTCCATTTTGCTTTAGTTGCCCGTGCTTGTGAGGTATTGCTCAATTTTTGCCCAATCCAATGTCCTGGAGATTTTTGTCAATGTTTACTTGTAGTAGTTTCATAGTTGCAGTCTTAGATTTAAGTCTTTAATCCATTTTGATTTGATTTTTGTATGTTGTGAGAGACAGGAGTCTAATTTCATTCCTTTGCATATGAATATCCAGTTTTCTGAGCACCATTTATTGAAAAGACTATCTTTTCCCCAGTATATACTCTCAGCACCTTTGTGAAAAATGAATTCACTGTAGATGAGTGGATTTGTTTCTAGGTTCCTTATTCTGTTCATTGAATGTTTTTATGCCAGTACCTTGCTGTTTCGGTTACTATAGCTCTATAGTATAATAGGAAGTCAGATAATGTGCATCCTCCAGCTTTGTTTTTGTTGCTTAGAGTAGCTTTAGTTATTCTGGGCCTTCCATAGTTTCATATTAATTTTAGAATTTTTTTCTATTTTTGTGAAGAATATTGTTGGTATTTTGATAGGGATTGCATTGAATCTGTAGATTGCTTTGGATAGTATGGACATTTTAACAATATTGATTCTTCCAATACATGAAAATTAATTACTTTTCCATTTTTTGATGCCCTTTTCAGTTTCAAAACTAGATAAATTACATTACTTAACTTTAAATTATACTACAAAGCTATAGTAACCAAAACAACATGGGACTGGAAAAAACAAACAAACAAAGTAAAAAAAAAGGACACATAGACCAATGGAACAGAATACAGAACCCAGAAACAAATCCACACACCTAGAGTGAACTAATTTTCAACAAAGGTGCAAAGAACATACACTGGGGAAAAGACAGTCTCTTCAATATATGGTCCTGGGAAAACTGGTATCCATATGTACAAGAATAAAACTAGACTCCTATCTCTTGCTATATACATACATACGTATGTCAGTTGTTGATCTGTTTAGGCTTTGAATTTCATCTTGTTTCAGTCTTGGTAGGTTGTATGTGTCTAGGAGTTTGTCCGTTTCTTCTAGATTTTCCAAATTATTAGCATATAGTTGCTCATTGTGGCCACTGATTATCCTTTGAATTTCTTCAGTATCAGTTGTAATGTAGGCACTTGTAGCTATAAACTTCCCTCTTAGTGTTGTTTTTGCTGTATCTCATATGTTATTGTGTGTTGTGTTTCCATTATCATTTGTTTCAAGAAATCTTTCATTTTCATTTTCCTTTTTTTTTTTTTTTTTTTTTTTTGAGACAAGTTCTCTCTATGTCTTCCAGGCTGGAGTGCAGTGGCATGATCATGGCTCACTGCAACCTCCAACTTCTGGGTTCAAGAAATCCTCCTGCCTCAGCCTCCCAAGTAGCTGGAACTATAGGCGTGTGCCACCACACCTGCCTAGTTTCTGTATTTTTTTGTAAAAATGGGGTTTTGTCATGTTGCCCAAGGTGGTCTCACACTCCTGGGTTCAAGCAACCCACCCATCTTGGCCTCCCAAAGTGCTGGGATTATAGGCATGAGTCACCATACCCTACAACTTCAATTTTCTTCTTAATTTTTTCATTGACCCACTGGTCATTCAGAAGCATATTGTTTAATTTCCATGTATTTGTATAGTTTCCAAAATTCATCTTATTAATTTCTAGTTTTATTTCATTGTGGTCAGAGAAGATTCTTGACATTATTTCAGTTTTTTGAATGCTTTAAGACTTGTTTTGTGACCTAACATGTTGTCTATCTTTGAGAATGATCCATGTGCTGAGGAAGAATGTGTATTCTATAGCCACAGGATGAAATCTTCTGTATGTGTCTATTAGATTCATTCAATCTATAGTGCAGATTAAGTCTGATGTTTCTTTGTTAATTTTCTGTCTGTCTAATGCTGAAAGTGGGGTGTTGAAGTCTCCAGCTATTATCGTAACGAGGCTTATCTCTCTCTTTAATATTTCCTTTATACGTGGGTGCTTCAGTGTTGGGTGCATATATACTTAAAATTGTTATATCTTTTTGCTAAATTAACCCCTTTATCATTATATAGTGACCTTCTTTGTCTCTTCTTACAGTTTTTGTTTTGAAATCTATTTTGCCTGATATAAGTATAGTGATTCCTGTTATTTTTTGGTTTCTATTGGTATGGGATATCTTTTTCCATTCCTGTACTTTCAGTCTATGTGTGTCTTTACAGATGAAGTGTGTTTTTTGTAGGTAACAGACTGGTGGGTCTTGTTTTTTTTCATCCATTTAGCCAGTCTATGTCTTTTGATTGGAGAATTTAGTTTATTTACATTCAATGTTATTATTGATAAGTAAGGAATTACTCCTGCCATTTTGTTATTGGCTTCCGTTTGCTTTGCGGTTTTCTCTTCCTTCTACCTTTCCTTCCTATCTTCCTTCAATGAAGGTAATTTCATCTGGTGGTATGATTTAGTTTCTAGCATTTTATTTTTTGTGTAATTATTATATGTTCTTTGGTTTGAGGTTACCATGAGGCTTGCAAGTATCATCTCATAACCCATTATTTTCACCTGATAATAACTTAACACTGTCGGTATAAACAAACAGTAAAGCAAAAAGTAAACTAATAAGAACTTTACACCTTAATCCTTAATTTCATCCCCTGCTTTTTTTTTTTTTTTTTTTTTTGAGACTGAGTCTTGCTCTGTCACCCAGGCTGGTGTGCAGTGGCTTTATCTTTGCTCACTGCAACCTCCGCCTCCTGGGTTCAAGCCATTCTCCCTCCTCAGCCTCCCAAGTAGCTAGGGTTACAAGCATACACCACCATGCCCAGCTAATTTTTGTATTCTTAGTAGAGATGGGGTTTCACCATGTTGGCCAGGCTGATCTCAAACTCCTGAGAGGCCCACCTCAGCCTTAAAGTGCTGGGATTACAGGCATGAGACACGGCACCTAGCATCCCCCTGCTTGTTAACTTTCTGTTGTTTCTATTTATATCTTATTGCACTGTCTATGTCTTTTGTCTACAAAAGTTGGTGTAGTTATTATTTTTGATTGGTTTATCATTTAGTCTTCCTACTTAGGATAAGAGTAGTTTACACAGTACAGTTACAGTGTTATGATATTCTGTGTTTTTCTGTGTACTTCTTATTATCAGTGAGTTCTGTACCTTCAGGTGATTATTGCTCCATTAATATCCTTTTCTTTCTGATTAAAGTACTCCCTTTAGCATTTCTTGAACTACAGGTTCGGTGTTGATGAAATCCCTCAGCTTTTGTTTATCTGGAAACTTCTTTATTTCTCCTTCATGTTTGAAGAATATTTTCATCAAATGTGCTATTTTAGGGTAAAAGGTTTTCTCTTTAGCACTTTAAATATGTCACACCAGTCTCCCCTGGCCTGTGAAGTTTCCACTGAAAAGTCTGCTGCCTGACATATCAGAGCTCCATTGTATGATATTTGTTTCTTTTCTCCTGCTGCTTTTGGGATCCTTTCTTTATCCTTGACCTTTGGGAGTTTGATTATTAAATGCCTTGAGGTATTCTTTGAGTTAAATCTGCTTTGTGTTCTATAATCTTTTCATACTTGGATAGTAATTTTTTTCTAGATTTGGGAAGTTCACCGTTACTATCTATTTGAATAAACTTTCTACTCGTCTCTTTCTTTACCTCCTCTTTAATACCAATAACTCTTAGATTTGCCCTTTTGAGGCTATTTTCTAGATTCTGTAGGTGTGCTTTGTTGTTTTTTATTCTTTTTTTTGGTCACCTCTGATTGTGTATTTTCAAATAGCCTGTCTTCAAGCTGACAAACTCTTTCTGCTGCTTGATAAATTCTGCTATTAAAAAACTCTGAAGCACTAAACATGGAAAGGAACAACCAGTACCAGCCACTGCAAAAACATGCCAAATTGTAAAGACCATCAAGGCTAGGAAGAAACTGCATCAAGTAATGAGCAAAATAACCAGCTAACATCATAATGACAGGATCAAATTCACACATAACAATATTAAACTTAAATGTAAATGGGCTAAATGCTCCAATTAAAAGGCACAGACTGGCAAATTGGATAAAGAGTCAAGACCCATTAGTGTGCTGTATTCAGGAAACCCATCTCATGTGCAGAGACACACATAGGCTCAAAATAAAGGGATGAAGGAAGATCTACCAAGCAAATGGAAAACAAAAAAAGGCAGGGGTTGCAATCCTAGTCTCAGATAAAACAGACTTTAAACCAACAAAGATCAAAAGAGACAAAGAAGGCCATTACATAATGGTAAAGGGATCAATTCAACAAGAAGAACTAACTATACTAAATATATATGCACCCAATACAGGAGCACCCAGATTCATAAAGCAAGTCCTTAGTGACCTACAAAGAGACTGAGACTCCCACACAATAATAATGGGAGACTTTACCACCCCACTGTCAACATTAGACGGATCAACGAGACAGAAAGTTAACAAGGATATCCAGGAATTGAACTTATCTCTGCACCAAGCGGACCTAATAGACATCGACAGAACTCTCCACCCCAAATCAACAGAATATACATTCTTTTCAGCACCATACCACATCTATTCCAAAATTGACCACATAGTTGGAAGTAAAGCACTCCTCAGCAAATGTAAAAGAACAGAAATTATAACAAACTGTCTCTCAGACCACAGTGCAATCAAACTAGAACTCAGGATTAAGAAACTCACTCAAAACCACTCAGCTACATGGAAACTGAACAACCTGCTCCTGAATGACTACTGGATACATAACCAAATGAAGGCAGAAATAAAGATGTTCTTCAAAACCAACGAGAACAAAGACACAACATACCAGAATCTCTGGGACACATTCAAAGCAGAGTGTAGAGGGAAATTTATAGCACTAAATACCCACAAGAGAAAGCTGGAAAGATCTAAGATTGACACCCTAACATCGCAATTAAAAGAACTAGAGAAGCAGGAGCAAACACATTCAAAAGCTAGCAGAAGGCAAGACATAACTAAGATCAGAGCAGAATTGAAGGAAATAGAGACATAAAAAACCCTTCAAAAAATCAATGAATCCAGGAGCTGGTTTTTTGAAAAGATCAACAAAATTGACAGACTGCTAGCAAGACTAGTAAAGAAGAAAAGAGAGAAGAATCAAATAGATGCAATAAAAAATGACAAAGGGGATATCACTATCAATCCCACAGAAATACAAACTACCATCAGAGAACACTATAAACACCTCTACGCAAATAAACTAGAAAATCTGGAAGAAATGGATAAATTCCTCAACACATACACCCTCCCAAGACTAAACCAGGAAGAAGTTGAATCTCTGAATAGACCAATAACAGGCTCTGAAATTGAGGCAATAATTAATAGCTTACCCACCAAAAAAAAAAAAAGTCCAGGACCAGATGGATTCACAGCCAAATAATACCAGAGGTACAAGGAGGAGCTGGTACCACTCCTTCTGAAACTATTCCAATCAATAGAAAAAGAGGGAATCCTCCCTAACTCATTTTATGAGGCCAGCATCATCCTGATACCAAAGCCTGGCAGAGACACAACCAAAAAAGAGAATTTTAGACTAATATCCTTGATGAACATTGATGCAAAAATCCTCAATAAAATACTGGCAAATCGAATCCAGCAACACATCAAAAAGCTTATCCACCATGATCAAGTGGGCTTCATCCGTGGCATGCAAGTCTGGTTCAACATAAGAAAATCAATAAAAGTAATCCAGCATATAAACAGAACCAAAGACAAAAACAACATGATTATCTCAATAGATGCAGAAAAGGCCTTTGACAAAATTCAACAACCCTGCATGCTAAAAACTCTCAATAAATTAGGTATTGATGGGATGTATCTCAAAATAGTAAGAGCTATTTATGACAAACCCACAGCCAATATCATACTGAATGGACAAAAACTGGAAGCATTCCCTTTGAAAACTGGCACAAGACAGGGATGCCCTCTCTCACCACTCCTATTCAACATAGTGTTGGAAGTTCTGGCCAGGGCAATCAGGCAGGAGAAGGGAATAAAGGGCATTCAATTAGGTAAAGAGGAAGTAAAACTGTCCTTGTTTGCAGATGACATGATTGTATATCTAGAAAACCCCATCGTCTCAGCCCAAAATCTCCTGAAGCTGATAAGCAACTTCAGCAAAGTCTCAGGGTACAAAATCAATGTGCAAAAATCACAAGCATACTTATACACCACTAACAGACAAACAGAAAGCCAAATCATGAGTGAACTCCCATTCACAATTGCTACAAAGAGAATAAAATACCTAGGAATCCAATGTACAAGGGACGTGAAGGACCTCTTCAAAGAGAACTACAAACCACTGCTCAATGAAATAAAAGAGGATACAAACAAATGGAAGAACATTCCATGCTCATGCGTAGGAAGAATCAATATTGTGAAAATGGCCATACTGGCCAAGGCAATTTATAGATTCAATGCCATCCCCATCAAGCTACCAATGACTTTCTTCACAGAATTGGAAAAAACTAAAGTTCGTATGGAACCAAATAAAAGCCCGCATCAGCAAGTCAATCCTAAGCCAAAAGAACAAAGCTAGAGGCATCACGCTACCTGACTTCAAACTATACTACAAGGCTACAGTAACCAAAACAGCATGGAACTGGTACCAAAACAGAGATCTAGATCAATGGAACAGAACAGAGCCCTCAGAAATAATGCCACATATCTACAACCATCTGATCTTTGACAAACCTGACAAAAACAAGCAATGGGGAAAGGATTCCCTATTTAATAAATGGTGCTGGGAAAACTGGCTGGCCATATGTAGAAAGCTGAAAATGGATCACTTCCTTACACCCTATACAAAAATTAATTCAAGATGGATTAAAGACTTACATGTTAGACCTAAAGCCATAAAAACCCTAGAAGAAAACCTAGGCAATACCATTCAGGACATAGGCATGGGCAAGGACTTCATGTCTAAAACACCAAAAGCAATGGCAACAAAAGCCAAAATTGACAAATGGGATCTAATTAAACTAAAGAGCTTCTGCACAGCAAAGAAACTACCATCAGAGTGAACAGGCAACCTACAAAATGGGAGAAAATGTTTGCAACCTACTCATCTGACAAAGGGCTAATACTCAGAATCTACAATGAACTCAAACAAATTTACAAGAAAAAAACAAACAACCCCATCAAAAAGTGGGCAAGGGATGTGAACAGACACTTCTCAAAAGAAGACATTTATGCAGCCAAAAAACACATGAAAAAATACTCATTATCACTGGCCATCAGAGAAATGCAAATCAAAACCACAATGAGATACCATCTCACACCAGTTAGAATGGTGATCATTAAAAAGTCAGGAAACAACAGGTGCTGGAGAGGATGTGGAGAAATAGGAACACTTTTACACTGTTGGTGGGACTGTAAACTAGTTCAACCATTGTGGAAGTCAGCGTGGCGATTCCTCAGGGATCTAGAACTAGAAACACCATTTGACCCAGCCATCCCATTACTGGGTATATACCCAAAGGATTATAAATCATGCTGCTATGAAGACACATGCACACGTATGTTTATTGCAGCACTATTCACAATGGCAAAGACTTGGAACCAACCCAAATGTTCAACAACGATAGACTGGATTAAGAAAATATGGCACATATACACCATGGAATTCTATGCAGCCATAAAAAATGATGATTTCATGTCCTTTGTAGGGACATGGATGAAACTGGAAACCATCACTCTCAGCAAACTATCGCAAGGATAAAAAACCAAACACTGCATGTTCTCACTCATGGGTGGGAATTGAACAATGAGAACACATGGACACAAGAAGGGGAACATCACACACCGGGGACTGTTGTGGGGTGGGGGGAGGGGGGACGGATAGCATTAGGAGATATACCTAATGCTAAATGACGAGTTAATGGGTGCAGAACACCAACATGGCACATGTATACATACGTAACAAACCTGCACATTGTGCACATGTACCCTAAAACTTAAAGTATAATAATAAAAAAAAACCTAAAAAAAAAAAAGAAGACACTTATGCAGCCAAAAAACACATGAAAAAATGCTCATCATCACTGGCCATCAGAGAAATGCAAATCAAAACCACAATGAGATACCATCTCACACCAGTTAGAATGGCGATCAATAAAAAGTCAGGAAACAACAGGTGCTAGAGAGGATATGGAGAAATAGGACCACTTTTACACCGTTGGTGGGACTGTAAACTAGTTCAACCATTGTGGAAGTCAGTGTGGCGATTCCTCAGGGATCTAGAACTAGAAATACCATTTGACCCACCCATCCCATTACTGGGTATATACCCAAAGGATTATAAATCATGCTGCTATAAAGACACATGCACACGTATGTTTATTGCGGCACCATTCACAATAGCAAAGACTTGTAACCAACCCAAATGTCCATCAATGATAGACTGGATTAAGAAAATGTGGCACATATACACCATGGAATTCTATGCAGCCATAAAAAATGAAGAGTTCATGTCCTTTGTAGGGACATGGATGAAGCTGGAAACCATCATTCTCAGCAAACTATCGCAAGGACAAAAAACCAAACACTGCATGTTCTCACTCATGGGTGGGAATTGAACAATGAGAACACATGGACACATGAAGGGGAACATCACACACCGGGGACTGTTGTGGGGTGGGGGAGGGGGGAGGGATAGCATTAGGAGATATACCTAATGCTAAATGACCAGTGAATGGGTGCAGCACACCAACATGGCATATGTATACATATGTAACAAACCTGCACGTTGTGCACATGTACCCTAAAACTTAAAGTATAATAATAAAAAAAGGAAAAGAAAACCAAAACTCTGGTGCATTCTTCAGTATGCCAGTTGCATTTTTCAGCTGCAGAATTTCTGTTTGATTCTTTAAAATTATTTCAATCTCCTTGTTAAATTTATCTCATAGAATTCTGAATTTCCTTTCTGTGTTATCTGGAATTTATTTCAGTTTCCTTAACATAGCTATTTTGAATTCTCTGTCTGACAGTTCCCATATCTGACATGGTTGGTCCCTGGCACCTTATTTATTTAGTTCATTTGGTGAAATCTTGTTTTCCTGCATGACGTTGATGCTAGTAGATATTCTTTGGTGTCTGGGTATTGAAGAGTTAGGTATATATTGTAATCTTCACTGTCTGGGCTTATTTGTACCTGTCCTTCTTGGGGGGGCTTTTCAGATATTTAAAAGAACTTGGATTTTGTGATCTAAGCTGTATCTCCTTTAGGGGGCACCACAAGCCCAGGGATGCTGTGTTTCTTATAGACTCATAGAAGTACTGCCGTGATGGTTGATAGGGTTTGGATATGTGTCCCTGCCCAAATCTCATGTTGAATTGTAATCCCCAGTGTTGGAGGTGGGTCCTGGTGGAAGGTGATTGAATCATGGGGGTGGATCCTTCATGAATGGTTTAGCACCATCCCTTCAGTGCTGTTCTCATGATGGCGAGTGAGTTCTCATGAGATCTGGTTGCTTTAAAAGTGCGTAGCACCTCCTCCCTCACTGCCTTCCTCCCATTCCAGCCATGTAAGACATACCAGCTTCCCCTTTACCTTCTGGCGTGATTGTAAGTTTCCTGAGGTCTCCCTAGATGCAGAAGCAACAATGACGTCTGTACAGCCTGTGGAATCATGAGCAGATTAAACCTCTTTTCTTGTAAATTGCCCTTGAAAATTGTCTCAGGAATTCCTTTATAGCAATGTGAGAACAGACTAATATAGAAAATTGGTATCAAGAGTAGGGTATTGCTATAAATATACCTGAAAATGTGGAAGCTACTTTGGAATTGAGTAACAGGCAAAGGTTGAAAAAGTGTGGAGTACTCAGAAGAAGAGAGGAAGATGAGGAAAAATTTGGAACTTCCTAGAGAGTTGTTAAATTGTTGTCATCAAAATGTTGATAGTGATATGGACAGTGAAGTCCAAGCTGAGGATGCCTAAGATGGAGATGAGGGACTTACTGGAAACTGGAGCAAAGGTCACTTATGTTATGTGTTAGCAAAGAGATTGGCTGCATTGTGTTCCTGCTGTAGGGATCTGTGGAACTTTGAACTTGAGAATGATGATTTAGGGTATCTGGTGGAAGAAATTTCTAAGCAGCAAAGTGCTCAAGATGTGGCCTGGCTGCTTCTAACAGTGAGCATATGAGTTTTTTTGCTCATATGGGTGAGCAAAAAAAATGACCTGAAACTGAAACTTATATTAAAAAGGGAAACAGAATGTGAAAGATTGGAAAATTTGCAGCCTGGCCATGTGGTACAAAAGAAAAGACTGTTTTCAGAGGAAGAATTCAAGTGGGCTGCAGAAATTTACAAAAGTAAAGAGGAGTCAAGCACTGACAGCCAAAACAATGGGGAAAAGGCCTCAAAGGCATTTCAGAGACCTTAGCAGCAGCCCCTCCCATCACAGGCCCAGAATCCTAGAAGGGAAGAATAGTCTTGTGGTCCAGGTCCAGTGTTCCACCACCCTGCCCTACATTAGGACACTGATCCCTGCATCCCAGCCACTCCAACTCCAGTGGTGGCTCAAAGGGACCTAGGTACAGCTCAGGTCACTTCTTCAGAGGGTGCAAACAGAAAGCCTTGATATCTTTCATGTGGTGTTAAGCCTGTGGTTGCAGAGTGCAAGGGTTGAGGGTTGGAAGCCTCTGCATAGATTTCAGAGGATGTATTGAAAAGCCTGGGTGTCCAGGCATAAGCCTGCTGCAGGGTCAGAGCCCTCATGGAGAACCTCTACTAGGGCAATGAATTAGTCTGTTCTCACACTACTATGGAGAAATACCCGAGACTGGATAATTTGTGAATAGAAGAGCTTTAATTGACTGACAGTTCCACATGGCTAGGGAGACCTCAGGAAAATTACAATCATGGTTGAAGGCACCTCTTCACAGGGTGGCAGGAGAGAGAATGAGAGACCAGTGAAGGGGGAAACCCCTTATAAAACCATCAGATCTCACAATAACTAACTCATTATCATGAGAAGAGGATAAGGGAAACAGTTATTATTCAATTATTCAATTATCATGATTCAATTATCTCCACCTGGCCCTTCTCACAACACATGGGGATTATGGGAACTACAATTCAAGATGAGATTTGGGTGGGGACACAGCCAACCCATATCACTCCACTCCTGCCCCCTCCCAAATCTCATGTTCTCACAATTCAAAACACAATGATGCTCTTCCAACAGTTCTCCAAAATCTTAACTCATTCCAGCATTAACTCAAAGGTCCAAGTCCAAAGTCTCATCTGAGACAAGGCAAGTCCCTTCCACCTAGGACCTTCATAAAAGCAAAAGCAAGTTAGTTATTCCTAGATATAATGAGGGTACAGGCATTGGGCATATATGCCCATTCCAAATGGGAGAAACTGGCCCAAACAAAGGGGCTATAGGTCCCACGCAAGTCCAAAATCCAACAGGATAGTCATTAAATCTTAAAATCCCAAAATGATCTCATTTGACTCCATGTCTCACATCCATGTCACACTGATGCAAGAGGTGGGCTCCCATGGCCTTGGTCAGCTCTGCCTCTGTGGCTTTGCAGGGTACAGCCACACTCCCAGCTGCTTTTGCAAGCTGGCATTGAGTGCCTGCAGCTTTTCCGGAGACACAGCACACACTGTTAGTGGATCTACCATTCTGGGATCTAGAGGACAGTGGCCCTCTTCTCACAGCTTCACTAGGCAGTGCTCCACTGGGGACTCTGTGTGGGGGCTCTGACCCCACATTTCCCTCCTTCGCTGTCCTGGCAGATGTTCTTGACGAGGGCTCCAACCCTGCAGCAAACTTCTGCCTGGACATCCAGGTGCTTACATACATCCTCTGAAATCTAAGCAGAGGTTCCCAAACCTTAATTCTTAACTTCTCTGCACCTACAGACTCAACACCACATGGAAGCTGCCAAGGCTTGGGGTTTGCACCAAGCTGTACCTTGGCCCCTTTTAGCCACAGCTGGAGCAGCTGGGATGCAGGGCACCAAGTTCCTAGGCTGCACACAAAAGTGGGGGCCCTGGGTGGGGCCCATGAAGCCATGTTTTTTTCTCCTCTGCCTCCAGGCCTGTGATAGAAGGGGCTGCCACAAAGGTGGCTGACATGCCCTGGAGACATTTTCCCCATTGTCTTGGGGATTAACATTGGACTCCTCATTATTTATGCAAATTTCTGCAGCTAGCTTGAATTTATCCCCAGAAATTTTTTTTTCCTGTGAATTTTCCAAACTTTCATGCCTTGCATCCTCTTGAATGCTGTGCTGCTTGGAAATTTCTTCCACCAAATAACCCTGAATCATCTCTCTCAAGTTTAAAGTTTCACAGATCTCTAGGGCAGGGATGAAATCCCGCCAGTTTCTTTGCTAAAGCATAATAACAGTCATCTTTGCTCCAGTTCCCAATAAGTTCCTCATCTCCATCTGAGACCACCTCAGTGTGACCTTTATTGTCCATATCACTATCAGCATTTTGGTCAAAGCCATTCACCAAGCCTCTATGAAGTTCCAAGCTTTCCCACATCTTCCTGTCTTCTGAGCCCTCCAAGTGCCTAGGAAGTTCAAAACTTTGCCACATTTTCCTATCTTCTTCTGAGCCCTCAAAACTATTCAAACCTCTGCCTGTTACCCAGTTCCAAAGCTGCCTCCACATTTTTGAGTACCCTTATAGCAGTACCCCACACCCTGAGGTATCAATCTACTATATTAATCCATTCTCACACTGCTATGAAGAAATACTCAAGACTGTGTAATTTATAAATAACAGAGGTTTTACTGACTCACAGTTCCACATGGCTGGGGAGGCCTCAGGAAAATTACAATCATGGCAGAAGGCACCTCTTCACAGGGTGGCAGCAGAGAGAATAAGAGCTCAGTGTAGGGGGAAGCCCCTTATCAAACCATAAGATCTTGTGAGAACTAACTCACTATCATGAGAACAGGATGGGGGAAACCACCTCCATTATTCAATTATCTCTACCTGGCCCTTCCCATGACACATGGGGATTATGGGAACTGCAATTCAAAATAAGATTTGGGTGTGGACACAGCCCAACCATATTAGGCAGTGTGGAGGGGAACTGTGGGGTTAGAACTCCCACAGAGAGTCCCCACTGGAACACTGCCTGGTGGAGCTGTGAGAAGAGTGCCTCCAGCCTCCAGACTGATAGATACACTGGCAGCTTGCAACTATTGCCTGGAAGAACTTCAGGCACTCAGTGCCAGCCCAACACAACAGACATGGGGACTGAACTCTGCAAAGCCGCAGGGGTGGGGCTGCCCAAGACCTTGGAACCCCACCCCTTGCATCAGTATGTCCTGGATGCAAGACATGGAGTCAAAGGAAGTTATTTTGGAGCTTTAAGATTTAATGACTACCCTGCTGGGTTTTGGACTTGCATGGGGCCTGTAGCTCTTTTCTTTTGGCTGATTTCTCTCTTGGAATGGGAGTATTTATCCAATGCCTATACTTCCATTGTATCTTGGAAGTAAATAACTTGTTTTTTGTTTTATGGGCTCATAGTCAGAAGGGACTAGCCTTGTCTCAGATGAGACTTTGGACTGTGGACTTTTGAGTTAAGACTGGAATGAGTTAAGGCTTTACAGGAAGGCATGATTGTATTCTGAAATGTGAGAAGGACATGGGATTTGAGAGGGGCCAGGGGCAGAATGATATGGTTTGGATATGTGTCCCTGCCCAAATCTCATGTTGAATTGTAATCCCCAGTGTTGGAGGTAGGGCATGGTGGGAGGTGATTGAATCATGCAGGTGGATCCTTCATGAATAGTTTAGCACCATCTTGGTGACGTTCTCATGATGGTGAGTGAGTTCTCAAAGATCTGATTTTTTTAAAAAGTGTGTGGCACCTTCCCACTTGCTCTCTTCCTCCTGCTCTGGCCATATAAGGACTGTCTGCTTCTGCTTCACTTTCTGCCATGATTGTAAGTTTCCTGAGGCCTCCCTAGAAGCAGAAGCCACTATGCTTCCTGTAAAGCCTGCAGAACTGTGAGCCAATTAAACCTCTTTTCTTATCAATTACCCAGTCTCAGACATTTCTTTATAGCAATGCAAGAACTGACTAATACAATGGTCTTGGACAAGATCTGGGAGAATTTTCTGGATTACCTGGCAGAGACTCTTGTTTTCTTTCCTTATTTTCTCACAAACAAATAGAGTCTCTCTGTTCTGAGCCACCTAAAGCTGGGGATTGAGTGACACAAGCACCACTGTGGTCACCATGACTTTGACTTTGCTGGATCAAGCATGAAGCCAACACAGCACTGGGTCTCACCCAAGGTCTGCTGTAATTACTCCCTGACTACTGCCTATGTTCACTCAAGGACCTGGGGCTCCATCACAAGCAGGTGACAAAGTCAGCCAGGCTTATGTACCTGGTTTTAACTTCATATTGCTGAAATTAAATTAAATTAAATTAAATTAAATTGCTTATGTCCTTCCCCATAAGGAAACAAGGTTCCCCAGGCACTGGGTGGGTCCAGAGGTGCCACCTGGAAGTCAGAGATTAGAGTCAAAAACTTTACAAGACTACCTGGTGTTCTATTGTACTGAGACTAAGCTGGCACTCAATCACAAGATGCAGTTCTTCCCACTCTGCCCTCCTCTTTCCAAAGGCAGAGAAGTCTCACCCTGCAGCCACTGCCACTCCGGGCCACAACAAGTACTGCCAGACCACTGCTGATGTTCCCTAAAGGCCTAAGAGCTCTTAAGTCAGCCTGTGGCGAATGCTGCCTGGCCTGAGATGCAAACTTTAGGGCAGTGGGCTCCCCTCTGGCCGAGGGCAGGTCCAGAAATGCTATCCAAGAGTCAAGTCCTGGACTTGGGCACTCTAAGAGCATGCTTGGTGTTCTACCCGACTGTGGCCATGCTGGTACCTGAAGCCAGCAAGTCTTGGAGGTTCACCTGAGGCCTTCAAGGTAGTACCTAGGTATCTGAACTAGGCCCAGAGACAGTTGACTGGGTGTTGGGGGTAGGGCATGTGACATACTGAGACACCAGCTAGGGCAGCCAAGGGAGTGCTGGCATCACTCTTTCCCTAATGTCAGGCTGCACAGCTCTTGGCTCCAAAAGAGACACCTTCCTTCTGCTTGAGGAAGGTTGTTCAGGGTCCACGGGCTCTTCACTTAGCGGGTAATGAATGCTGCCAGGACTGGGTTCTTTCTTTCAAGGCAGTGGGTTCCCTTCTGGCCCAGGTCATATCTAGAAATGTTATCTGAGAGCTAGGGCTTCGATGGGGGCCTCATGACCCCGACCAGTGCCCTATCCTGCTGTGGTTGAGCTGGTATGCAAGATGCAAGACAATGTCCTTCCCACTCTTTCCTCTCTTGTTCTCAAGCAGAAGGAAGGGGTCTTTTTTGGAGCCAAGAGCTGTGCAGCCTGGGGTTAGGGAAGGGGTGATGCCAGCACTCCCTTGGCTGCCCTAGCTAGTGTCTCAGTATGTCACACGCCCTGCCCCCAACACCCAGTCAACTGTCTCTGGGCCTAGTTCAGCACTAGGACTCACCTAAGAGTTGCAGTCCTTATGGCCTAGACTGCCTTTCAAGTTTACTTGGAGACACAGAGCACTGTAGTCCTTGGTGGCAAGGTTTGTGGGAACTCAAGTTTGGACCACTAGGATTGGAGATTCCCCTTTGGGTAAGGCTGGTTTTAAATGCTCCCTCCATGGACAAGTGTCAGCTGAGTTTGGTCCAGTTTTCCTTCGTGCTCCAACAGGACGGCGGTGATTTCAATGCCTCACAATTGTTGTGTTCTTTCTCCACCAGCAACCAGATATGCTCTCCATGCCATGCCACCACAGCTGCTCGGGGTGGCATTAGAGATTCAGGACTGTTTTTCAGTCTCTTCACTGGCTCTGTCAGCAATATGAAGTTAAAACCGGGTACTATGAGTGCTCACCTAAGATCTCAACAGACCAGGACAACAGACCAAATGAGACTAGATAAAGTGTAAGAAGTATAAACAGCATGTGCTGAACTTACAAAATAAACTAGCTTGTGCTTGTGGATTAGAAGCCTAAAGACAAATGTAAAATAAAAAAATAAACAAGAAAACATGAAGAAGGAGGATTCTGAAGTATTTTCTGAACTCCATGGACAAGAGGGCTATGAATGATTAGCAGTGTTAGCTATGGGCAAGGAATGGGAGGGTGCCAGTGGAGATACTGCATTTTTTGCTCTAAGTCAATGGTGGGACCCTGCTGTTTCCAAAAGTGTGTATATTCATAAAACGTGTAGTAGTCACCCGGTTTTTTCTTGCTCAGTGTCCATCCCTATACTCTTTTTCTGGTAAGTGAAACCTGTTTTTGTTTGGATATATAAGCCTTCACCACTCCCCACACAAATAATTCCAGCGTTGCTGACTCTACTACCAATTTGGTGTACAGGAGAGGACCAGGTTTGCCCTACCAGTGCACCACATTCCCATGGCCACCATGATTGTTTCAAGGGTGATCAGGTGGTCCCAGCAGAATCAATGAAATGAAATTCTGAGATTTTTGCTATGTTTTAAAAAAGGAAATCTCACTATGACTATTCAGCATGGTTATTGAGAGAATAAGATAAAACTGCGGAGCTGCTTGGCAATCCTTTTAGCACTATGAGAGGAAAGAAAGCTTGATAATAAAACCAAAGAAGGGAAAATAAAGACAACAGATATTGAATCTGGTGATGTTATTTGAGCAACTAGATCTAGCTGTGCCTAAAGCCTTTCATTTATATACATCAGGTAAATTTTATCTTTTTGCTTAAGACATTTTGTGTTTGGTTTTCTGACCCTTTTAACCAAATAATGAATTTCTAGGGAATGAATATTCCCTAGTGAATATTTGTGATTTAATAAAAGTAAAAAAGGCCACATTCAAGATGGTGATGATCTCATTGTTTTCTGTGCTGGTCACAAAGGTTAAAAAGGAGTTTTTCGTTGGAAGAGGAAAAGACTATTATTATAGGAGCCAGAATTTATTGAATGCTTACTATATGCTTGGCACTGTGCTCATTAAACCCTCATTACAACTCTATGTTCTATGTTGAGATAGAAGTTAATATTATTCCCTCATATTACAGATTAGAAATTGAAGCTTACAAGGATTAAAAATTTGTCTTAAGGTCACACAATTGATGAGTGAAGGAGCCAAATTTGAATTCAATATTAAATCTCATGTTCTTGACTTTGAAACTGAACTCTTTTCTCTACTTAAAGCTTTTCCAAGATAAAATTCAGAGAAATTCCTACTTTATCAATAACTATCTGGATATTTGAAAAATAGTTTTATTTTATTGCTTCACACACACACACACACACACACACACACACACACACACACAGAGAGAGAGACAGAGAGAGAGAGAGAGAAAATAAACACCGACACACCTTTCTGAGGAAGGTGGAATCTGATAGCAGAAAGTTTATTAGCTGAGGCCAGTGATAGCTTTGGTATGAAAACTTGTGACCAATGACACTGTGTGCCACAGTAGAATTACTCATCATAATTTTTTAAAGTGAGGAATTTGGAGGGAAGGTATTTGCAGTACCTAGCCTCCCCAACTTCTGTATTTTTATAGAGAATAATCTAGAAGAGCATAGAAGCCTGGGAGACTGGGTACTGCAAACAAGAAATGAAGAACAAAAGAATGCCCTTCACCTCTTCTCTTACTTCCCTTTGTTCTCCAACCCAACTTGGAAAGAACAGAGATAAAAGGATCTAAGAGATGAAGAAGTATCTCAGGACTACACAGTAGCCATTATTGCTGTGCACCAAACATTTCTAGTTCTCCTCTCAGGTACAGGCAGAATTATACTTCACCACCTCCTTTGAAGCTAGGTGAAACCGTGTTATTGGCTTTTGTCAACGATGGGAGCAGAAGTGATGAGAAGAGACATTTGTTACTTCTGGATCTTGTTTCCTTTCCCTTGCCAAGTTGATCATGGCAAGGGAAAAGACAATGGAGTCCCTATCAGCCTTATCCCTGAACAAGCTCGTTGAGCAGCATCTTCCTGTCAACCCATTTTTGAATATTTAGAGCAAGGGAGAAATAAACACTTGTTTTGCTAAGGCTTTGAGATTTGGAAACGTTTGTTACTGCAACATTACCTAACCTCAACTGACTGATATAGAATATTTCAGGTTGTCTGCTATGGTGTGTTAGTCGGTTCTTGCATTTCTATAAAGGAATATCTGAGGCTGATTTATAAAGAAAAGAGGTTTAACTGTGTCATGGTTCTGTAGGCTGTTCAGGAAGCATAATGTTGACATCTGCTTGGCTTCTGGTGAGGCCCCAAGGAGCTTTGACTCATGGTGGAAGGTGAAGCAGAAGCAGGTGTGTCACATGGTGAGGTGAGAGTGAGCAATAGAGAGAGAGGAATAGAGAGAGAGAGAGAGGAAGTACCACACTCTTAAACAACCAGATCTTGCATGAACTCAGAGCAAGAACTCACTCATTACCACAAGACAGGCACTAAGACATTCATGAGAGATCTGCCTCCATAACACAAACGCTTCTCCCCAGGCCCCAGCTCCAATACTGGGGATTACCTTTCAACAAGAGATTTGGAGAAGACAAACATCCAAACCATATTATTTCACCTTTTGCCCCCTAAATCTCATGTCCTTCTCACATTGCAAAATACAATCATCCCTTCTTAGTAGTCCCCCAAAGTCTTAACTCTTTCTAGCATCAACTAAATAAAAAATCCAAAGTCCAAAATCTCATAAAAGTCCCAAGACAGGCTCCTTCTACCTATAAGCCTGTATGATTAAAAAACAAAAAAACAAGTTATTTACTTCCGAGATACCATAGTGGTACAGGCATTGGATAAACATTCCCATTTCAAAAGGAAGACATTAGCCAAATGAAAAGGGCAACAGGTCCCATGCAAGACCGAAACTAAACAGGACAGACATTAAATCTTAAAGCTCCAAAACAATCCTTGACGTCATATCCTGCATTCTGAGCAAACTGGTATAAGGGGTGGCCTCCCAAGGCCTTGGGCAGTCCCTTCCCTATGGCTTACTTGAGTGAGTTTACACTCATGGGTTAGAATTGAGAGGCTGCAGCTTTTCTAGGTTCAAGGTGCAAGCTGACAGTGGCTCTACTATTCTGGGGTCTAGGGGGCAATAGCCCCCTTCCCACAGCTCTACTAGGCAGTGCCCCAGTGGAGACTCTGTGTGGGGCTTCAATTCCACATTTTCCCTTGGCAGTGCCATAGTAGAGTCTCTCTTTGGAGGCTCTGTCCCTGTGGCAGACTTTTGCCTAGGCACCCATGCTTTCCAATACATCCTCTGAAATGTAAGTGGAAGCTGCCAAACCTACTTCATGTTTCCATTCTGTGTACCTGCAGGTTTACCACCACGTGGAAGCCTCTAAGGCTTACAGCTTGTGCCCTCCGAAGTAGTGTCCTGAGTTGTACCTGGGCTGCTTTGAGCTGGAGCAGCCAGGATGTGGAGAGCAGCATCCTGAGGCTGTGCAGGACAGTGGGGCCCTGGGTCTGGCTCCTGAAACCATTCTTTTCTTAGAGGCCTCTCTCTGAGCCTGTGATGGCAGAGACTGTCCTGAAGACTTCTGAAATGCTCTTGAGGGCTTTTTTTTTTTTTTTTTTCATTTTCTTGGGTATTAGCACTTTCCTCTTTTTAGTCATGCTAATCTCTCTAGCAAGTGATTGGTCCACAGCCCACTTGAATTCCTCCCCTAAAAATGCTTTTTCCTTCTCTACCACATGGCCAGCCTACAAATTTTCCAAATTTGTAAGCTCTGCTTCCCTTTTAAATATAAGTTCCAATTTAAGTCATTTATTTGCTCTTGTCTCTGATACTAGGTGGTTAGAAGCAGCCATGTCACATCTTGAATGCTTTGCTGCTTAGAAATTTCTTCTACCAGCTACCCTACATCTTCTGATTCTCAGGGCATGGATTCAATGCAGCCAAGCTCTTTGCTAAGGCATAGCAAAGAGCAAGGGTGACCTTTGCCACAGTTCCCAATAAGTTCCTCATTTCCATCTGAGACCTTGTCAGCCTGGCCTTCACTGTCCATATTTCTATTAGCATTGTGGTCACAACCACTTAACAAGTCTCTCAGAAGTCCCAACTTTCCTTGGTCTTCCTGTCTTCTTCTGAGCCCTCCAAAGTTTTCCAACCTCTGCCTGTTACCCAGTTCAAAAGCTGCCTCCACATTTTCAGGTATCTTCATAGCAATGCTTCATCCCTACTACTAATTTTCTACATTAGTCCATTCTTGCACTGCTATGAAGGAAATACTGGAGGCTGAGTAATTTGTAAAGAAAAGAAGTGTATTTGGCTTATAGTTCTACAGGCTGTACAGGAAGCTTGGCTCTGGCACCTGTTTGGCTTCTGGTGAGGTCTCAGGGGGCTTTTACTCATGATGGAAGGTAAAGTGGGAGGAGGTGTGACACATGGGGAGAGCGCGAGAGAGTGAGACAGAGAGAGAGAAAGTGTCACTCTTTTAAACAACCAGATCTTGCGTGAACTCAGTGTGAGAACTCACTCATTACTATGAGGAGGGCGCCAAGTCATTCATGAGAGATCTGCCTCCATAACCCAAATACCTCCCACCAGGCCCCACCTTCAACATCAGGGTTTACATTTTAACGTGAGACTTGGAGGAGACATCCAAACCATAACATATGATAAACCCTCCGTCATCTCCCCCATGAGATCCTCAGTAAATTCAACATTGCTCACTAATACTTTGATGGCAGAAGATTCCTTGGGGCGAGCTCCAGGACCATGAAGTGACTGTTAATGTCAGGGTTTTATACACATCCATTTAGGTATCTACTTTTGCCTGTGATTCCAGTTTGCTATTTTTTCTTTACTACGTAGTGCAACTTATAAATGATTTTGTTTAATATGTTCACTAAATATTTGAGGACCCTGGAGGATACTGTATTATTTATGAAGGTAGAGAAAAATGGCCATTAAATCTAAAATGTATTGCAGAAAAGAGGAAAAGAAACACAAAACAAAACAAAAAAATCCAACAATTTACCATAATTGCCAGAGGGAGTTATTTGAGTGATATTTGCCATCATTTTTGAAGCACTTTAAATCATATCTACAATTTAATGTATTATTTTCTAATCTTATTTAAATTTTACATTTCAACTCTCTATTCCCTGCTCACTTAAAAATACCACTTTACATAAGTTCCTTCACATTTGTTATTTCACTGGCTCCTGTAAATAACTCTCCTTTGAGATGACTACAACAGTTATGTTTTTGACTTCATATTTTCATATCCATTTTCTCATCTGCTCCATCTAACAAGCTATGAGGCCAGCAATGCTCCTGTTATTATTCCCATTTGACAGACAAGGGCACTGGGCCCAAGACAGATCAAGTTACCTGCGTGTGGCAACCGTCGTGGAGAGAAGCCTAGAAATAAAATCTCTGGGTTCAGAGAATTAATAGAAAAAAACAAGATCAAGATTATCATATTTTTAAAAACTCTACTTTTGAGAAAAGACTGGAAAGAAATGTGAAAAATGAAATGAGTTGTGTATGAGGGCTGTGATTATGGGTAAATGCTTATTGTTTAAAATGTTTTCTTTAATGTTTTTATAATAGTGGTTTAGATGTGAATAAAAATTGGACAAAGTAAATAGAAAGCTTCTTGGGGTTGAGTGGAAAGTGGTCTTGTCTTACATTTTCCTAACAGGAAGCAGACCATTTCATTTGAAATATTTCTGGAGTTCAAGACTCAGCCCCTAGTGACCTTTATACTTGTTAATCTGTCAATTTAAAAAAAAAACAATAACTGATATATATTTATTACCTCCTGTGTTCTAGGCACTGGGTTAGGTGCTGTACATGGATTTTTTTGTTTGTTTGAGACAGATTGTCACTCTGTCACCCAGGCTGGAGTGCAGTGCGGTGGCACAATCTCGGCTCACTGCAGCCTCGATCTCCCAGGCTCAAGTGATCCTCCTGCCTCAGCCTCCCAAGCAGCTAGGACCACAGGTGTGTGCCACCACACCCAGCTAATTTTTTAAAATTTTTGTAAAGATGAGGTTTCACCATGTTGCCCAGGCTGGTCTCAAACCCTTGAGCTGAAGCGATCTGCTTGTCTTAACCTCCCGAAGTGCTAGAATTACAGACATGAGCCATCACGCCAGGTCCAACATGGATTATGGTTTCCTCCATGGCAACTTGATGCAGTTATTAGTTCTATTGTACAGATGAGGACACTGAGGCTTAAAGAGGTCAAGTGGTTTGCTTACAGCTACATGGTTAGGAACGATAGAAACTAAAACTGGATGCCAGCCAGCTTGACATCGATAGTTATGTTCATAATCACCATGCTGTGTCATCTGCAAGCTCTTCTGTTTGTCACTGTTACGCAAGTCTGAAGACATAAAGCTTACAATATTTCCATGGAATATGGATTTGTCCCTTTCTCCTTGTGCCTACTTATATTGCTCCCTTCTCACATCTGTTTAATTCTTTTCATGCTCAGAATGAAAAGTAGATGTCATCTCTAATGCCACCTCCTATGGATTAGCAGTGTCTGTCTGGAGTGTTGCATTGACAAGGATTCTAAGGCCACAAGAAAAATTGCCATGATTGATTTGCAATGTCTGCCATGGGCACAGGAGGGAGAAGTGTAGCCAAATGCAAGCAATTTGCCTTCCAGCATTTGAAGGTGGGCAGGAGAAAGCACACGGATGCAAGCAAAGGACTCCTGCTTTTTAAGCTTTACAAGTCATTCAAGGGGAATAAAAGTGGTTTTGATTCCAAATCACTTAAAAGTGATTAGAGAGAAACCATGAGTCCCAGGTGAGTGACAGGACCCTGTTCTATAACAGGACTTCCATTGCTCCTACCCCTTACTAGCAGCAAGATCTTCCTCCTTTTCTCTGTCAGGTGCATTTATTTATCCGGCAAATTTCAAGGGTCTAACACATGCCAAACATTATTCTAAGTAGTGATGAAAGAGCAGAGAACAAATTGGACAAAATCTCTGCACTCAGAAGGCTTATATTCTGGTGGGGAGAGAAGCAATAAACCAGTAAAGAAGCAAACAATATAACATTTCAGTGTTAAGTGCTGTGAAAAAGTAAAGAGATCCAGTATAATGAGACTGGGGTTGTGGGGTGGAGGCTTTAGGTAGGGGACTGTGAACAGGCCCTGGACATCTCATTGTCACCTCTGCAGTGACACTGACCTATTTGCACGTTCAGGCTCAGCTGCAGTCAGTTGTACATAAACATGTGCAGTTTGGTAGAGGTGATGTTTTGGTTCCCACATCCTCTCACCTCTGCTGTGTGGTCTCTAAATTGTTTGTTAGAGCCACACCCTTCCAAGTCTCCGTGTCTTTGCCTGTGCTGTTGCCCCCACCTAGAGTATGTTTCCTACCTATCTCATGAACAAGACTCATCGCTCTTCAAGGTCCAGGTTGAGTTATCCCTAACCCATTCAAACAGAGTCAAGTATCTCTTTTTGAAGTTGCCATGACCCAGTGGACACTGTCTTTTGGGTTTTCCAGGGACAGCCATTGAAACTATCAATTTTTTGACTCTGAGGCATCATCCGCTCATTTCCAGCTTTACCTATGCCAGGAATTAGTGCTGTGGGGGCATGGCTAATGTCCCTTTGTAGCCCAATGTCTCATCAAAGCTTGGTAAATGGTAGGAACTTGATAACTACACAATGGAGGAGAGGACAGGCTGGACTGATGGATCTGTGGATCTGACACATGCCCTCTGCTAGGCCTTCCACAGGTTGCTTTAGCTCTCTGAGCTACAGTTTTCTCATCAATAAGGTAGAGATGGAAACATCCAATTCATAGGATGGTTATGATGGTCATACATAAAACATGAGATGATTCCTGTAAAAACAATTTGTGAAAAACCTGACACAAAGTTAGCCCTCAATAAATGATAGTAATTAGTAGTAAGTCTCAAACTGAGTCATTAATATTTGCAATAGTAATAGGTTAGCTGAGAGTTAATGAAATATGGATGAATGAAAGGATAGAGGGATGCTTTTACTTTCACGATCATACCTGAGTTGCTATGACTACCCTGTCCTAAATTCGTCTGGCTTCATATTCTCCTTCACCATGGACTACCTAGCACCCCTTCTGTTTCTAACTTTTGCCTTAGGTATGCTGGTTGGGGCTTAAAAGCCTGTAATCTTAATTCACCACTGCTCATGGCTTTGGGTGACACCCAGAGATTTATTGAATATGGAACTGCCATCTGCATCATGTACAGTTGTTCTATTTTTACTCTTTCCATCACTTTCTCTCTTTCTCATCTACACATCAATAACTAGTCATTTATGTGGCATTTAATGCTTCATAAATGTTATGAGCCTTTATACAGCACTGACTGGGAGGAATACAGTGAAATGAGTTTATTGGTATTTTAAAGCTAATTTCTCAATGTTATCCTCGTGTTTCCCCCTGGTGGCTTGCATATTTAGGCCTAGAACCCTGGGCTTTGCCAAGCAAATTATTATTGATGTGTGGAGTTAAAAAGGCAGGAACAAAAGATTTCTTACTGTGCTAACTGGGAACTCTGCATGCCTTAGAATAAATCGTGCTTGGAGCAGCTGAGCCATCCTGGCTTTATGCTTACTGATCTGTGACAGAGGCTTGGGCCTTTCCTTGAGCCTGTCTTATTCCCAACCTACTGGCTGCAGAGTCCAGGTGACTTCTGCTCATGGGCAGAGGGACAGGGAACAGCAAAATAGCCTCTGCCTCTAACATAGTCACCTTCCTGCCTGAGAAACTGAGTTGTGGCATGAGCTGATGTGAGTTGTGGGACTGGTCCTCAGGCCCTGAACACTGAGACAAAGGCCAGGGAGCTCAGGCAGAGGCCAAAATTGTTCTTACAGCCTTTGGTATCCTTCCTGGCTCCAGAGCAGAAGGTGAAATCAGGAAAGAGGTAAAGCACTAGGAAGCACACGGAAGTTGGATGGAAAGACACACACATACACGCATAACACATGAACACACACACGTGTGCACACAAATTATATTGCCATTAAAATTATGGTCTCAAAAATATTTAATATAGGGGAACACATATTATTTAATATAGGGGAATAACACTATACTTAATGTAGTCTTAAAAGAAAAAGGAAAGACAAGAAACATATACAACTTTACAGGTGTATATGTACATGATTTAAAAACAGACTGGAAGAAAACAAAAATAATAATCTCAAGTTGGCTGTATCATATGCAATTTCTTTTCATTTATGGTATCCTTTTGCATTTTCCAAATTTCTACAATGCTCTAGTATTATTTTGTAAATTATTATTTTTTTATGGTAAAGCAGTATGATAAGGCACAATCAGAATGAGAGATGCTGGTGGTAGAGTATTTTAGGCAAGTTTCAAGGAATAGGAACTCAGCTCAAACTGGCTAAATAACAATTGTGATGTACTGGGTCATTTAACCAAGAATCCAGGTGCCCTAGGTTCAGACACGGCTGGATCCAAGGGCTTCACAGTATCCTGGAAACCTAGTTCTTCTCTTTGTCCTCCTCCTCCTCCTTGGCCAGTACTGTTAGAGGCAGCAGAGTAAAATGATAAGAACATGGGCTCAAGAGCCAGGCTGCCTGGGTTCAAATTGTGCCTCTCCCACTTAATAGGTTTTTAAACCTTGAGTTACTCAACACTTCAGTGTGTCAGTTTTCTCCTCTGCGAAAGAGGATAATAATAGCAATAATCATTATAAGCATAATAACAGTAATCATAATTATAAGGTTTGTGAAGATTAAATGAGTTAATATGCTTTAAGTGTAATGCACTTAGGGTAGTTATTGGTATATAAGTAACACTCAATAAATGTCTTGTGTCATCACCACCACCACTACCATCATCATCATTTGTGTTTGTTAACCTCATTTTGCAGATAAGATCTGAACAAATGGCAAAATATTTACTAGGAGTCATCTATCTGCAGGCTTCAACCTTAGTATCCTCAAAGGAAAGAGAATTTTTCTCTTTGTGTTCAAATATTAATCCTACAAGACTCTAATTCTGCGCTAAAATTTGAACAAGCCACTGTGGTCCAGTACACAGATTGGCCAGTCTGGGTCACAGGTCTTTTCTGTAGTGGGGCTGAGACAATGATTCCTATTCCCCCACAGCCTCAGAGGATGGAAGAAGAGTTTCCTTAAATAAAAAATAAGGTTGAAAATAAGTAATTAAAAACTTATTATTACCAAGGAGGGCTTTTCTCAAATTGAGTTTCCTAAACCTCTTGCTCAGCTTCAATTTGGATTTTGTAGCCCCATAACTTGTAGCAAAGAAGAACACTCTATCCTAGGATGAATGAGGACATGCAACCTGGGGCAGAATGGAAAAGTACATGTAATACTACCCAATCCACCCTGTGCCCATTAGGCAGATGGGCACTTGGCACCTAGATACCTGGAAAGGATACCTGTACTTGTTTATCAGAATTATGCTATTACAATTTGGACAAAGGCACTGGAAATAAAAGAATGAATTAGAAATTGTCAACTATTTTAGGAGCTCCTCATTTTGTCTCTAGTTCAAGCACAGGAAAGATTTGGCAGACAAGGTGTGTTGAATTATGCCCTCCAGCCCTAGATGAATGTGAATGTCTGGTGTCTTGTGTGGAGCTGCTTAGGCTTTGAAGCTAATGTAATAAACTTAGCTACGCATAAAATAACACATTTATGACTTAGGTAATTATACAATATCACCATTTCTTTAGAATGAGAAGAACCTCATTCTAATTCCAGATATACCACCAACTGGCCCCCTTCGCTTATCCTCTATGTAATGTAGCACGGTAAATTGAATGCAAGGAGTTAGAATCAGAAGTGAGGTCTAGAACCCCAGCTGTGCCTCTCACTAGTATTTGGGATCCAAGGAAAAGTATTTTGTACTAAAAATTACTGAACTTAAGTGAGGATTAGTAAACATCAGAAAAAGACATGCTCAGATTATTTCTATCCCATCGATTACCTTAGTAGGAGGAAACTTGTACTTTCATTATCCATGTTGCCATCAAAAAGTATTTTTTGTTGTCTTCAAGTTGTATTTATTTATTTATTAAATATGTACTGATTACTTACCATGTGCCAGGCACTCTGGTAGAAAACAGCTATAGCTATAAACAAGACCCAGCTCCCGCTCTCCCAGGGTTCACAAGCTGGTAGAGACCAACAACCAAGCAGGCAGTTACCCAGAGAATGGTGGGCTCTATGTCAACCAGGTGTGGCCAGACCCCTGGGCATCCTGCTGGCTCTCAGTCTGACTCTTCTTCAGACTGAAGTGTGTTCAACATTTATTTGCTGAGCTCTGGGTGGAGTAGTGGTGGAAAAGGAGCATGAGGGAGGACAAGAAAGGGATGGCCAGTTTTGTGCTTTGAGAAATTTCTTTGAACTGGAGTCAGGGCAAGGCGGGAGTAAGGAAAACTAGTTAGGACACCACTACTTTCATCCAGATGAGAGACTTCAGTGTCCCAAACCAAAGGACATGGACAGATATAAGAAGATAAGAGGGTTGACTCAACGAGACTTAGAGGTGAGGAGAAAGGAGAGAGAGGAAATAAGATGGTGCTTGTATTCTTCTCTTTAGTTAAGTGTTTGAATGATCATCATTCAATGAAATGGAAATATATGAGGAAGAACAAGTTGGGAACAGTAGGGAAAGGTGAGGAGATGAAGCCATCAAGGCCACCCACCCTCAAGTGGTGCCTCATCTTTTCCCAGCAGACTCTGGTGGCAGCACTGCTCAAAGAATGTTAGATGGGCCCTGGTAATTTCTACCTGTTGACATGAAAGGTTGAAGACAACTGTCTTGTAGGCAAAACATGCTCACTCTGGCTTTAAGATCACCAAGCATTTCTTAAGCTGCATTTGAAAGCTAGTGAGTCAGTCAGTGGCAAAGGCCCTGGGCCTCACGATGCATTTGTAACATTTCCAAACCCAGAAGAAAGTCTGCACAGTGCTTTAGTGATCAATGTGATCAGCTCAAACAACCAATTTGTTAAGAAGTAATCTGTGTAAATTATCCCAGTGAGAATATTTTCTATGATTTGTGGTTTAGCAGAAAGCATTTTCTTTTATTATTTAATCCCTGGGGCCGTGGGGAATGGTTTTGTAGTGATCCAATGCAACAGTTGCTGTGTTTATTTACTGGACCTATTAGAAATAATACCACTTTGCTCTCTTCTTGGGTTGGAGGCTAAAATAATGGGTGAAGAATGCAAGTCTGGAGATTCCTGGGAAGATTGGAGGACATGAAAAACAGCATATAGCATTAAAATCACTCACATTCCCAAGGCCTTTTAAGATTCATGTGTTAATTTTAAATACGAGCATTTTTTCAAAAGGCACAAAAATATATTCCAAATTAGTGGGTCCTAATTCTTATGGGTGTCAGAACCCTTTGAGAACCTTATAAAAATTATGGAACCTACCCCTAGAATTCACATGCATGCGCATGCATGTTGCATACAATGCAGCAAGGGCTCATGGATTGCCTAATGTCTGTCTGTGGACTCCAGGTCAAGTACACCTATTGCTATGGTTTGAATATTCATTCCCTCCAAAACTCATGTTGAAACTTAATCTCCAATGCAGTAGTATTGAGAGGTGGGACCTTTAAGAGGTGATTGGATCGTGAGGGCTCTGCCCTTATGAATGGATTAATCCATTCATAGGTTAATGGATTGGTGGTTATTTGGGAGTAGAACTGGTGGCTTTATAAGAAGAGGTACTGGGTGCAGTGGCTCATAGCTGTAGTTCCAGCACTTTGGGAGTCCGAGGAGGATGGATGACTTGAGCCCAGGTTCAAGACCAGTCTGGACAATATAATGAAACCCTGTCTCTACAAAAAAATTAAAAAATTAGCTTGGTGTGGCGGTGCACACCTGTAGTCACAGCTACTTGGGAGGCTGAGGTGGGAGGATCACTAAGCCCAGGAGGCAGGGGTTGCAGTAAGCTGTGATCACACCACTGCACTCCAGCCTGGGTGACAAAGAGAGGCCCTGTATCAAAAATAAATAAATAAATAAATATGAGTGTGTGTGTGTGTGTGTGTGTGTGTGTGTGTGTGTGTGTGTATACATACATATGAAGAGGAAGAGAGACCTGAGCTTGCATGCTCAGCTCCTTGCCATGTGTTCCCCTGCACCATCTCAGAACTCTGCAGAGTCCCCACCAGGAAGAAGACCCTCACCAGATGAGGGCCCTCAACCCCAAACTTCTCAGCCTCCATAGCTGTAAGAAATGTTTTCTTTAATTTATAAATTACGTAGTTTCAGGTACTTTGTTATAAGCAACAGAAAAAGAAACTTCTGTGAATTTTCATGGCCTCTCTTTCCTGTTGTTTTTTATTTTAATTTTGGGGAATAAAAAAATAAACAACATGGCTCAATTTCCATAATATATATTTCTTACTTGTCCATAGATAACTACACAGCAGCCTAAATCTTCAGAACATACTGAGAACCCAGAAAGAAGCAAGATATGAGACTGCAGGAAGACCACATACTAAAGCCGATGCATTTTATTCAAAGAGAGTCACTCTGGTGCCCTCTAGAAAACTATTACCTCTTGTTTTTTGCGAAATTCTAATAAGCTCAGCTACGTGCTTTCCTAGATATCAGCAAATAAATCAGAAGACAGAAGATGGGCTGCTACAGACAGAAACACTGATCACTTTAAGAACCCAGCTTATTGAAAGCTTGACAGCAAGGAAAGAGAAAAAAAATCTCTCCACGTATTTATTGAAGACCCAAACTCTAAGCCTGACATAGAGCTAGGCACTATGCATAGAATGGTGAATAATTTTACAGTTTGATTTAGGAGATTGGTGAGAAAGAAAGAAAGAATTACAAGAAAACATGGTAAATGTCCCAATAAAGATATGCGCAAATTGCTACACTGAGAATAAAGGAAGAAATAACAGGCTCTGGCTATGGAGCTGAGGAAGACTTTAGAGGAAAGGGAACATCTGAGTTGGTTCTTAATGGATGAGGAAGAGTTGACCAGGCAGTTCTAGGAATGAATGAATTTCCGACCAAGGCATGGAGGTGTGTATGGACAGGTGTGTACAGGCAGGTGTCAAAGGCGAGGTGTCTAGACAGGTGTGGGAGGGCAGGTGTGGAGAGGCAGGTGTGAAGAAACAAGTGTGGATTCGTAGGTATGGATGGGGCTCAAGCGAATTGGTATTGGTAATGGAGGAAGCCTCACTGACAAAGAACACTGGTATCACTCTATAACAGTGATTGAATGCTACGCCAAGAGGTTTGGAATTTTTCCAATAGGCAATAGAGAATTTTCTCATAGAGAAGGAGCCTGAGGGAATCAGGCTTAGTTTATGAAAGTTAATTCCAGCAGTTAACACCTAGAGAATGGACTAGAGGTGATAGTGGCTGGTCTGGCAAAGAAAGAAATTAGGAAACTGTGAGCATGGCCTGAGTGAAAGTTGACAAGAACTTGAACTGAGGCAGTGTTGGTGAACATAAATAGAGAAGAGAGTATGTGTGTGTATGTGCAAGATGGAGAGAGAGGGAAGGAGAAAGACGTTATGTGTGTATGTGAGCAGGACATATATGTGCACTGGCTGAAAGATTTGTGTGAACTAAGATCTTCAGGCCTTAATGGGGGTGGAAGAGAGGAAAGAAGAGGAAGGAAGCAAGCATGTGATAAGTCAATAATCCTGTTGCCTGTATAAGCAAAACATTTATATCCTCCCCCAACCTTGTCAACTTAGATCCCTGTCAGTTTAGAAAATTGATTATTTATTTGCATGGTGCAGAGCTCAAGTTTGCCTTTGATATAATCCAGAAAAACTGGGGTTACCAAATGCTGAACCATGGCCATCAGAATCCCTTGGGGGTCTTTGTTAAAAACAGAGATTCCTGGAAACAGCCCAGACCTACTAAATCTCTCTGGGTGGGGTCCTAGTGGTCCATAGTTTTAACCAGCTGGTCAGATGATTGTGCTGGGCAGCTGTGATTGACAACCACCACTTTAAATAAGTCAACTAGCAGTTAACTTGAAAAAGGATGTAAAATGTTCAGAAGAGCAAACGATTCATGTACCATTTATGCAATGCATATTCTACTTACATTTTCATTATATAGAAATATACAAGGCCCTTCATTTGATGCCAATTTTCGTGGGGGGTCATCTAATTAAGGAATATGCTTAAGGAAATGCAATGAATTATTCTTAAGTGTATGAATAACTATATATACCTATATGCCTAAGAATAATTCATTGAATTTCTTTAAGCATATTCCTTAATTAAGTCTCTTTAGTATTTTAGTGTTTTACTCTCAGTCTTTGATAAATAGCAAGGAGTAGTAATATGACAAACTAAAGCTAAGCATCTTCGAAAAATCATCAGTTATGGGTCCTATTCCCTTTCTCCTTACTTCCTGCCCTAGGTGAGCTCATCCAACTTCATTGCTTAAATACCATCTCTATGCCTATGACTCATACATTTTTATCTTTAGCCTGGGCCTCTCATCTGCACTTCAGGGTCATATATTCAACTGTCTCCCTGTCACCTTTACTTGGGAGTCTCACACGAATCTCAATTTGAAGAAGGACAAAAAGTACTGAATTCTTAAATCACCCACCCAAACTTCTTTTTACCCCAGTCCAAGTCTTCCTAATCTCAGCAAATGGGACCCAGCAGCTCAGGCCAAAAATCTGGGAGGGATCATTCTTGACCTCTCCTTCTTCCTAACTACCCCCTCCAACATTTAATGTATTTCTAAATCCTGTCAGTTTACCTCTCAAATCTGCCCATGACTCTCCATTGGTACTAATATGAACTTGATACAAGCCACCAACATCTGAATGTTTTACCTCTGTAAGCTACCTTCACCACAGTGGCCAGAGTGCTCTTTAAAAATTACATCAGAACATGCTCCTGCTTACAGTCCTCCAGGAGCTTTCCAGTGCACTCAGAATCTTATCCAAATCCCTTTCCAGGAGCTAGATTACAAGGTTCTGAATAAAATGGCCCTCCCTCCTCTTCCATCTCATCCAGGCCCTGTGTCCTCCCATCACCATCTTCCAATCAAACCGACCTTCCTCCAGGTCCTTGAACACCCCACATTTATCCCCACTGCAGGGCCATCACTTCTTTCCCCACCAACCCCAGGGTATGGAACCCCTCAACCAGCTAAACTTCTCCTCCAGATCTGAGCTAAACCTCATCCTCTCTGAGAGGTCTGCCCTGACCATCTAAGCCAGGAGTTGGCATATGTCTTCTATAAAGAGCCAGATAGTAAATATCTTAGGCTGTGCAGGCCATGAGGTCTCTGTCACAACTACCCATCTTCAACTCTGACATTGTAGCAAACACAGCCATAGAATATATGTAAATGAATGGACATGGTTCTGTTCCATTAAAACTTTATTTTCAATAGACAATGGCATGATTTGGCCCTCAGCTGTCACTCGCTGATCCCTGATTTAAACCAAAGTATGACTTCTCTGTTATTCCTACACAAAGCTTCTTATAAATCATAAATATGTGCCCACTGCTGTTTCTTGCATTAGTCTGCTAGATCTATGAGGGCAGGAAGGAACTTGGACTCTTAAGGATCTGCCAGAATATAGAGCCTGGTAAAGTGCTGACCATACAGTGAGGCCTCAGTAAACATATGTTGCATAAAGGAAGAAAAGGAGAGAGAAAGGAAGAAAGGAGGGGAAGATTCCTTCTTCAAGTACAGGTACTTTTTGTTAAAAGGCAGCAAACATTACTGGTTCTTTTTTGTCTTTTTTTCTTTTCTTTTTCTTTTTTTTTTTAGATGGAGTCTTGCTGTGTTTCCCAGGCTGGAGTGCAATGGTGCAATCTTGGCTCACTGCAAACTCTGCCTCCCGGGTTCAAATGATTCTCCTGCTTCAGCCTCCCGAATAGTTGGGGTTACAGGCACCCACCACCACACCCAGCTAATTTTTGTACTTTTAGTAGAGACAGGGTTTCACCATGTTGGCCAGGCTGGTCTCAAACTCCTGACCTCATGATCCACCCGCCTCAGCCTCCCAAAGTGTTGAGATCACAGGAGTGAGCTACCACGCCCGACCAACTGGCTCATATTTTTAACTCTTTCTCTTTGTCAGGAGAGTCCTAGGGTAAATGACTTATCCATTTACTGTTGTGTTCATTTCTTCATCCCTTCAGTGATGTGGTGTTTACTATCTCCCCTATATACTGAATACTGTGCTGGGGAAACAGATCCTGGCCAGGCCCTTCTGAGCATCTAGTCCTGAAAGCTGAGGGCTCTCCCCACTCTCTGTTCCCAGAGGCCTTTTATTGTGTTTTGTTGTTGTTGGGAGCCAAGGGAAAATTCAAGCTTTGTGAAGTGAAATTGAGAGGCACAAAGCAATTAGCAAAGAAGTCCCGCAGAGGCCCTCTCAATCCAGGAGCGAGCCCTGCCCTCTCCTTCCTGCCTCATTACTGTAAAACAGCCCTCAATGTAATTCTCCACTATGAATTTCTCCACCTTGGCAGATGAAAAGCGAGTAATTGGGTACCCCGAAAGTTTAGCAGCAGCATTCCTTTGAAAGAGACAAGACACCTCCCTGCGCATGCAAGTCCCACCTCACTTCTTCCTCCCCCAGTCTGCTCGCACCTCCCCGGCCTCCTCCAAACTGACTGCAACACCATCTACGAAGCTGAGAGCTGGGCAGTCATTAAAGATCATCAACTATAGAGCTCTTCACCAGGCAGGATTATGTTTAGCAGACAGCAAGACTGTTCCTGCCGGCTCCCGTTAAGTTTCATCAAAACTGTGCCTAATTAAAATCTTCAATTTAATTATGCTCCTCTGCATTACAAATTTTGATCAAATTGGTTTAATTTGGTACAAGGAGTTATGTTCATTTCACATGCAAAGTGAGCCCACCCTGAAGCTAGGCTCTGTGTCCCCAAAGCCTCTCAGGACCCTCTTGTACAATCAGGATTGCCCCCACCCTCCTGTGACCCCAGATTTGGAGAATCGCCCGAGGCTTGGGAAATTGGCAGTTGTTGCTCTGCCCACATCTGCAAGAGCTGTCCTGAAGCCACACTGAAGCTGACAGCTGTCTTCCCCCACCCACCTTCCCCTCCCAGCCTCCCTTTCCTCCTCTGCTTTTGAAACGCCCTCATCTCGGGAAAAATCGCACCCAATCTGTCAGTGAAATATGCTGTGGGATTGAAGCTCTGGCAATCTGTTTCCACTCAGGAGAGAAATCTCAGCCTGCTAGTGGCCCCGTGGAGAACTTCCCAAAGTCCTTCATTTACAGAATCCCAAAGCAAAGGGCTCCCTGATCACCCAGTCCCAGGCAGTTTCCCTGCCTTCTACCCATAGTCAACAGGCACTGCCAATGCTTGGCCTCCCAGCACTTCTTTATCCCTTCCTAGGTCCTTATCCCATCATATAGAGCCCCAAGACCTGAGATCACCCAGGTGACCCCTCCACCTTACACCCTCCTGGCAACCAGACCTTTCCAGGTGGTCTTACCCTCATCGAAACCCCCTGGTCTGGAGTTCCACTCCCTCTAGGGCTTCCCTTGCAAACCTTCCAGCTCATCTGATGGTGGCATTCCTGCTCCTCGCTGAATGCCTTGTGTCTCAAGCTGAAGTGTGAGCTCCTTCTATGCATGTGTGCTCAGAATAATTTATCCTATGTGGAGCCGCAGGCTAAATGCCACCTGTCATACTGCAATGTCAGTTTTACTCAAAGGTAATTTAAAACCTTATTTGTATATTGTGGAATGGAATGAAAAATTCACACGATGTTTTAAAACAAGAGACTTCAAAGATAAGCGGCCGGGGGTTGCAGCCCAGACCCCTTGGGTCTTAGTCCACTTTCTCTAACCTTTGGCAAAGAAGTCTAAGTACCCCTGGTGAAGTGTTACCAAAACCCTCATAAAATATTCGCCCCTTCACCGGGACTTCTGATCCCAGAAGACTTTTATCTTTTATTTTTATTTATTTATTTATTTTTTTGAGATAGAGTCTCGCTCTGTTGCCCAGGCTGGAGTGCAGTGGCGCGATCTCGGCTCACTGCAAGCTCTGCCTCCCGGGTTCACGCCATTCTCCCGCTTCAGCCTCCCGAGTAGCTGGGACTACAGGCACCCACCACAATGCCTGGCTAATTTTTTGTATTTTTAGTAGAGACGGGGTTTCACCATGTTAGCCAGGATGATCTCAATCTCCTGACCTCGTGATCCACCCGCGCCCGGCCCCAGAAGACTTTTATTTAAGGGGTGGCCATTCCTCTGGGAAGGATGCCTAAATCTACTGCTGCCTGTCCCCTCTCTTTGACTCTATTCCCAAATTGCCAACTGCTTGATTGGACATTTTCACTTGCACACCGTGCCTTGGATGGCCCTGAAATTAACTTGTCCACAACTCTAAACCTACCATGTCCCACCAGCATCATCAGGCCTGCTCTCCCATGTCATTTTCCAGCTTATCTTAATGGTGTTCCAGTTTTCCCTGGCACTGGGTTTGGAAATACAGGAGATATCAACATTGGCCATAAGTAAACAAGTAGGTAAATACATAAATTGACTAGATTTTAGTCTTTTTTAAAAAAACTGCTTTTGATTGCTGATTCTATTTGAGCATGCACTCCATAATGGTTTAAGGCTAGATGTTTCATCCCAACTTAATAATCCTATGCAAGTCCCTTGTCAACTCCTTCCAGTACCTAATACAGGCTCAGCAAATGTTAAATGTTAATAGAATTAGTAATAGATAGAAGTAGATCATAACACAGTGAGAGATGTCCCTGTGTTGTATATAACTCACTGCTATGTGAGTGGGAACAGAAGGTTGCAGTCGGTCAGGAGAGAATAGTCTCCCTGTATGGTAAGACAAACAGTCCAGGGAGATTTAGAGAGGTGCCCAGGGAACTCTGAGGCCTGCTTGTGAGACAGACAAACCAGTTTTTCCAGAGCTCATGGTTTATGCTTCTTTGACCAGATGATGCTGACTGGAGAGAAGAATCCAGTGGAAAGAGGAGAGACAGGTGCTAGGGCAATGGCTGGTACGGCATGGAGCCAAAAGGGCATGAAGTAAAAAGCAGGAAAGGCATCACAGAGCAGGCACTCAAGTATTTATGTGGTGAATTAATTATAGTAATATCATAATGGCTAAAACATTTATTGTGAGCTTGCTCTGTGCTGAGCAGCATGCTCTAAGTGCCGTGCAAGCATTAACTGTTTAGTCCTTGCAACAGTCTTGAAAATGATGTGTTATTATTCCAATTGTATAGATTGAGAACTGAGGATCAAAAAGGTAAGTAATTTGTGCAAGGTCACCTAGGTAGTCAATGGTGGAAGTAAGGTTTGACTCCAAAGCTTGAGTGATTCACCATGGCATTTTTCTTCCTCTTATTCAAAAACCTGCTTTATTATTTACATTTTTCTTTTTTCTCTGAGAATGTTCCAACCCCACCCGCACTCAGTAAAACTCTTAGAAGGCAGAGGCAGGGTCTCAGAGTTCTTTGAATTCTCAATTCTTTACCCAATGCTTTGTGTAGTAAATAAGTAATAAATGCTATAGATGTATTGATAGAATTGTTTGTTAATGGATCAATGTTGAGAAAATCAGGCACTGTAGCAGGCAAGGAAAAAGTTTCTGGAAAGGAGCACTCGATGCTTATCTGATGAAGCCAGTGTACTGTCAACACCTGTTCGCCAGTCTCTTCTCATCTACACAGCTGTACTGGTTCTGCTGCCTGGAACCCTCTTTTCTTGTCTTCTCACTCCTTCTGGTTTATTGCCTCCTGTCCTGTAGGCCTCAACATAGATGCCTTCTCCAGGAAGCCTTTCCTGATTGCCCTCGAATTTGGTTAGAGGTTTCCACAGAGTCTTAACTTCTCCCATCACAGCACTTATCCCACTGGATTGCAACTGCCTGTTGACTGTTTAGCCTTCTTCAACTAGATCATAGGCTCATTGAGAATTGGGTTGGCCTCAGCAAAATATATACATGGTAAATAATATGTATATATATAACTTGTTACAGTGAGCCCTCCCACCCAACCCCAAACCAATGAGCCCTCCCACTCAACCCCAAACCAACGTCCATATTCCCAAATTCTTCAAAGAGCAATGAAAGAGCAGTGAACACAAATTCCCCCACTTCACAGTTTTGCCTATACCAGGATTGACATTATCTCAGGATATTGTAAGAAAAAATAATGAATGAGAACTTCCAACAGTTACCAGGGGACTGAGACCTTGGGCAAGTTCCATAGGCCCTCAAACTTTAAGGTTGGAAAGTAGTGAACCACTCTACCTCTCTCGTGGAATTGTTATAAAGATACACTGAGATGTAAAACAGTGTTTGACACCACGTACATGCCCAGTAAGTGTCAGATGCTGTTATTATGTATAATTATGTAAGTGTCAGATGCTGTTATTATGTTATAATTATATTATGTTATTAGCATTATATGGTGTTGAAGTGTTGAATATTTTCCATTTCTGCTCACATAGAATAACTCTGCTGGGGCACTTTAGCATCATTGGTATATTATTAAGCAATTAATATATACAAATAATATACATGCAATTAATTAGATATACCGAGATGTCCAGGGATTGGAAGTGAAGTCAGACTCTGGAATTGACAAACTCCAGCCTCATCTAACTGAGCAGGAATGCGGCATGCAGCACCCCAGACTGGATGGAACCAGAGGACCCATCAAAAGCCTGAGATGTCTGGCTCAGCAACATTTCTCACTTTTCAGCCTACTTCCAATTCAGTCCACATGGTCGAAAATTAAAACAAGTTATGAAGAACCATAACATTTAGATGCTGATGAAAAGTTCTCAAGTTTTCCTCAGCTATAAAGCTGAGTGTTGAGTAAGTTTTCCTCTAATTTCTTCAGCTATGAACAACAAACAATGCAGGCTGTACATTCAAGAACAAAATTTGGAATTGCGATCAAATGAATGAACAACAAAGTGAATCTGACATATTTAATGATAAATCTTATTGTTGTGTTGCATGGTAATTAGACAAAATGAGAAGTTTACATAATGGCTATAATTATTTATTCATTTACTTTCACATTGTTAAAGCAAACTTTTATAGATTTTCTCTTTTCACTTTGTTAGACGTTCTGCATTCATAAACAGTCTCTGTGTTAACTGTTTTCTCCAATGCTCCTTAAGATTTAAATGGAATCCTCATTGCACAAAGGTATAACTAGTTGCAAGCACACTCACGCATGTTAGCAGACAGAGATCTGGGGATGGAGTTTCCATACACTGAGTTCTTACATCTATCCATGCTCCTTCTCCTCCCTTTAGCTCCTGGGATGACTTCTGCCTAGAAAATCATGCCCAAGGCTTCTCCTCTACTTCTCATTTTCTCTTAAGGTAAGAGGTTCTAGATAAGAAAATCCATCTAGTCCCTTTTCTATAGAAGAATATTAACCACATTTGGTGACATTGGCTGCTATAACAAATAGATCTTCAATTGTGAAATGGCTCAAACATAATAGAAGCTTATTGTTACCTACCTATAAACCCAAGGCAGGTGTTCCTGCTTGATATGAGACTCTCTTCCATCCATTGATATGATGACCCACGGCTCTTTCTATCTTGTGGTTCCACTCCTCCCTAAAGGCTTGTCTTCATCGTTGGCACTGAGCTGACAAAAGAGAGAGCATGCACAAGAACTTGCTGCTTCATAAAAACCGTGGCCTGAGAATCATACCCACCTCTGTCATTAGAACTCAGCCATACAGTCACATACACAGCTTCAAGGGAGGCTCAGAAATGAGGTCAAGCTGTGTGCTGGGGAAGAAGAAGAAGAAACAGGTTTTGGTGTACAACTGGTCATCTCTGCCCTTTCTGAAATCATTGCGGAAAAAAGGAAGTAGAGTCAGCAAACCAGATGTAGACTGGAGATGGGTGAGGGGCAGGGAGGATGAGATGAGATATCAGAGAAAACAAAACAAAACAAAAAACTATAACATTAATTAGATAATTAGGGATACGGTCCTTAGAGTAGTATTATATTAATGCTTAATTTCCCAGATGTGACAGTTACGTTGTGGTGATGAAATTGAATGACCTTGTTCTTAGATGACACCTTCAGAAACGTTCAGGGGTGAAGTGCCATGATGGCTTCAAATGCTCCCCCAAATACACATACACACATATGCACACATACAGGGGGAGAGAGAGAAGAAGTGATTGTGCTAAAACATTAACAATTGGTGAATCCCAGTGAATTACATCCCAGGAGCAGCCGTCCTAGGTGTGAAATAGCGTGATGTGTGCTGAAATCAGGAAGCAGAACCGGGCTTCTGGAGCATGATGTGCCCAGCAACGAGGGCAGAGATGAGCCTAGAGAGTGGTAATGATTGTGATGGGGCTTGTATAGCATGAAGCTTGACTTCATCCTGCAGGCCAAGGGGAGCCACTGAAGGGCAGGGCAGGGACAAGGTCTCATGGGTATTTTAGGTAGAATGTGTTCAGGGTGGATTTCAGGGGAACAAGTCTGGATGAAAGGTAAGTATATCAGTCTGTTTAATGATGCTTATAACAGAATCCCTGGAACTAGGTAATTTATAGAGAAAATAACTTTTTTTTGTTACGGTTCTGGAGGCTGAGAAATCCAAGGCTGCATTTGGTGAGAGCCTTCTTGCTGGTGGGGACTCTCTGCAGATTGTCAGGGTGGTGCAGGGCATCACATGGTGAGGGGGCTGAGTGTGCTAGCATGCTAGTTCAGGTCTCTCTTCCTGTTTTCATAAAGCCAACAGTTCTACTCCCACAATAACCCATTAATCAATTAATCCATGAATGTATTAATCCACTCATGAGGGCAGAGCCCTCACCATTTAATTACCTCTTAAAGTTCCCACCTCTCAATATTACCACATTGGGGGTTAAGTGTCAGCATGAGTTTTAGAGCATTCCTTCAAACCACAACAGTAAATAATTTAATTCACACAGTAATTATTTGTACTTTCAGAAGCCAGCCCTGTGCTAAGGGCTGTGGATATGCAGAACTGGGGGAGCTACTGGGATATGTCTAAGAGAAAAATCAGACTTGGCTCCTGCCTTCTTGAAGTTTAGGGTCTAGTAAGTGAATATATATATTAAGCAATAATTATAAAAACAAGTGTGAAATTATAGCTGCGATGAGTTAAGAAGGAGACGTTCATGGTGCCTAGGATCCCATGATGACTATATTTTATTTTTGGTCAGGGAAGGCAGCATCCCAGAGAAAGTGATGTTTGAGCTAAGATTTACAGGATGAATAGGAGTTATTCACCAAGCAGAGGGAACAACATGGATAAAGCCTTTCTAGTTGGAAGAAGCGTGGCATGTTTGACAAATAGAGAGATCAGTATAGCTGGGAGGCAGTGAGTGAAGGAGAATATAGAAAATGAGACAGGAAAAGACAAACAAGGACCAGCCTTTGTAGGCCCTTGTAAGCCATCACCATGGATCTGGCCTTTACCCTGTGTGCACTGGGAAGCCATAGATGGCTTACAGGTATGTGAATGTTGGGGATGGTGACTGGCATAATTCCTGTAGCTGCAGAATGCAGAATGGATTACAGCACAAGATTCAGGAGCCCAGGTAGGAGGCTGCTATAGCCATCTTGAGAGAGATAATAAGGGAGGGAGACAGGGGATGGAGCCAAGAAGTCTCAGATCACAAAATGGGTAGAATTTGGTTGTTTGATTTAAGATGCCAAGGTCACAGGGTTGTAGTTGACAACAACTGGCCAGATGATGGTATCCTCAAGTGACAGAGAGAATTCCAAAGAGGAATCAGCTGTAAGGAATATGGTGAGTTCAAATTGCGACAGGTTGAGTTTGGAGTGCCAGGTGGAGTTATCTAGCAGAGAGTTAGATAAATGAGTCTGAAACTTAGGAGGTAAGCCTGGGCTTGAAATAGAAACTTGTGAGCACTCAACATTTAGATTTAGATTTGAGATGATGTCAATGCTTAAAGTATATCTTCGTTTAAGAAGAGGTCAGAGAAAGAGGAGCTCACTTCAGACACAGGGAAGCAAAGGCCAAAGACAGTCAAAAATAACCTGGAGATTGTGGAGTAACAAGAAGCCAAGAGTTTTGACTTTTCAGATTCCACAGTAAGTGCGGTCATGTGGTATTTGTCTCTCTGTGTCTGGCTTATTTCAATTAGCTTAATGTCCTCTAGGTCCATTCAGGTTGTTGAAAATGACAGAATTTTTTTCTTTTTAAAGGCTAAATAGTACTCTGTCATGTATGTAGACCACATTTTTAATCCACTTATCAATTGATGGGCACTTCAGCTATTTTGATATCTTGGCTATTATAAGTAATGCTGCAGTAAACATGACAGTACAGACATCACTTCGACATACTCATTTCAATTCCTTCGGATACATACCCAGAAGTGGAGTTGCTGGATCATATCATAGTTCAGTTCTTTTTTTTTTTTTTTTTTTTTTGAGACAGAGTCTCGCTGTATGCCCAGGCTGGAGTGCAGTGGAGCGATCTTGGCTCACTGCAACCTCTGCCTCTGGGGTTTAAGCAATTCTCCTGCCTCAGCCTCCCGAGTAGCTGGGATTACAGGCACCCACCACCACGCCCAGCTAATTTTTGTATTTTTAGTAGAGACGAGGTTTCACCATCTTGGCCAGGCTGGTCTTGAACTCCTGACATCGTGATCCACCTGCCTTGGCCTCCCAAAGTGTTGGGATTACAGACGTGAGCCACCACTCCTGGCCAAGTTTTGTATTTTTAGTAGAGATGGGGTTTCACCATCTTGGCCAGGCTGGTCTTGAACTCCTGACCTCGTGATCCACCTGCCTCGGCCTCCCAAAGTGTTGGGATTACAGGCGTGAGCCACTATGCCTGGCCAAGTTTTGTATTTTTAGTAGAGATGGGGTATCCCCATGTTGGCCAGGCTGGTCTCAAACTCCTGACCTCAGTTGACCGACCTGTCTTGACCTCTCAAAGGGCTGGGATCACAGGTGTGAGCCACTGTGCCCGCCCCATATTGTAGTTCTATTTTCAGCTTTTTGAGGAATCTTCATACTGTTTTCCAAAATGACTATATTAACTTATAATATCACCAATAGTGTACAAGCATTCCCATTTCTCCACATTCTCACCAACACTTTTTATTTTTCATCTTTTTTACAATTGCTGATCAAAAGTGGTAAGGTGATATCTCATTGTGGTTTTAATTTGCATTTTTCTGATGCTTCAAGATGTTGAGAATTTTTTCATAGATCTGCTGGCCATTTGTATGTCTTCTTTCAAGAAATGTCTATTCAGATCCTTTGCCTATTTTATTATAGGGTTACTTGTTTTCCTATTATTAAGTAGTTTGAGTTTCTTGTATATTTTAGATATTAACCCCTTACTCTATGAATAGAAGGTGGCAGGAGGATGTGAACGGGGACAAGGGAGATGTTTGCCAAAGGGTACAAAGTTTCCATTAGACAGGAGAATAGGTTCTGGTATTCTATTACATAGTATGGTGACTACAGTTAATATAATGTATTATATATTTCAAAATAGCTAAAAGAATGGATTTTAAATGTTATCATCACAAAAAAGGAAAGTTTCAGTAATGAGTATGTTAAGTAGCCTGATTTGATCATTCCACAATGTCTACATGTATCAAAACATCACATGCACCCCATAAATATATACAATTATTATTTGTCAACTAAAAGTAAAATAAAATACATTTAAACTAAGGTGTTAGAAAAAAGAACCCAAAGGGGTAGTGAGATCCAGGAGTTGTCAGATGCTCAAAAGGTCACCTGAGGAGAAGAACTGGAGAATGCCCATGTCCTGTAGTAGCTAAAGATATCACTGGGGACCTTGGTGACAACAGTTCAAGCACAGCAATGGGGCTAAAGTCAAAAGCCAGTGACATGAAGGTATAGGAAGAGAAGACAGTGGGTGTGAGTCACTCTTGAGGGGAGTTTGGATGACAGAAGACAGAAAGATGTTCAACAGCAGCCATGGGGATTTGGGTCTTGACTAGAAGCACTTCATCCCTCATCTGTCAAACTTGAGTGTATTTTAGCTGCCAGTTACTAAATAGACACATAAGAAATTAAAGCAGTGTCTTGCCCTCAAAAAGCATGTGCTCTGAAGCTATTTTCAAACTCGATTTCACGGAACCCTGGGTTTTAGAAACACCATTAGGAGAGGGGAGCAAAGGGAAGGCTGAGGTCTTGGGACTGTGACTGCTGTCTCTTCTCTGCACTTATCTTTTTCGTGGGTTTCCACATTTAAAATATTTTTCACAGAAATGCATTCTGTTGCTAAGGAAACAAGTTTGTAAAGTGGTGCATTATAGGATACAGCATTCTACACCAGAGGTTGGCAAACTTTTTGTCTGTAAAGGGCCAAATAGTAAATATTTTTGACTTTGCAGGCCATATGGTCTCTGTTACAGCTACTCTTGCTGTTGTAAGGTAAAAATTGCTGTAGAGAATATTAATGGGTGTGGCTCTGTTCCAATAAAACTTTACAAAAATAGGGGGTGGACTATAGTTTGTTGACCCCTGTTCTAGATGTTGATGAGGTGCAGCAGGGCTTTTTCTTTTTTTTTTTTTTTTGAGACGGAGTCCCGCTCTTTAGCCCAGGCCGGATTGCAGTGGCGCAATCTCGGCTCACTGCAAGCTCCGCCTCCCAGGTTCACGCCATTCTCCTGCCTCAGCCTCCCGAGTAGCTGGGACTACAGGCGCCCGCCACCGCGCCCGGCTAATTTTTTGTATTTTTAGTAGAGACGAGGTTTCACCGTGTTAGCTAGGATGGTCTCGATCTCCTGACCTCGTGATCCGCCCGCCTCGGCCTCCCAAAGTGCTGGGATTACAGGCGTGAGCCACCGCGCCCAGCCCAGCAGGGCTTTTTCAACCTATTCTTTCTGAAGGTATTTCTGTAAGACATAGCGTACAGTAAAAGAGTGACTATTCTGGCCAGTCTCAGTGTTGCTTAGTTCTCGGGATTCTCACCCTTGGCTTCCTGACTTTGGTTTCTCCCCAGCTGGAAGGCTGACCATCTCCCATCCCGCACTGCGGACTGCTAAAATACTAGTCTTTCCCCAACCCTACCTCCCATCTTTATCTTTTTACCCTCGGGTCTATTTTATTCTTCCTCTCAATTTAAAAGAAAGAAATTCAAAAAAACCATTCCTCAAACCAAGCAAAAACAATCTTTTAAAATGTTGGCTGAAGTGAAACCCCGTCTCCACTAACATAAAAATTAGCTAGGCTTGGTGGTGCGCACCTGTAGTCCCAGGTACTCGGGAGACTGAGGCAGGAGAATCGCTTCAACCTGGGAGGCAGAGGTTGTAGTGAGCCGAGATTGTGCCACTGCACTCCAGTCCGGCAACAGAGTGAGACTCCGTCTCAAAACAAACAAACAAACAAATATATATATGTTGAAGACAACTCCCTTCCTAGAACAAAAAACTCATGGAATGGGTTCTTATTAATAATTATTTGGGGAAGCATCAGCCTTGATAATTCTGATATTATGAGCCGAATGTCGCAGCAGAAATCAGCAAACAGAAGAATAGGGCTCCATGGGCCAGGCCCGGGCCAGGCCCTGACCAGGAGGGAAGCTGCCAGCTCCCTGGAAAATGAATTGGAGGCATTAGTAAATCTAGGTCGCGATCCGAGATCTGGAGCTGGGTAATAGGATGAAGACAGGCCAGGGGAAGGAGGCTTTTCCTATGCAAAAAGGAAACACCCTGTTTTCTTGCTTTGGAAAGTAGAGGAGGGTAAGAGATGGTAGAGGATGAAGGAGTCCAGGAATTGGCCATTTGGGAATCAGGCTGTCAGGTATGAGGACCTGCTGGCCTGACTTGTGATGGCTACACAGGCTGGGGAACGGGGCCCTTGTCCCACAGTATATTCCTCACTTACCTGGGACAGATGATGGATATTCTTCTTTTGGAATTTCTCTAGGAACGCCTTGATAAAGTGATAAAAGATCTGCTTAAAAACAGAAACTGAGACTTGAGAGTGCTGGAAGCTGTAACTGGCCCCTTCATGTGAAATTGGTTGGGGAAAGTCAGCTTGAGCCCTGGCAGGAAGGAAACGAGTTCTGATAGAGGAAGGCAAGCAGAGGGCAAAGGCTTCAGGAGTATGTAGTTGAACCAGGCAGAGGGGAGGCAAAAAGAGTAAATAGGATAGAGGAGAAGGGTGGGTGGAGGGAGGAGTGGGGAAGGAGAGAATGGGGCACCAAGACACTTTTTTTTTAAGGGCCAAAAGAAGTAGGAAAGAGGCCTTCAAAGTCACCTTCAACTCTGAAACTCCCAGCCTTTGTGACTACCATGCCCAGTGACTCCTTCACTTTTAATATGTTAAGAATGATCTCTGGCATTATTACAATGGCAAATTCCCACCCACCTGCAGAGATTCTCAATCAGGAAGGAGCCCCAGCGTTTTCCCATTTCCCATATGCAGCTGGTGATTCTGAAAACCACTGCCTTCCCAGCCACAATGACTGTGTTCAGGGAACCAGCCCTTGCACTAGAGCAGATGTCCTTTGATTTATTGAATGAAGGTATTTGGGTCTGGGGATTCTGAGTGTGACTGTGCCATCATTAGATCCAAGGGAATAAAAATACAGCTTCTCTATAAAAATATTGTTACTTCTAACATGTAATGTTTTACAAAGTTATTTCTCATTTGGTCCTCATAACCCAATGAGGTAAGCAAGGCAGGAATTATGGTCCCCATTCTACAGATGAGGCACTGAGCCTCTCAGAGACATTTGCCCAAGGTCATATGGCTAATAAATGTTGGAGCAAGGACTGGACAATGGACCTTCCCATCTCTCATCTGTTATCCTTTCTTTCCATTCCCTGCTTCTCACCCCATTTACCAGAATGCTCATGATTGGCAGATAGAGGCCACAACATGAGCATTTAGCTAACTTGGATTTGCAATTGGACCTGAGACTTTCAGACTTACTAATATCACATTGTGATGCAGTAGTAGCAGGTTAGACTCACCAAGGTTCTTGTTCAAAAATACAGATTTCCTGGCACCAGCCTAAATGTGCTAAATCAGACCCTCTGAGGGTGGGATCCCAGAAGCTGTAATTTTATAAAAGCTCTCCAGGTGATCCTGATGTTCAAAGGTTTGAGAAGCAATCTAATAAACTAAGCAAAGCAACCACAGGGACTGCCTAGTTCAAAATCGACTCTCAACTATTCCTGGACTCATTACCTAGGGAATGGATTACTCAGTGTTTACATTCTACCCTCACTCCCACCTCTGCCTCTAATTCTACACTTTCCCATTTTGGGGGTTCATTAGCAACATCTCTTAAGAGAAGAGAGAAACAACACAATTTAAATTAGTCTTTCAGTTTGGGAGTGCCTCTGATGGTTTCTCTTCCCCAACCCCAAATCATGGGTAGTCTGCCAGAAACCTTAGAGGGTAAGAGTGTGGTTTTGAAGCCTAATTAAAAAAAAAAAAATCCTGACTTTCACAAAAGGCAGTAGATGCTTCAAATACACCTGGTGCAATGGTTCATTCTGAGAGGGTTCTGCATGCAAAAGATCAACTCGTTCTCTAAATAGAATCTAGAGATACAAAGGAATCAGCAATAGCCTCACGTATTTGTACACAATGTAGTGTAGCTTCTGGTATTTTTATTACCAATCGGAGTAGGCTTGTCACCATCAGCCATCTGCTTGAGTCACTGCCCGGCTGCAATGGCCATGGCTTTAGAAAAGGAACACTGAAATCAAAGCCCCGGCTCATGGAAGAATCGCAGAGCAGGGAGTCATTTGTGACCTGCAAATGACATCCTGCAGTATCCTGAAGGACCTAGTCATATTCTATGTCAAGAAAACTCATCTACACACTTGGATCCTTAAAGATAACAGTGATTATGACATCGGATGGAAGCTGTAATATTTGTTCTCATGGAGGTGTTCAATATTTCAAAGTGGTCTCTGCAGTCCCATTAAAATTACAGACTCTTCTACCCCCCACCCCTGCTGCTTTCCACATTCTAATACAGGCTTCTGGGGAAAAAATGTGAGTGAGCTAGCATGGGATTTGTTTCCAGAGAGTCAGAGAAATCCTGACTCTGATTATTGGCCTTACATCCAAGGAATCAGCTTATTTTTTGTCTATTTTTTAAAATCAATATATGAAATCCTTTCATACAGATAGAAAATTTTCTGAATCTGAGATTATTGTTTGACTACCAAGTTAATAAGATGCTTTAAACTCTTTATTCCACATCTGAGCCTGACACCGGAGCTTTAGGAAGCAGAAAACAGCCTCTTGTGTCAGAGGCTGCATCAGTGAAAGTCTATAGCCTAAAATCAAGGCTCTTAAAAAACAAGATAAAAAAATAATAATTCAACTAGCACCAAAAAGAAAGGTGTTTGGAACTGGGGGTCACCAAAGAAAAACAGATTGCGAAAAATTATTTCGTGATCTGGAAACAATAATGAGTAGGCCCAGAAAGGGAAAAAAAGTATGAGTGAAATTCTAATAGGTAAAGGAAAGAACAAATGGCTGGTGTTGATGAAAGTGTAGTCAAACTCCCGCAAATACAGTCCGCCATGAAGAAGAGCAGTGATGATCTCAGAGGGTCTTAATTCATCGTGTAAATGTTCCTTGGCATCCATGCTGGGTAAATCAAGGACAAATTTGGTGGGGGAATATAATAGCTATTTATCTAGAAAACTCTCCCAGGTTTTTGGGAGGAGGTCAAGGAACAAGCAGAGGATAGATCCACTTCAGGGAAATGGCCAGCCTTGTACTAGAAAACACACCATTGACAGAAATCTGTCCTCATGCCAAACTTCGAGCCAGGCAAAGAACTTGAACTTGAAGATGGCTGGGCTTGGACCAGCAACTGTAGCTGCTGTTTCTGTGCTTTTCCAGGCCATCACAGCTAGAGGTGATCAGGAACACTTTACACTTGTGTGGCTGTATCCCTGAAACATTGTACAGCTAGTTTTCTATTTGTTTTCCTTTAGGGGGGAAAAATACAAAGTCTATTTCAAGACAACAGCCAGATTTAATCTGTTATTATTATTTCTTTGTGGTAGTCATCAAGAAGCAAAAGATTAGAAGTGCAAAATATCAATTATGCAATTTTAACTATTTTCAAAGGAAGACAAAATAAATGTCAGGTCCAACAAGGTCATGTGCCCCTTCAGCAAATAATTGTCTCCACGGGCCTCTTTTGACGTATTGAAACTGAAGTAGATTGTAATGCCTTTCATTTACAGAGGAGAATTTATGCCTGTGCAACATTATATAGTTTAGAGTCTAAAGCAAGCCCCCCCAGGCATTAGACACCCTTTCTGGGTGTTCATCTAAAAATAGGAATGGCCTTTCCAGCTACCCTTTGTAGAACACTGAAAGTGGTATGACAGAGGTGACTTCTAGGTCCATTTCATAGACTCTCTGACACTATTTCTTTTCTCTTTCAAACTTTCATGTTTTGGGAGAAGGAAGAATCTTATATTAAAGTTAAGAACATTGGGATATGTTTTCCAACTTGTATCTTAATCAAGACTCTTTGATTCTATGTAAACAGAAACTCACTCAGACCAAAATAAAACAGAGGGAATTTAGTATAGGAGTAAAGAAATGAAACCTCAGAACATGCAAGGGGGAACACATGGGCTCCGTGGAACCAGCAATGGCTTTTCAGTGGAAAGCCACTGTGAAAACCAAGGTTACTATTTGTAGCATGCTATTAGTTTTGTGCAAAAGTAATTACGGTTTTTGCCATTGACAGTGATGGTAAAACCACAATTACTTTTGCATCAATCTAATAATTCTCACATGTCTACACCTATTTGCAGGTGCAGACAATTGGAATTTACCAGATTTTATCACTCACTATGCCAAAGATGCTGTTCTATAGCCCTCAGCCACTGGAGACTAGTGCCTCTGAGTATTAATTCTAAATTCACTGTGGAGAAAATATAATGGACTGAGGTGAGGATCAGTGTCCACCTCTGTTTCAACGACTAGAACAAAGAAATAGAGTTGTGTAGTATAGACATGGCTGCTAGGACCCACCAATGTAATGTGTGGTAGAACTCGAGAATGGGAGGCTATGAGGTAGGTAGACACCTCCAAATGCACCTACTAAAATCTATTACTAACTTCTCTCCTTCAACAGGAAATATTGAGACCTGTTTGTGCCCAGTAAATTTTAAGAAGCCCTGGTCTCTAGTCGAGAAGTCGACAATTAAAAGAGGGACCAACACACACAGAAAATACAAGATTCAGGCAGTGTGAAAAGTCCTATAGAGAAGAGTCTTTCAACCTCTGCACTCTGGGCATTTTGGGCTGAGTAATTCTTTGCTGTGGGCTTAGGGTGGGAGTGAGGGCATTGTCCTGTGTATTGTAGAATGTTCAGAATATCCTTGGCCTCTGCTCATTAAATGCCAATAGCGCACTGTCTTCCACATCAGTTATAACAACCAACTATATCCCCATACATTGCCAAATGTCCCCATACATTGACAAATATAAGGGGACATTTGCCCCCTGGTGGGAACAACTACATGGAGCAATATGAAATCATAGAAAAGACACTAAAATCAGACCTAGAGATCCAGAAAATCTACCTAGAGAAAAGGTGCTGAAATGCAGTGTTGACGTTTTGAAAGACAAATAGGAATTAGCTACAAGAAAAAGGTTTGCTGGGTTGGGAAATTACAATGGGAACTCATGTTTTCTAATTCACGGTTCAACATTTTGTTCACTGCACCAGTGTTTTCCGAAGTGTGTTACTCAGGACACTAGTCCTTCAAAGTCCTCCTAGACATTCGGTGAATAGAGTTCTCTGATCAATCATTTAGATCCTTCTCTTGGAGATTCTAATGCATCCAATACATTTTACTGTATTTACTGTAAATGCATTGTCTAAAATAAAATGCATGGGAATTGGATCTGAGAAGTCCTGAGACAAGGCAATCTTTTTGCAGCACTCTTTGGTAAAGAATGTAGGCTTTGGAAAGAGATTCCTTTGATCTGCGTTATGATTCTACCACTGACCAGTGGCATTGTCACGAGATTCTCAGGGTGATGCTTTTCCAGCTGGAAACCTCTGTGGCCAGTGACACCTTTGCCTGAGTTTTGCTCGGGCCCACTGGGCTCATTCTGCCCACTCAGCCTGGTAAGCTGTGCTTGGCTTACACTACAGTCCTGGATCCTATGCCTGCCAAGGGTGAGTGGAATGGCGAGGGGTGTATGAGCCAGCAAGCATGGGGTCTGGCCACTGCACACAGCCAGGCATGCTGACTGAGGCGGGGCAGGCAGCTCCAGGTGCTGGTGAGGGTGCCAGCTCCCTGAGAGGCTGTGGCTGGACCAGGCATACAGCAAGCAGCTCCCACAGCTGGCACTGGGGAACGTGGTGACACCCAGAAACTTGGAGATTCCAGGAACCACAGAGCCCCAAAGAGAGTGTCACAGCCCTGGCTTAGGGAGCTCCTAGGCCTAGACTCCCCGAAGAGCAAGGGCTCTTCCTTCCTTCTTTCTTTTCTCCTTCTTGCTACCTGCAACATAGCAAGCAAGGGGCATGTTTCAGCCCTGTTTGTGATACAGCTCTTTTAGCCCTGCCATTCTTCGGGTTCCGAGTTCTTGTCCTACACCCAGGAAGAATGAGGTACAAAGAAAAGTGGAGGATGAACAAGGTGAAGAGGAGCTTTATTGAGCAACAGAAGAGCTCAGAGGAGATCTGCAGTGGGTAGCTGCTCTCCACAGGCAGGGTGTCCTGATGAGTATTCAGCTCTCAGCAGAAAGAAGACCCTGGAGTGGGTAGGTCCTTTCTGCAGGCAGGTCATCCTATTGAGTGTTCAGCTTTCAGCAGAGAGGAGACCGTGGAGTAGGTAGCTGTTTTCTGCAGCTGGTCATCTTGTCATCTCCCTGAGTCTGGGTTTTTTATGGGCTTCAGAGGGAAGGAAGTATGTGCTGATTGGTCCACGGACAACCATGGGCGGGCATGGAAAAAGCACCATAAATTCCCACTCTGTTCCACTGGACTGGCAGCCTGGCCTCCAGTCTTTAGGCCTTCCTGGGTTTGAAGGTGGGGCTTCACTGCGGACCCACCCCTTTCTGCCCTGGAGCCTGTCTGGCTCCTGTGGCTGTTCATGGCACCCAGGTAGTTTGTGCTGAGGGGCACCTGCAGGCCAGCGCCAAGCTGCCCTCAGCCCGCCCCCCTGCCAGCCTCCCTCCCACGCACATTGGCACCCAAAGTCTAGAGTCAGTGCTGCCCTGAGTGTACACACACCCAGTGGGTTGCAACAGTGTCCAAACTCAGCCTCAGCTTTGTTCCGAGATTGGAGCAGTTGCCAGGAGCTGGGAGAGGCCAGGCAGTGGGAGCAGGCACTTCCAAGCCTGTGGGGATCACGGGGTGAGCTGTGCCTTCCTGGGTGAGCGAGAGTGCAGAAATGCCTGGGTCTGCAGCCACAACTTGGGCGGCTGCAGCTGCATCTGGAAGGGTGGGGCTCCTGCCTGCTCCTGGCCCCCAAGAACATGAGAATGCCTGGGTCTGGAACCATAGCTGGGCAGCTGCAGCTGCACTCAGGGAGCACGAGGCTCCTACCCTGCCAACTTGGAATAGGGTGGGGTTTCTGCCTGTTCCCAGCTCCTTGCTGCACCTGTCCCACTGCAGATGGCATCATGGCAGCAGCCACTCCAGATGAGCCACTGCTACCATTAGTATGTCATTGAAAAAGTTATTTAACCTATCAAAAGCTTGGGTTGCTTATCTACATAAACAAGATGATCATAACAGGACCTATGTCATCTGCTTGCTGAAAGGATTAAGTTGGATAATACATCTAAGGCATCTAGCACACCTCTTGTCTTATAAGAGATGCTTAAGTGCTCTATGTTTTAAAGATAGTATTTCCTCAAAAGAATTTAACCACAGAATTAAGCTTTCATTCTGAGAAATATTTTAGAAAGCTTTGGAGAGCACTCTGAGCCGCTCACTTACTAGAGTCTAACTTTACTTATCTGTGACACACAGAACCTATCTAACTCCTTGGGAGACTCTAAGAATGGGATTGGATAGAAGGGAAAATAGCTCAGGGAAAAGAACATTACATGGCATTTGTGGCATACACTGTGAGGAGCCCAACCAACAGCCATTCTCAACTTCCTCCCTAATAGAATCCTGATTTTGTTCAAGGAAGTACTTTTTCCGTTTCAAGAACTAGATCATGGTTGTTTTAAGCCAATCTTAGCAGCCTTTCACTTTTACTAATCAGGTTTTTCTCCAGCTTTACTCATATTTAGGGATGGCTGTGAGACCCAGTTCAGTCTAGTCGTATACAGTTGACCCTTGAACAGCACAAGTTTGAACTGTTTGTCCACTTATACATGGATATTCTCCTGACTCTGCCCCAGGAGAAAGCAAGCCAACTCTCTTCTTCTTCCTCCTGCTTGGCCTACTCGGTGTGGCAATGATGAGGATGAAGACCTATATGATGATCCACTTCCACTTAATGAATAGTAAATATATTTTCTCTTATGATTTTCTTAATGACGTCTTATTTTTCTCTTGCTTTATCATAAGAATATAGTATTTAATACATATAACATAGAAAATATGTGTTAAATAACTATTTATGTTATTGGTAACACTTCTGGTCAATAGTAGGTTATTTGCAGTTAAGTTTTTGGGGAGTTGAAGGTTATACACAAATTTTCAACTGCATGGAGATTAGTGCCTCTCACCCCCATGTTGTTCAAGGGTCAACTATATATGCAAAAGTCTGCCAAGAGTCTTTGGGGAAAAAAATTTGTTGTGTTTTTTTACATAAAAGATACCAATGAATGAAGAGTTTATTTGTGTTATCTCTTCTTTCTTCCTGCCTTGAACACAGATGTGATGTCTAGGGCTGTAGCTTCCGTTTTATGATAACAAGGCAATGAGCATGAGGACAAAACTCCAACAGTTAAGGATGACGAAATAAGTAGAAATATGTTAAATCTTTAGTGCCATTGTTGAGCTGATGAAACAGCCCAGGAACTGCCTACATGCAGGCTTCTTGCTAGGTGAGATAATAAATGACTTTATTGTCTCAGCCACTGTTCATCTGATATTCTATTATTTATGGACAAAAACATCCTAACTGAAACAACACAAATATGAGAGCTAATTATTATAACTTTTCTCTAGGAATTCCTTTTAATTTAAAGTTGTGAGTGTCTACAAATTGTGGCTTGACAATTGTAAATTATTGAGGGTGTGCTTGAGACATCCTAGGAATTCTTAACATGAATGGATATGAGGAAAGAAATACTGTTTCTTCCAAGAAAGTCTGAAAAACCAACAAAAATTAATTTTCTTCATATTATTTTTCTTCACATCATCTATGTTCTTTCCCTATAATTTTCTGAGGCCAAGGGCCATTGTGCAAAATGATATGTACATTACAGTTGTTGTTTTCTCTGAATTTTTCAGAAAAATTTTTATTTCTGCCAGCTCCTCTCCATGCAGCTGACTTCTCAAGCTGCATGCACACTAGCATGAGATGTATACTTATAGAAGAGGCTTACTTTCCTGGGAAGTGTGTTTGTGAATCAGAAATGGAGGCAGAACTGCATTGAAAATAGAAATTTTCCTTGTTTTGACTGAAAATTAGATTTCCTGGATTTTATGTTATTAGATTCAGGTTGCTAGTATTTAGTTGAGAATTTTACACCCCTATTCATGAGAGATATTCATCTCTTGTTTTCTCTTGTTGTGATGTCTTTGTATGGCTTTGATATTAGGGTAATACTGATCTTTTTCTTTAAAATCATTAAATAAATACTTAAATTTCTAGAAAATATTTAAAGTTTTGGAAACTTTTAAAGAGATAGTACTAATTCTCCTTTAAATGTTTAGTAGAATTCAGTAGGAAAGCCACCTGGACCTGGGCTTAACTTTGTAGGTAGGTTTTTATTATTTTTATTATTAATTTGATCTTTTGACTTATTATTATAGGTCTAGTCAGATTGTCTAATTCTTGAGTAAGTTTCAGTTATTTCAGTCTTTCTAGAAATTTCTCTATTTAATCTAAGTTATCTAATTTATTGGCATACAATGATTTATAATATTTCTTTATAATCTTTTTTAGTTTTCCAAGGTGAGTATTGATATCCTTTCATTTCTGATTCTAGTATCTGAGTCTTCTTGTTTTCTTGGTCAACCTAGCTAAAAGTATGTCAATTTGGTTGACATTTTAAGACAACTAGATTGGCATCATCACTTTTTCTCCATTGTTTTTCTGTTCTCTACTTTATTAATTTCAACTGTGATTTTTATTATTATCTTTCTGCTATTTTCTGTAGGTTTAGTTTGTACTTCTTTTTCTTAGTGTCTTAAAGTAAAAAGATAGGTTATAGATTTAAGATTTTTTTTCTCTCTCAACATAGGCATTTACAACTATAAGTTTTCCTCTGAACATTGCTTTAGCTGCATCCCATAAGTTTTAGTATGTTTTGTCTTAATCTCATTCATCTTGAAGTATTTTCTGATTTTCCTTTTGATTCTTTTTTAATCCACTGGTTATGTAGGAGTATATTTTTTAATTTCCACTTACCGTGAGTTTCCTAAATTTTTTCCATTATTAATTTCTCATTTCACATGGCATGTGATCTATCTTGGAGTACATTCCTTATACACTTGAGAATAATGTACATTCTGTTGTTTTTGAGTAGACTATTCTGTAGATGTCTATTAAGTCTAGTTGGTTTGTAATATTGTTAGGAAGCTTCTATTTCCTGTTGATTTTCTGCTTAGTTGTTCTATCCATTGTTAAAATGAAGTATTAAAGTTTCCAACTATTATTGTTGAATTATTTATTTCTGCCTTTTTTTGTCAGTTTTTGCTTCATGTATTTTGTGTTGTATTATCAGGGGCATATATGTTTATGATTGATATATTTCCCTGAAGGATTGACTCATTTATCATTATAAAATATTTCTGTTTGTCTTTAGTAACATTTCTCATTTTAGCATCTATTTTGTCTGATATTCATATAGCTACTTCAGCTTTCTTGTGGTTGCTGTTTGCATTGTATATTTTTTCCATTCTTTTTCTTTTGATTTCTTTGTATCTTTGAATCCATAATGTGCCTCCTGTAGATAGCCCATACTTGGATCTTGTTTTTTATTCAGTCTGACAATCTTTGCCTTTTGATTAGATTCTTTAATAAATTTACAGTCTTATTGATATAATTGGATTTATGTCTGGCATTTTACTTTTTATTTTCTATGTGTCTTGTGTTTTTTGTCTCCCTAGTCTTCCTTCATTACTTTCTTTGCATTAAGTGAATAATTTTAATGAAGCATTTAAATTTCTTTAATAACTGTTTTACTAGTTTTTGAGTTTTCTCCAAAGTGAATACCCTAGGGTATGCCATATACATTTTAACTTATAGCAATTAGATTCAGAGTTATGCTAGCTTAGTTATAGTGATACATAGCAATGTTTTTTTACATATATAGCTTGATTTCCCTTTTTGTGATATTATTTTCATTCATATTGCATCTTAATGTTAGAAACCCAACACTACATTGTTATAATTATTGCTTTACCATCTGTAGTCATTTCTTTTGCCCAATACAGATCTACTACCACTCATCTCCTTTGTACTGTATTGGCAAACATATTACAAATATATCACATATCTATATGTTATAGACCCAATAATATCTTATATACATATTATTTGTACATTTTATTTTGAATCAGTTAAGAGAAGAAAAGAGAAAATATGCATTTATACTTTTTTTATAAGTACATAACGTTTATCAGTTTTCATGTGTGTGTGTTGCAGGGGGTGGTATTTGAATTAACATCTGGAGTCACTTGCTTTCAGCCTGAATAACTTCCCTTAGTGGAGAGAACTTCCTTTTGCATAAGGTGGGTCTGCTAGCAACACATTTCTCTCTGTATTTGTTTATCTGTGAGTGTCTTTCTTCTGCCTTCATTATTGAAAGCTGGTTTTGTTAAACATAGAATCTTTGGTTGACAGTTCTTTTCTTTGAGCACTTTGAATATGTTATCCCATTGTCTTGTGGTCTCCATTGTTTCTGCTAAGAAGTCAACTTTTAATTTTATTGTGATTCCCTTGTAAGAAAGTTGTTTTTCTCTTGCTACTTTTTAGATTATTTCCTTGTCTTTGACTTTCTGCATTTTTACTATGATTTATCTGTTTGTGGATCTCTTTGTGTATATCTTACTTGGAGTTCATTGAGCTTCCCGGATGTATAGGTTAGTGTTTTTCAGTAAAATGGAGGCATTTTCAGCCACTATTTTTTCAAATAATTTTTCACACCTACCTCCACTGATTTTGAGAGCACCCGTAGATCTCAATTTCTTCACACTCTGTGGCAAGCAAAGTTGATTCCTTTGGGAAGAGAGAAGCAGCTATCTGTAGTGTGGCTTGTTTCTGCCCCAGGCAGAATTTCTGAACCAGAGCTCTGGAGCTGGGAGTAGAGAAATTTTAGGAGCTGAGCATTCGTTGGAGGGGGTTCAGTAACTTAAGGTCTTCTTACTTGCTTCTTCTGGCATGGAATCTCCAACTTACAACCCAAGGCGAGAGCAATCAGTGCTCCAGTATTCTCAGCACACTGTGTCCAAGCTAGACCTTCATTTCATGAGTGGGAAATGGGTAGGACAAGGGAGCTTCCCAACTCCTTGACCACACTAACTTAGGACTTAGCCTTAGTGACAGGTAGCTGGGGGCAGGATGAGAAATGCCGATGTCTTGTTTCTCCTAGGAAGAAAGCCCCGGACAGGGAGCTGGGGATAGAAGGTGCCTTGTGTGTTGACTGCACCAGTCTGGAGTAGAATTTCCACCTCACTGAGTTGGGAGAGAGGATAAAGGAAGTAGTCTTTGTTCAAATATCAATACTTGGTTCACTTTTCTTATTGGATTTTCTGAATTTTCTTTTTTCTTTTCTTTTCTTTCTTGCCTTTTTTTTTTTTTTTTTTGATGGGGTCTCACTCTGTTGCCTAGGCTGAAGTGCAAAGGCGTGATCTCAGCTCACTGCAACCTCCACCTCCCAGCTTCAAGCAATTCTCCTGCCTCAGCCTCCTGAGTAGCTGGGACTACAGGTACGTGCCACCACGACTGGCTAATTTTTTTGTATTTTTATTAGAGATGGGGTTTCATCGTGTTAGCCAGGATGGTCTCCATATCCTTACCTCATGATCCACCCACCTCGGCCTCCCAAAGAGCTGGGATTACAGGCGTGAGCCACCACGCCTGGCTCTTACTGAATTTTCACAGATTGTCTTGAATAGGTGTTTCTTCATTTGTTATATGCCCTTAGGGCCATTTTCGAAGGCTGTAAATGTTTGCTTTAAATAATTTTCACTGGTTTCACTAGGTAGTAGGCCCACAAAGCTCCTTACACTGTCATTCAGAAATCAATTTTATGGTCTGCATTTAAGATCTTTTATTTGATAGTTTTAGATCTGTGATGTGTGGTACTCCTGATCATTAGAGAAGACTTACACTGATTTTCAAAGAATGACTGACACTATTTCATTTTATAATTGGTGTTTATTAGTAGAAACTAGAAGCCTGAATATTCCTTTCATGGTTAGTGAGATGTCTGGTTCTACCAGTAGTTCATTCATTCATTCAACAAAGTTATGTCAAATGTCCAGAAATCCTTAGCAATGTTCTAGGTGCTGATGATTTTGAGCTAAATACACACACATACACACACACACACACACACGCACACACGTGCACACACACATACATGCACACACTTTTTTTGTTGTTGTTGGAACTTGAAATCTAGTGAGTGAAGACAAGTAATAAACAAAGAGAAGGCCGAGCATGGTGGCTTACGCCTGTAATCCCAGCACTTTGGGAGGCTGAGGCGGGTGGATCACCTGAGGTCGGGAGTTTGAGACCAGCCTGGCCAACATGGTAAAACCACATCTCTACTAAAAATACAAAAATTAGCTGGGCGTGGTGGCATGTGCCTGTAATCCCAGCAGTCAGGAAGCTGAAGGAGGAGAATAGCTTGACCCCAGGAGGCAGAGGTTGCAGTAAGCCAAGATCAGACCACTGCACTCCAGCCTGGGCAACAGTGAGACTCTGTATTTAAAAAAAAAAAAGGAAAAGAAAAGTTAAGAGATACGTAAACAAGGTGATTAGAGATGATGATAAATCCTACGAAGGAAGCAGGATCATCAGATAAATGTGAGGCTCTCTAAGGTGTTGCCCTAGGAGCTGAGACTGGAAAGACTAGGAATCAGTCCTGCAAAGAACCAGAAAAGAGCATTCCAGGGAAAGGAACGAGTAATGCAAAGGACTCGAGTCAGGAGGAAGCCTAATATGTTGAAGGAAAAGAAACAAGACCATTGCAGCTGGAGGAATAAAGGGGAGGGTGACAGAAGAAAGGCTGGGAAAGCAGACAGGAGCCAGATCAGTCATGGTATAGAGTTTGAGTTTTATTCTAAGGGCAATGGGAAACCATTGGAAGGTTTTAGGCAGAAACGTGGGGACAGTGACACGAGAGATACTGTGGGAAGCAGGATTCAGATGTTTAAAATCAAAATTTTCAACACTGACCTCTACCCTCAGTTAAGACTCCACATAAATTTTTATAGGTTCTTGACCCTGTTTTCTAAACATCCTTCTCCCTAATGTAAGTTGATCTATTTCTCCAGTCCACCATCACAGCCAGATGTACATCTGACTTCTTCCTTTTGAATCTCCCACCTTAACGCTGTTTATAGGCTCCTCTCTACTCCCAGGAAAAGAATGGCAGGTATACTTCCATTTTTGAAAGGAAGCCCTCTTGAATTTGCCCTGTGCAACTCAATTTCCTTTCCCTACTACCTTGTACACCTGTAGCTATTCCTGCCTGTGAAGTAGCTCCCAAATCTACAGCTCTCTGGCTCTCTTCCAAAGAAGAGATGTTTTATCCTGGTTTCCCAATGATTACTGTAGGCTAGAAGTTCCCTAACACTCTGGTTGAGTTTCTCTGACTCTGCCAAGCCCCCAAGTCAAGTAGTAAATTCTGTGAAAACACACTTAAGTGCTCCCGGTGGAGCTCTGGGTTTGAACTGCTTTCCTTCTGCAAGAAAACACGTCTGCTTTATAGCTTCAGATTTTCCTTTATATGGCTTTCTTAAAGAAAGGCATGCCCTGAGCCAGCATTTTCTCCCTACTCAATCCCATGATAATAGTTCCCAGTAACAGAGGCTGCGGAGTCATGGTTGAGAGTGTGGCCCTGACTTCTTGGGTTCGAGTCCTGGCTCAGCCACTTCACAGTGGGTCTGGACAAGATGACTTCTCAAAGGCTCCCATGCTCTGCCTAGAAAATGTGGATAAAGTGATACCAGCCTCAAAGGGCTATTGTGAGCATTGAATGATACAATGCCTCGCACATAGTAAGCACTCAGTAAGTGTTGTTATTATGCCCACATAGGAAAAAGTGACTAGACCAGTTTACTGACATAAAAAGATGCATAAACAGAAGGAGAGGGCAAGAGAGAGAAAGAAAGAAAAAGCATAAATCACCACATTCTACCCCAGTGTAATGTCATGGCTCTGTCTGGGAACTAGGACAACAGAGTTACAGAGCAGATGCCAAGGCTGGTAAGAAATGAAATTTAGGGAGGCTTCTGGAAGCTTTGAGATGCAAATCTTACCGCAAGCTGCAGGCAGGCTACAAGGCTGGGAAGTGCAGCTCATTCACTCTGTCTAGAAACCTCACCATCATTGTCCTTCCCACCCAAAGAGATGGGCTGCACGGGTGAGTGACAGTCCAGACATCGGCTAAGATGTACTTGTCACACTGTCCAAAGAATATCCTCTATTGTTGGGTTTGGCAGTGAAATTTGGAAGAAGTTATAATGGAGAAATAGCACAAGGAGGCAGATAAAGCAGTAGACTCATCATGGGTACCTTAGTCCTAGTCCTGCCACCTGAGAAGTAGCTGGCAAGAAGATTCTTCAGAGCTCACTTTCCCCTGCTTGGTTAGTTTTCTCATGTGTATGATGGGGAGGTGAGATAGATGATCTTGAAGGGGACCTCTTCAGTTGCAATATTCTACAATGGTAAAGAACAGAGTTGTCCCTATTTTCTAAAATTCTCTGTAAGAGGGTTATATAGTTTGGATAACTATGGCCTCCAAATCTTATGTTGAAATATGATCCCCAATGTTGGATATTGGGCCTGGTGGGAGGTGTTTGGATCACGAGGTCAAATCCCTCATGAGTGGCTTGGTGCCATTCTCGTGGGACTGAATAAGTTATCACTCTTAGTTACCACGAGAATTGGTTGTTAAATGAGCCAGGCACCTCCTCCCCTTTCTCTCTTCTCCTCTCTGTGATGCCTGCTTTCCTTCACCTTCTACCATTAGTGGAAGCAGTCTGAAGTCCTTACCAGAAGCAGATGCCTGCACCATGCTTCTTGTACAGCCTGCAGAACCATAAGCCAAGTAAACCTCATTTCTTCATAAATTATCCAGTCCCAGGTACTGCTTTATAGCAACACAAATGGGCTAAGAAAGACAGAGAGGAGGAAGGGATTGGGCTACCTAAAATTGGAAATTACTTAGAAAAAGCCTTGCAGAGTCTTGAAATTAGCTCCTCATTACTTGTGTTCACCCTCCAAACATGCTGACTAAAATCCTAACAAAAATTAGAATGGCCAAAATGAAAGATAATCAATACCAAATGTTGGGAAGAACATAGAGAGACTGGCACCCTCATGCACTGTTGGTGGGAGTGTAAATAGTGCAACCAGTTTGGAAAACTGTTTGGCAGTGTCTGCTAAAACTGAACCACACATGTACTGTAAGACCTAGCAATTCCACTTCTAGGATTATCCTCAACAGAAATGCCCATCCATGTGCACTAAAAGACATGTACAAGAGCATTCATGACAGCATTCTATGCACACTGCAAATAGCCCAAATGCCTGCTTAGAATAGAGCAGATAAATCCTAGTATATTCATATAATGAAACACCTGCCGCCTTAGAATGAAATGAACTATAGCTATGTGCGAAGCCATAAATAAATCTCATGAACATGATGAGCAAAAGAAGCCAGACATGAACGAGTATATTTTGATTAACTCCATTTATATAAGGCTTAAAAGCAATAAAAACTAATCTGTTGGAAGTCAGGAGATGATTACCGTTTGGGGGGGATTAGTGATTAAGAGGGGGGCACTACGATTTCTGCAGTGCTAGTAATGTTCTGTTGCTGTGGGTGCTGGTTGCACAGGAAAGTTTACTTTGTGAATATTAATTGTGCTATATACTTTTGATTTGCATATATGTTATACTTCAATAAACTTACCAAAAAATAAAAGCTCAAATATGCAAGTCATGTTTGAGCTTATTTCCCCTCGAGGGAAAGAAAAAAATCACATTCTTGCAGCAGGTACATATCTCCATGCTCAACCTTGGAGAGTTAAAAAAAAATGCCACTTTTGGCTCTCTATACTGAACTTCATTTGTATTCTCTGTCCCTCTTCTCACACTGTCCTCCCATACACATCCCATTCTGCCAATAGTAGAAGCAATATCAGTCAAGCCTATGTCTCTCTCTCACCTCCATCTCCCTGGATTGTGTCAGAGCTTTAGTGGCCCTGTACAAGCTAGAGTGAGCTGAGGAGGGCTGATCTTGGTGCCATAGCCTGGCACTCAGGAGACATGCACTGAGAGGGCCCTGTCCTCATCAACCTCTGGCTATTTGCCTACACAGGTCACTGCTTTGTCCTGTTTTCCCATCATAAGACCTCTTCAGCTTTACTTGTTAGCCTCAAAACCAAGACCTGATTTGTGCATTCTTCCAAAGCAATGAGAGCTGGCACCCACCTGTCCAAATGTGGCACGGAGGGGAGGAAGGTTGTGGTTATGGAAAATACCATGGGAAAACCACAGGCCAATATCTCAAAGTTACAATCTTCTCACCTTTTCGTCTGACAAACATGGTGTTCATTTTGGTAGCCTGTATAACCTATTTTGTGAGCAGATTTCCCAAAGAAGGAGGAACAAGAGGCTATTTGGGGTGGGATGGGGTGGAAGGAGCAGGCAAGATACGGACAGGGTCAGTGCACTCATTTCCTAGGGCTGCCATAATAAATAGCCATAAAGTGGGTGCCTTAAAATGTATGTTATTCTCTCACAGTTATCTGGAGGCTACAAGTCTGAAATCAAGGGATTGGCAAGATTGGTTCCTTCTAATGGGTTTAAGGGAGAGTCTGCTTTGTGCCTGTCTCTTAGCTTTTGGTGGCTGCTGGCAGTGCTGGGCATTCCTTGGCCTGTAGAAGTATCACTCCAATCTCTGCCTCCAGTATTACATGGCATTCTTCCCTGTGTGTGTCTCTGTGTGTCCAAATTTCCTTCTTTTATAAAGACACATTGGATTAAGGCCTACCCTAATCCAATATGACCTCATTTTGACTTAGTTACATCTGTTTATTAGTTTGCTAGGGCTGCCATAACAAAGTACCACTAAGTGGGTGGCTCAAACAACAAAAATTTATTGTCTTTAAGTTCTAGAGACTAGAAATCCAAAATCAAGCTGTCAGCAGGGTTGGTTCCTTCAAAGGGCCGTAAAAGAAAGGTTTCAGGCTCTCTCCTTGGTTTATAGATGGCTGTCACCTCCTTCATCTCTTTACATCACCTTTTTCATGTGCATGTCTCTCTCTGTGTTCAAATTTCTTCTTTTCCTAAGGACACCAGTCATAGCAGATTAGAGCCTACCCCGATGACCTCATTTTAACTTTATTACTCTACTTACCACTGTAAAAAGCTTATCTTCAAATAGAGTCACATTCTAAGGTATCAGAGGTTAAGACTCTATATTTTTGCGGGGGACAGATAGTGAGGCAGACACAATTCAACCCCTAATAATCTGCAAAGACCCTATTTCCAATTGAGGTTGCATTCACAGGTCTTGGGACTTAGGATTTCAATATAAGTTGTTGAAGGACACAATTCAACCTAAAATAGTGAAATCCCATGAATCTCTGAGAACTTCCAGAATAACTTCATCATCCCTCAGGCCAGGATATGATTCTAGGAATCCTTTGACTGTGCCCTGAGGTCCCCCAGGACTCCACATGTACCTCTAGCACAGTACTTATTACATCATATTGAAACTTGTGTGACATCTGTTTAGGTTTCTGTCATCAACCCCCCTGCACACACTGCTTAGGACTGCAAGCGCCTCTAAGATAGGGACTAAGTCTTATTATTCATCTTTGCATTCTCAGCTCAGAGCCTGGCATAATACAGTGCTAGATGAGTGTTTATTGAGCAGAACTGACTTGTTGGCCTATTACTTACCAAAATTGTCTTGTTTCATAATTTGCCATCAGTCATGAGCAAATAAGCAAGCCAAACATGCTCTTGGATGAGTATTTAAATTATATAATCACAGGCTGTCAGAATTGTGGGGGTAACTTAGAGATTTTCTAATCTAAGAGTGGCAGATAACTAACATGCATCTCACCATTTCCAGCTCTGTACCTATGGCAGACATTACTATCTATCATGGCATTCTTTCCCACTGAACTTGGATCAAACTTCAGAATTGTTCTTAACTCCGAAAGATGAAACCAAATACTATTTCTTGGGAAGTTTAACTCCATACCTTCCAACAGATGAGAAAATTGAGACTCATTATAAGAAAACATATCAAAGATGACCCAATGATGGTGGCAGAGAACTGGAAGCCTCATCTTCTAATGCGTAGGGCTATGTTTGTTCTGCCCCATCCCACAGGTTTTCCAAAATGTTCTAGTAAAACTTGCATCATTGATATATTGCTGCATTAAATGACATTGGCTTGCACAGTGAGAAACATCATCCTTCTTATTTTTATTTTTATTATTTCAATAGTTTTGGGGGAACAGGTGGTGTTTGGTTACTTGGATAAATTCTTTAGTGATGATTTCTGAGATTTTGGTGCACCCATCACCCGAGCAGTGTACACTGCACCAGTGTGTGGTCTTATATCCCTTATCTGCCTCCCAACCATCCTCCTCAAGTCCCCAGACTCCATTATGTAATTCTTATGCCTTTGTGTTCTCATAGCTTAGCTCCCACTTATAAGTGAGAACATATGATGTTTGGTCTTTCATTCCTGAGTTACTTCACTTAGAATAATGGTCTCCAACACCACTCAGGTTGCTGCAAATGCCATTATTTTGTTCCTTTTCATGGCTCAGTAGTATTCTATGGTATACACATATGCCACATTTTCTTTATTCACATTTCTTTATTCACTTATTGACGAGCATTTAGGCTGGTTCCATATTTTTGCAATTGCGATTGTGCTGCTATAAACATGCATGTGCAAGGGTCTTTTTCATATAATGACTTCTTTTCCTCTGGGTAGATACCCAGGAGTGGGATTGCTGGATCAAATGGTAGTTCTACTTTTAGTTATTTAAGGACTCTCTATACTGTTTTCCATAGTGGTTGTACTAGTTTACATTCCCACCAACAGGGTAAAATTGTTCCCTTTTCACAATATCCACGCCAATGTCTTTTTTTTTATTTTTTAATTATGGCCATTCTTGTAGGAGGAAGGTGGTATCACATTGTGGTTTTGATTGGCATTTTCCTGATAATTAGTGATATAGATCATTTTTTCATATGTTTATTGGCCTGTTGTATATCTTCTTTTGAGAATTGTCTATTCATGTCCTTAGCCCACTTTTTGAAGAGATTATTTGTTTTTTTTTCCAGTTGATTTGTTTGAGTTATTTGTAGATTCTGAATATTCATCCTTTGTTGGATACATAGTTTGCAAATATTTTCTCCCATTCTGTAAGTTGTCTGTTTACACTGGTGATTATTTCTTTTGGTGTGCAGAACCTTTTTAGTTTACTTAAGCCCCATTTATTCTTTTTTTTTTTTTTTTTTTTTTTGCATTTGCTTTTGGCTTCTTAGTCATGAAGTCTTTGCCTAAGCCAATGTCTGAAGGGTTTTTCTGATATTATGGTCTAGAATTTTTATGGTTTCAGGTCTTTGACTTAAGTCTTTGGTTCATCTTGAGTTGATTTTTGTATAAGGTAAGAAATGAGGATTCAGTTTTATTTTTCTATGTGGAGCTTGCCAGTTATTTCAGCACCATTTGTTGAAGAAGGCATCCTTTCTCCACTTTATGTTTTTGTTGGCTTTGTTCAAGATCAGTTGGATATGAATATTTGGTGGGGTTTTTTTGTTGTTTGTTTGTTTTTGATGGAGTCTCACTCTGTTGCCCAGGTTGGAGTGCAGTGGCATGACCGTGGCTCACTGCAGCCTCCACCTCCCAGTTTAAGTGATTCTCCTGCCTCAGCTTCCTGAGTAGCTGGGACTACAGGCATGCACCATCACTCCCCACTAATTTTTGCATCTTTAGTAGAGACAGGTTTTCACCATGTTGGCCAGACTGGTCTCGAACCTCAAGTGATCTGCCTGCCTCAGCCTCCCAAAGTGCTGGGATTACAGGCATGAGCCACTGTGCTCAGCTAAGTATTTGGCTTTATTTCTGGGTTCTCTTTTCTGTTTCATTGGCTTATGTGCCTGTTTTTATGCCAGCACCATGCTGTTTTAGTAATTATAGCCTTGTGTATAATTTGAAGTTGGGTAATGTGATGTTGCCATATTTGTTGTTTTTGCTTAGTCTTGCTTTGGCTATGTGGGCTCTTTTTTTGTCCATATGAATTTTAAGATTTTTTTTTTTTAATTCTGTGAAGAATGATGATGGTATTTTCATGGGAATTGCATTGAATTTATAGATTGCTTTTGGTAGTATGGTCATTTTCACAATATTGATTCTACCTATCCATGAGCATGGGATGTGTTTCCATTTGTTTGTGTTACGGATTTATTTCAGCAGTGTTTTGTAGTTTTCCTTGTAGAGATCTACCACCTCCTTGGTTAGGTATATTCTTAAGTATTTTTATTTTTTTATTTTTTACAACTGTTGTAAAAGGAGTTGAGTTCTTGATTTAATTATCAGCTTGGTCACTGTTGGTGTATAGCAGTGCTACTAATTTGTGTACATTGATTTTGTATCCTGAAACTTTACTGAATTCGTTCATCAGATTGAGGGGCTTTTTGGATGAGTCTTTAGGGTTTTCTAGATACACAGTCATATTATTGGCAAATAGTGACAGTTTGACTTCCTCTTTACTGATTTGGATGCCGTTTATTTCTTTCTCTTGTCAGATTGCTCTGGCTAGGACTTCCAGTACTATGTTGAATAGAAGTGGTGAAAGCGGGCATCCTTGTCTTGTTCCAATTCTCCAGGGGAAATGCTTTCAACTTTTCTCCATTCAGCAGAACGTTGGCTGTGGCTTTGTCATAGGTGGCTTTTATTACCTTAAGATATGTCCTTTCTAAGCTGATTTTGCTAAGGGTTTTAACCATAAGGGGATGCTCGATTTTGTCAAATGCTTTTTCTGCATCTCTTGAGATGACCATATGATTTTTGTTTTTGCTTCTTTTCTGTGGTGTATCACATTTATTGACTTGTGTATGTTAAAACAACCCTGCATTTCTGCTATGAAACCCACTTGATCATGGCGTATATCTTTGATATGCTGTTGGATTCAGTTAGCTAGTATTGTTGAGGATTTCTTTCATCTATGTTCATCAGGGATATTGTTCCGTAGTTTTCTTTTTTCGTTATGTCCTTTCCTGGTTTTGGTATTTGGGTAATACTGGTTTATTGAATGATATAGGGAGGTTTCCCTCTTTCTCCAAGTTTTGGAATAGTTTCAGTAGGATTTGTACCAATTCTTCTTTAAATGCCTGATACAATTTAGCTGTGAATCCATCTGGTCCTGGACTTTTGTTGTTGTTGTTGACATTTAAAAATAATTACTCTTTCAATCTTGCTACTTGTTATTGGTCTGTTCAGAGTTTCTATTTCTTCCTGGTTTAATCTAGGAAGATTGTATATTTCCAGGAATGTATCAATCTCTTCTAAATTTTCTAGTTTGCATGCATAAAGGTGTTTATAGTATCCTTGAATGATCTTTTGTATTTCTGCGGTATTGGTTGTAATATCTCCCATTTCATTTCTAATTGAGCTTATTTGGATCTTCTCTCTCCTTGGTTAATCTCACTAATGATCTATCAATTTTATTTATCTTTTCAAAGTACAAGTTTTTTGTATCATTTATCTTTTGTATTGTTTTTTGTTTGTTTGTTGCAATTTCATTTAGTTCCGTTCTGATGTTTGTTATTTCTCTTCTTCTGCTGGGTTTGGGTTTGGTTTTTTCTTGTTTCTCTAGTTCCTTGAAGTGTGACCTTAGATTGTCTATTTGTACTCCTTCAGATTTTTTGATGTAGGCATTTAATATTATGAACTTTCCCCTTAGTACCACTTTTGCTGTATCCCAGAGGTTTTGATAGGTTGTGTCAGTATTATTGTTCAGGTTGTTACTGGGGGAGGGTGTCCAGGTTCTTGGCATTTTGGACAAGAATAGGACAAAATACACAAACAAAGCAAGGAAAAAATGAAGCAACAAAAGCAGAGATTTATTAAAAATAAAAGTACACTCCACAGGGTGGGAGTGGGCCTGAGCAAGTGGCTCAAGAGCTGGATTACAGAATTTTCTGGGGTTTAAATACCTCCGGAGGTTTCCCATTGATTATTTGGTGTATGCTCTATGTAAATGAAGAGGCTGAAGTGAAGTTAGAAAGTTATGTACTTGGTGTATACCCTATGCAAATGAAGAGAATGTTTCCTGTCATAGCTGAAATAGAGTTACAAAGTTATTTACCTGGTTGTAGAAAGTTGGGGTTTTTCCATTTGCTTTAGTTCTAGGAAATCCTTGGGTTCCCTGCCCCAGACCCTATGCTCCTGCCTCAAGTTCAAAGAATTTTTAAATTTCCATTTCAATTCCATTGTTGACCTAAAGGTCATTCAGGAGCAGATTATAATTTCCATGTATTTTTATAGTTTTGAGGTTTCTTTTGGAGTTAATTTTCACCTTTATTTCACTGTGGCCTGAGAGAATACTTGATGTAATTTTGATTTTCTTAAATTTATTAAGACTTGTTTTTTGGCCTATATTATGGTCTATCCTGGAGAATTTCCATGTGCTGATGAAAAGAATGTATATTCTGCAGTTGTTGGATAGAACGTTCTGTAAATATCTGTTAAGTCCATTTGTTTTAGAGTATAGTTTAAGTCCACTGTTTCTTTGTTGACTTTCTGTCTTGATGACCTATTGAGTGCTGTCAGTGACGTACTGAAGTCCCCCACTATTTCTGTGTTGCTCTATCTCATTTATTAGGTCTAGAAGTAACTGTTCTATAAATTTGGGAGCTCCAGTGTTAGATGCATATCTATTTAGGATTGTGATATTTTCCTGTTGGACTAATCCTTTTATCATTATATAATGTCCCTGTTTGTCTTTTTTAACTGTTGTTGCTTTAAAGTCTGTCTTGTCTAATATAAAAATAGCTACTCCTGCTCACTTTTGGTTTCCATTTGCATGAAATATCTTTTTCCATCCCTTTATCTTAAGTTTGTGTGAGTCCTTATGAGTTAGGTGAGTCTGTTGAAGACAGCACATGCTTAGTGGATTTTTTATTCATTTTGCCATTTTGTATCTTTTAAAGGGAGCATTTAGGCCATTTACATTCAATGTTAGTATTGAGATGTGAGATGCTGTTCTATACATCATGCTATTGTTGCCTGAATACTTTTTGTTTTTTCATTTTGCTATTGTCTTATAGGCCGTGTGAGATTTATGCTTTAAGGAGGTTCTATTTTGGTGTATTTGAGGCTTTGTTTCAAGAGTTAGAACTCCTTTTAGCATTTCTTGTAGTGCTGGCTTTGTAGTGGTGAATTCTCTCAGCATTTGTTTGTCTGAAAAAGACTTTCTGTCTCCTTCGTTTATTAAGCTTAGTTTCACTGGCTACAAAATTATTGGCTTATAATTGTTTTGTTTAAGGAGGCTAAAGATAGGACCCTAATCCCTTCTGGCTTGTAGAGTTTCTGCTGAGAAATCTGCTGTTAATATGATTGATTTTCCTTTATAGTTTTCCTGATGCTTTTGCCTCACAGCTCTTAAGATTCTTTCCTTCCTCTTGACTTTAGATAACCTGATGACTATGTGCCTAGGTGATGATCTTTTTGCAATGAATTTCCCAGGTGTTCTTTGAGTTTCTTGTGTTCGGATGTCTAGACCTCTAGCAAGACGGGGAAGTTTTCTTCGATTATTCTCTCAAATAAGTTTGCCAAACTTTTAGATTTCTCTTTTTTCTCAGGAGCACCAATTATTCTTATGTTTGGTCACTTAACATTATCCCAAATTTCTTGGAGCCTTTGTTCATTTAAACTTTTTTTCCTTTGTCTTTGTCAGATTTGGTTAATTCAAAAGCTTTTTGAATTAACCTTCAAGCTCTGAAGTTCTTTCTTCTACTTGTTTGATATTATTGTTGAAACTTTCCAGTGTATTTTGCATTTCTTTAAGTAGGCCTTTCATTTCCAGAAGTTTTGATTGTCTTTTCTTTTTTTTGATATCTATTTCTCTGGAGGCTTTTCATCCAAATTCTATATTTTTTAAAAATTTCTTTACGTTGGTTTTCACCTTTCTCTGGTATCTTCTTGATAATATGGAGAAAACTTAATAATTAGAAGCTTTTAAGAATTCAGAAGGTTGATTATTAAGCTTCTGAATCCAGAAACTTAATAATCAACCTTCTGAATTCTTTATCTGGCTGTTCAGAGATTTCTTCTTGGTTTGGATCCATTGCTGGAGAGCTAGTGTAATTTTTGGGGGGATGTTGTAGAACCTTGTTTTGTCATATTACCAGAATTACTTTCCTGGTTCCTTCTCATTTGGATAGACTGTTTCAGTGGAAAGATCTGCAACTCAAGGCTGCTGCTCAGATTCTTTTGTCCCATGGCTGATCCCTTGATGTGTCTTCCCCTAGGGATGGGTCTTCCTGAGAGCTAGACTGCAGTGATTGTTATTGCCCTTCTGGGTATAGCCACCCTGCCAGGCTACCAAGTTTTGGGTTGGTGCTGAAGAATGTTTGCAGAGAGTCCTATGATGTGATCTGTCTTTGGGTCTCTCAGCCATGGATTCCAGCACCTTCTCTGGTGGAGGTGGCCGGAGAGTGAAGTGGACTCTGTGGGAGTCCTCAGTTGTAGTTTTGTGTAGTGCAGTAGTTTTCTGGAATGCTTGTTATGCTAGCAGTGAAGTGGTCACATGGACAGACTTAGGACCTCTGGTTCACCAGGGTGTTGCAGGCAGTGGAATGAGCTGTCGTTTTCTCCTTCTTTGGAGCAGGGTTGTTCTGTCCTGAGTTGCTGTCATGGCTTGAGTTGGTTGACCTCCAGCCAAAAGGTAGGGCTTTCAAGAGAGCATCATCTGTGGTAGTATAGAGGGGATACAAGCTTACCCTAAGATGCCTGGATAAGTATTTGGGTTTCTTAGGCAATGAGAGGGGCCACAGAGCTTCCATGAGTTTATATATTTTGTCTTCAGCTAGTAGGGTGGATAGAGAAAGACCATCAGGTGGGGGCAGGGTTAGGCATGTCTGAGCTCAGACTCTCCATGGGTGGGGCTTGCTGTGATCACTGTGGGGGATGGGGGCCAGTTCTCAGGCCAGTGAAATTGTGTTCCCGAGGGGATTATGGCTATCTCTGCTGTGTAATACAGGTCACCAGGAAGGTGGAGGAAAGCTGGAAGTGACAGGCCTCACCCAGCTCTCACACAGCCAGAAAGGCCTATCTCACTCCCACTGTGCCCCACCAACAGCACAAAGTTTATATCTGTGCTCACCAGACAGCTGGTGAGCAGGGCTGAGATCTTGCCCCAGGCTATGAGCCTCCCTGATGAGAAAGCAAGCAGGGCTCTCACACCTTGCCCCTCCCTGCCTGCCCACATAGTCAGCTGTACTTCTGCACTCGTATCAGTATTTCCCATTTGTACCCCCACCCTTGCCCCAAGATTCTGCTCGGAAAATTCATGCTCAGTCACAATTATTAGAGTTCAACTAGGAGCTTCCTTCATTCTGTGGCTCCTCCTCAATTCCACTGGCTGCCTTCCATACGAGCCCTGTGAGATAATGCTGGAAATAGCTTCCCTAGGCTCAAACTGGGGACCAGGAGTACCTACAGGGCTCTTCTCACTGCTTCTTCTACTGTTATATTTTGTTCAACTCCCTAAATCCATGTCAGCTTTATGTAAGGTTAAATCCTTCTCCCATGATCTGGATTGTCAGGTTCCCCAGTGGGAATGTGTGTACGGAGGCAGACATTTCCCCCTCACACTTTGGGAACTCAGTTTTTAGGCTGTCTTGGGAAGTTTGCAGTGGCAGGCCACTTCTTTCAAAGAGTCTGTTAACTCTTTCAGTTTTCCTGGTGTGTTTCACTGCAAAAGTTCACAATGTGAGTCTCCACATGCTGTTCTTCCATCCAAGTGAGAGCTGCATGTTAGTACTGTTTCCTATCCACTATCTTCTAACTGTCTCCAAAATCAATCAAATCATATTCTTTTTCAAACTTTCTGTAAATATCAAAGAAAAACGCTGAATTTGATGATGTTATGTCTTCCATACTCTATTTTCGTTTAAAGAAACAGTAGATGAAAGTCCAGTCTTTAGTAGGTTGTAGTATGTGGTTAGAATTTAATATCGTCACAAAGTTTTCTTTTTATTCATGCTTAGGATTACCATACAGTTATGACAAACTTTTCACCTGTGGCAGTGATAAAACCTTTCTTTTAAAATAAATTTGTTTACATTCTTCAAAAGTCAGTATACAGAAAAAATCTTAACTGAATATAGTATAGGTAGCACACAAATGTGGCAAAATAAAAGATCTGGGAAAACATTGTGTTGCACTGTACACACATCCTTATTCAGCGGTCCTTGCTACTCTCCAAGACAAATAATGCTTCTTCCCTTTTTCTCTACTGGAAAATGATTTCTTTTTGCTTTGTCTCCTGCTTCTTGCGTTTTCCTCCTGCTCCCAACCAGCCTCCTCCTGAGGTTCTCACCTGCCAGCCCCCATGCCTCCCCAGTTGCTAGACTCTGTCATTTTCAGCATAGCTCCCTCCATCTGCCAAAACCCAGTCCAAGTCTGCCTCTGCATACCATATGGTCTGGCAGACAAGACGGGCGCTCGATGTTGATTCAAGAGCTGAAAGCAAATCCAGTTTAACCCCCATCCTCCCTTCTTAGCAGGAGAGGAAGCAAACTTTGTTGTCCTGCCTCTTCTATCTTCCAGCCTGAGGAAGGCAGGCCTCAGTTAGCTGTGTGATGCCTGGACCTTCCAGTCCTGGATTCCTGCTGCCTCCCTCCTTCACAGGGACTATTCTTAGACTTTTCTGGTTTTTATCTTAGAAAGGAGCATTAGCCAGGTGCAGTGGCACATGCCTGTAGTCCCAGCTACTTGGGAGGCCTAGGCAGAAGGATCGCTTGAGCCCAGGAGTTCCAGCCCAGGCTGGGCAATATTGTGAGACCCCCATCTCTAAAAACGTAAATAAAAATAAAAAGGAACATTTGGTACTCACTGGATAATCTTTCAGCAAGCAAACCTTCCTTGAGTCAGGAGGAAATAGGCCAGTCAGCCTCCCTCGTAGTGCTGGGAAGTGAACGCCCACAAAGGCTGGCTAAAGACAGAGCAAGGACCCGGGGGCAGGGCAGGTAGGCTGTGGGTCTGCATGCACAGTCTCTGAGGACACTGTCTTGGCAAGCCAAGCAGCTGGCCCTGGAGGTCAGCATCACCATGTATCCTCTCCAAAGTGAGGTAAAGCCACACCAGCCACTGGAGAAAAGAAAAGAAGAGAGAGAAGAAAGAGGAGTGAATGAGAAAAGGAGAACTAAGGGAGAAGAGGAATGTGGAGAGGACCTACGTGAAGCTAGTTGTGGAGTGTTCCAAGATCAAATAAAAGGTATCATAAAAGGGCATCCTAAATTATAAGTTGGTATGATTCATTCATACTTGAAGGTTCTGTGAAGGTAGGAGTAAGTGCCAACTGAGTCCCAGTGTGCACTGGCCGGCTTTCATTCAACAAATATCGAGTGTCTGCTATGTGTTAGGTGTTGGAGCCCCAGCAGTGCACAAGATTGACAAGTCCTTGCCCTCATGGAGATGACATTAAATGGCTTAGTAAGGTCACAGGGAGCACATAGGCATTACAATCAGACTGCCTGAGTTGAAGCTTGCTGTCTTGCACCTTAGCTCTGTGACCTTGAGTACCTACCTAAGGCAGCAAGTATTCTTATCTGTGAAATGGGAATAAAAACAGCCCTACTTAAAGGGTCTTGGTAAGGATTTAAAGACATAATTAATATATGGCATAGTAGGTATATGGTGGTATCTCATTATTATTAATTATTATTATTATTATTTTGAGACAGGGTTTTACTCCTGTTACCCAGGCCGAGTGCAATGGTGTTATCTCAGCTCACTACAACCTCTGCCTCCCAAGCTCAAGCAATTCTACTGCCTTAGCTTCCCGAGTAGCTGAGACCAGGTGCACACTACTGCACCCAGCTTATTGTTTTATATTTATTTTTATAGAGACGGGGCTTCACCATGTTGCCCAGGCTGTTCTCAAACTCCTGAGCTCAGGAGTTCCACCCCCTTCAGCCTTCCAAAGTGCTGGGATTACAGGTGTGAGCCACCATGCCCGGCCTCATTGATGTTTTAATTTGCATTTCCCTAATGATGAATTATGTTAAGCATCTGTTTATGTATTTATTGTCTATTTCAATATCTGTTTTTGGTAATGAATCCATTCAAATCTTTTCCCACTATTTATTGGGTTTTTTGCCATATAACTAAGCTGTAAGAGGTCGCAATATAATCTGGATATAAGTCTTTAATCAGATATATGTTTTGCAATTTTTTTCCATACAATGGCATTCTCTTTTCATTTTCTCAACGGTGTCTTTTGAAAAGAAAAAAATCTTAACTTCTATGAAGTCCAGTTTATCACTTTTTTCTTTTATAGGTTTGCAATCTTTGCCTAACTTAAATTTCACAGGTTTGTTTCTCACAATTAAGCCTATGCTCCACTTTAAGTTCATTTTCTGTGCATGGTGGGAAATAAGGGTGAAGGTACTTTTTTTCACCTGAAGAAGAGACATAATTTATTATTTTCTTCATACACATGAAAGTGAGGCCCAAGCAGGCTGAGAAAGGAGCCCAGAGTCATTCAGTTTAGAGGCAACTGAGTGATAATTGAACCCAGCTCTTCTGATTCCAAATAAAGTGCTGTTGCATGTTGCCTCCACTGTCTAGGTGCCCACATTTTCTTTAAGATGGTGATAAGATCCAGGTTAGAGCAGACAAACCTCTTTCAAGTTCTGGATCCATCACTTTCCCTGGGCAAGCTACTGAGACCTATAAAACCTTCATTTAAAAAAAAATTGTAAAATGCAGGTAAAAAGAATACCTTCACATGAGGCTGTTGTCAGGACTATTTGAATAATACATATAAAGGGCATAGATAGGCCTGGTATTTAGCATGTGCATCATACAAGTCAGTGTGATGGGATGGATTTTTTTTTTTTAATCTCCTCAGCCTTTCCCTTCCCTGGAGCCCAAACCCAGCTCCTTCTAGGCGGCACACTCTAAACTGACACTGCAGAAGGTTTGGGGTACACTGAAATAAGAAGCAGACCCTTCCTCCCATAATAATTCACTGGGCCTGTCCTCTGTGAGTTGTTTTATCTCAACACTAGGGCAGTATATTTGTTTAATAGACATTTCACTCTGAAGATGTTTTGGCAATTTCCCCCATCCCTGTCCCCAGGCTAGAGATACACATGGATTGAAGAATAGAAGTTGTGGCAGACAACTTGCAATTGTCTGCAAGATGGCCCCCCATCGTCCCAGCCTCTGATATTCATGCCGTGTGTAGTAATTGCTTCCCTTTGAATGTGGGTGAGATCTGGGACCTGCCTCAAACCAAAAGGAATATGGCAATATGACTCCAATGTGAGTCACTTCTGCAATTACATTACATAAGATTGTAACACTTGTCTTATGAAAAAGACTCTTGCAGGTTTTGATGAAGCAAGTAGACATATTTGGGAGGTCCACATGGCAAGAAACTGAGTACAGCCTTTTGCCAACAGACTAGAAACTGAGGGTGGCTTCCAGCTGTCAGCCAGCAAGAAACTGAGGCTTTAATCCAACAGGCCACAGGGAACTGAATTCTGCCAATAACCACATGAGTCCTAAATCCCATCCTTCCCCAGTGGAGCCTTGAGATGAGATTGGAGTCCGGACTGACACCTTGATTAAAGCCCTGTGAAAGGTCTTAGAGCCAGAGACATGCGGCTAAGATATGCCTAGACTCCTGATCTACAGAAACCATGCAATAGCGAATGCATGCTTTTCTGAAGTCATGAAGTTTGCGGTAATTTGCTATGCAGCAATAGAGAACTGACACAGAAGCCAAGATTAAAATGAAGCAGAATGCTGGAGAGAAGAGCGGAGAAGGTGAAAGATCAAAGCAAAGGAGGGAAGTGACAGGGGCAGGACTCCTTTCATGCCCATGTGAGGTGGCTCCCCCTGTCCTTTAAATATGCTTGGTGACCCCAATGGAAGCTCCAGCAGGCCCATGACTCTTGGCTCACAAAAAGCCCTACCACCACTTAAATAGCAAACATGGTCTTCTTTTGGAAGTTAGGATGCCTAGTCCCTTGTAGTAATCAAAACTGGCCTGTAATGAGACTTAAATTTTCTCTTTTCTTTCAGGTAGGGCCAGCCTCCTGTCTGCTGAGCAAGTGTGGGGTCATTGTCTCATTTATTTCCCTACTTCTCCTTCCTCGGCTTGCAAATAGTGGCTCTGGCCTCTCCACTATTGGAGCATGAGAAGACATGAGATGAGTGAGTGGAAAGAATAAGGGAAGCACTTACTTGTCTGGCGCTATTGGGAGATGGCTCTGGGCTCTAGGCCTGGCAAGGGTGTGAAGCTGTGTCTTCATTTTCAGAACACTTTGGAGTGACTTCAGTGGCTCTCCTGCTGGATCACCCTGTCTGCTATTCCCTTGATGCAGGCAAAAGTTCCCCTTTATGTGAATTCTTCCCACTTCTGTCCTCAGCCTGTTTGTTTTCTGGAAGGCCACATCTTATAGGCTTATTCTGTTGGGGTAACTTGGCTTCTGGCAGAATCCCTTTCCCACAGGATGTTTTTTAAACAACCCCATGCTAACATTCCTGCTATGGATTCAGCATCTGGTGCCCAGTATTCATGCACCTTTCGCCTGCCTATAGAGGAGAGATAGTTATTCCTCAACAAAGTAGTAGCTCCATTTCCTTCTGCCTTGCCATCTATGGCAGAAATCCTTCAGATTTCCACAGAGCATATCAAACATTAGTCTACCATAGCCATGCCCATGTACAAGGGGCATACATCAGCAGGCCGACTGGCTTTCTAATAAAGCTCTTTACAGTTGAGGGGAGGGGCGGAACACCCTTCCTTCGACTCATGGAAGATGAGGCTCACAGAATAAAAGCAGATACCCAAATACAGTTTGCTACAAATTCTTTTTCAAAATCAAATATTGACGATTTATGTTCTAAAATAATTTTTTTTTGAAAAATTGTATTTTGGTTTATCATCTCACTTTGGAATTTTGTACCCATCATGTTTTAGTTGAAATGGTTTCAATTTAACATCTTGTTATGTGATATTATTGGTCTCATGGTCTCCCCAACAACCCACCCCTTTCCTCTTTGACTAACTGGAGTGACCAAACCTATGTTACTTTGGCTGTTTGGCAGATACTAGATTCTTCTTAGTACAGGTTGGTAGCCTCTAGAGGCGGGAGGGGGAGGGGGTGATATGATTATTTTCCTGCAACTTTGCTTCAAGGTGGTGTCTTAATATGAAAGCAAGTCTCAGGCCAAATTCTGTCAACCATACACATCATTTTTTAGCAAGCAGGCAAACAACCACTTGTATTTTGGGAAAAACTCCCCCTCTCTCTGCCTTTGGGTTCCCTGACATGCCCCTTGCAGGAGTAGTTCCCTGAGAAACAGGTTCCTAAATGTATGATCCAAGGCCCCATCACTGGGCCAGCTAGAGGGATCCTCCATGAAGTGGGAGGATGTAGGACCAATGGGCTCCAGAACTTCCACCTCTGGTACCGATGGCTGAACGTGCACATTTCTTCTGCTTTATTCACGCACAAGTGGTGGATCCTGCTACCCTACTCCTAACTGATCTTATGCACAATGAATTTCACCAACAAAAAATTATTTCTAACATCCCATATGCTAATTAACTCAAAAGTATTGATTCAGGTAAGGACTCTTCATATACTAATTAACCACTCATTGCTAGAGTGTTGATTAGTGTTAACTTACACATATACACATCACACCACTTGTACTGAAGTATTTTAAAGTAAATTACCATGCACACAATACAGCACTAACAGAATCCTGATTTTATCTCAGCTGCCAAGTACACAGCCCTGAGAGATAAATCATGATTGCTCTTGCTAATTCAATCACAATAAACTTGGCTTTTTTTTTTTTTCCAATATACTCACTTTTCCAGACTTTGCTTGTGGTCATAGGTAGTTACATGATGGAGTACTCATCTATGAAAAGGAAAGGGAGGTGTACTGAGAACTGAGAAGTGCTTTCCTCTCTGATAAAAAAAAAAGAGAGAGAGACACAGGAGACAATTTCTCAACACTCTGCCTGCCTTTGTTTCCTGTCTTTGTATGTGATCAAGAGAAAATGTGATGATTTGCAGCTGAGGTAGCCACTTTGCAATTGTGAGGCCTCCAGGATGAGGATGAAAAACTAAAATGCTGAGGATGGCAGAATGGAAAGCCCTGGGTCCTGATGATCTTGTTAAATTATTGTTTTAGTCTGTGTGTGCTGCATTAACAAAACACCTGAGACTGGGTAATTTATAAATAATAGAAATTTATTGTGGAAGTTCGAGATCAAGTGCCAGCAGATCTGGTATCTAGTGAGGGCTGCTCTCTGCTTCCATGATGGTGTGAGGTTGCTTTGTCCTCACGTGGCGAAAGATGGAAGGCCAGAAGGGCCTAGCTGGCTCTCTTGAGCCCTTTTATAAGAATACTAATCCCATTCAAGATGACGGAGCCCTCATCGCTTAATCACCTCCTAAAGACCCTGCCTCTTAATTCTATCACATTAAGTCTTAGGCTCCAAAACATGACTTTTGTGGGGACACATGCATTCAAACCATACTAGCTGCCAACTCTCCAGAGTCGGGAGTTAGCAAAGTTCAAAGAAACTTCTGCCTTTATTCAGTAAAAATAAAATAAATAAATAAATATAACTATGGTTTTAGTCACTGCTAGTTAGGTTTATTTATTATTTGCAGCCCAAAATATTTCAACTGATACATTTGGCCTCTAGAATAACTGTGTAAGGGAGGGATCTTTTCTAAATATTTTATGCATTAAAATAATACACATGTACATGCATGCATACATACACATGCCCCACTCGCACTCCCAAGGCAGAAAACCTACCTTCCTCAAAGAGCCAGGGAACTCAAGTTTTTCCTCCTCTCTCAACCCTTTGAAATTTCCCATCCCCCAGTGACATTGCTGCTACTTCTGGAATCCATTCACCAGTGGTATAAAGGAGGGATTTTTTAAGAAATGAGATGCTCACATCTCAGATTCACCATCCAAAGTTATAAAATCCCTCATTTATACCACTGGTTAATTGTGGTTTTTGCATTGTTGAGATTTGACGTTTGATATTGGAATACATTCTTAAGCGTGCTTATGTTATACATCATTTTAATACACATTTCTCACTTTTTTTTTGCTAATGACTTATTACTTGCTGTTTACTTTATGTTTCTCTTAGACTATGGAAGTGATGTTAGACAAAAAGCAAATTCGAGTGATTTTCTTATTTGAGTTCAAAAATGGGTCGTAAAGCAGCAGAGACAACTTGCAACATCGAGAATGCATTTGCCCCAGGAGCTGCTAATGATTGACAGATGCGGTGGTGGTTCGAGAAGTTTTGCAAAGGAGAAGAGAGCCTTGAAGATGAGGAGTGTAGTGGCAGGCCATCGGAAGTTGATGACGACCAATTGAGAGCAATTATCGAAGCTGATCCTCTTACAACTATACAAGAAGTTGCCAAAGAACTCAGCATCGACCATTCGACGGTCATTTGACACTGGAAGCAAATTGGAAAGGTGAAAAAGCTCGATAAGTGGGTGCCTCATGAGGTGAGTGAAAATAAAAAGATCGTCTTTTTGAATTGTCATCTTCTCTTATTCTATGCAACAACAACGGACCATTTCTAGATTGTATTGTGACATGCAATGAAAAGTGGATTTTTTTTCCTTTCTCTTTTTTTTTTTTTTTTTGAGATGGAGTCTTACTCTGTCACCCAGGCTGGAGTGCAGTGGCATGATCTCAGCTCACTGCAACCTCTGCCTCCCAGGTTCAAGCAATTCTCCTGCCTCAGCCTCCCGAGTGGCTGGGATTGTGCCACCATGCCCAGCTAATTTTTGTATTTTTAGTAGAGACGGGGTTTCACCATGTTGGCCAGTCCGGTCTTGAACTCCTGACCTCACATGATCCGCCCACCCCAGCCTCCCAAAGTGCTGGGATTACAGGTGTGAGCCACCACACCCAGCCTAAAAGTGGATTTTATATGACAACTGGTGTCAACCAGCTCAGTGGTTGGACCGAGAAGAAGCCCCCAAGCACTTCCCTAAGCCAAACTAGCACCCAAAAAATGTGGGGCTACTGTTTGGTGGTCTCCTGCCAGTCTGATCAACCACAACTTTCTGAATCCTGGCGAAACCGTTACATCTGAGAAGTATGCTCAGAAAACTGATGAGATGCATCAAAAACTGCAATGCCTGCAGCCAGCATTGGTAAACAGAAAGGGCCCAATTCTTCTCCACAACAATGCCTGACAATGCCTGACTGCACGTAGCACAACCAATGCTTCAAAAGTTTAACAAATTGGGCTACAAAGTTTTGCCTCATCTGCCATATTCACCTGACCTCTTGCCAACTGACCACCACTTCTTCAAGCATCTTGACAACTTTTTGCAGGGAAAATGCTTCCACAACCAGCAGGATGCAGAAAATGCTTTCCAAGAGTTCATTGAATCCCAAAGCACAGATTTTTATGCTACAGGAATACACAATCTTATTTCTCATTGGCAAAAATGTGTTGATTGTAATGGTTCCTATTCTGATTAATAAAGATGTCTTTGAACCTAGTTATAATGATTTAAAATTCACGGTCCGAAACATCAATTACTTTTGCACCAACCTAGAATATATTACGCTGTGACAGCTGAGAAGAAGGTGGCACTTGGAACAAGCTGGATTTGAGCTCCCTAGTGTCCCGCAAAGTCTCTTTTATAGAATTTCTCACTCTCTTCTGCTTCATCTTGCTAGATGAGAGTTGGGCCCTAAAATTTAGGCTGCCCTTATCTCCTCCTCTAACCCACTGCCCTTATTCTCCTCCAAAATCCTCTCAGTAGAGGAATTTTGGAAGATTATAGTAATAAGACACATGAGCATTTGGGAAAGACAGGCATATAAGAATTTGGAGTTTATAGGCTAAGTTTATGGGACCTGTGTGCAAATCTGTCATGATGATGATGATGGTACCACTGCACTCCAGCCTGGGTGACACAGTGAGACCTTGTCTCAAAAAAAAGGAAAGAAAAAGAAAAAAGAAGAGATAAGAAAACAAAAGAAAGTGCAGGGAAGGGAAAGGGGAAAGGGATAAGACACAGTGAGAGGAATGAGGGAAAGGGAGAGGAAAAGGTGAGGAAGAGAGGTAAGGGGAAGGGCAGGGAAGGGAGAGAATATATATGTCAAGTGAAACTACGCAAGGTGGAAATAAGGGCTAAGTGACAAGAACAGGAAGAAACCGCTCATCTTCTTTTCAGCAGGCATCACTGTAACTTCAGGGGAACATCATTCAAAGTATACCATTTCCCACAGAGTATAATGTGGCTTACCCACAATTTCATCAGTTGTGTTCAAGCTGCATAAAAAGCATAGGAGCCAGACCTTCACCTGAGGGCACTACCATGTGGTGTCATTATTTCCATGACAAACAAAATCTTTCCCAGGAAATGGAACAGAGAAAGTAACTGAAATGTCTGTAAAGTAGTGGGAAATTTAGGGTAACTAAGCATTCCACATTTGTGAGATTGTCCTATTTTGTTATTCCCACCCTAGTGGTGCCTAAGGGTCCTATTTTTAAACAGGGAACCAGAACCAATCATCAGTGTGTGCAGCTTACACGTGAGGTCCAGATGCCTCATTTCCTGGTTCCCGGTACTCACTAAATAAGGAACAAGTAAATTCACTCCCAAGACCAACACCTGAACTGTTCAGCACCCCTCCTCCCTCAGAAGGACCTATCCCTCATCTTTATTTATGTTTCCTGGCTGGGACCTTGACCCAAGGAATGCCTTGCACCCCCCATCTCTACTGGTTTTCTCTACTCCAAAAAAACAATAAATATTTTTGCATTTTAAAAAATAGAATGATGTATGAAAAGGGATAAGCAGAGTTCTTAGAGATATACTGTATCATGACACTTAATAAAAATTAATTTCTCTTCATTTTCATTCTATTATATAAATTAGGTTATCATCTCTAGCTCAACATTTCAAGGAGGCAGGGAAGTAGAATTTGAAGGTTTCTTGAGTTGGTTGGCTTTGGGCACTGCAGATGAGAAAAATCACCTGCAAGTGTATTATAATTTGATAAATCATTAATCACTTTATTTTTAAACAAAATAGGTTGCTGAATTAATTCATCAGAATCAGACTCAAGAGTTCTGCTATCAGTTAGGATATAGAGGCTAATAAAAAGCCATCATTCTAATAGCAACAAAAATATCAGGTAAACTAAAAAAAAAATCTTATTTCTCTTTAAAGCCATTGAAGATTGCAGATGAAAACAAGATCTAAACAAACTAAAATTCATAGAGGGAGAAGACCCTTCTTGAGTGAGCAGATGGAAGACCATTTCAATTCATAGGGGAGTTGTTGAGTCTGGGGGAGAAGCAAGCCTGCTGCAGGTGGAGGGACTTTGTGTGAAAAAGGAGAAATCATCCAAGTTTTTAGGAGAGGTGCCTGGGCTGCATGGTGGATCAGAATCTGGAAGAGCCCTAAACTCAGAGTTAGCCTTCACCATACCCCAATTCACTCCCATGGAAATTTTATTCAAAAAGTAGAATAATCAGAAAGCTGGAATGAGGTCCAGAACTCAGAGAGAGATCTCATAGTCTTGTGGTGCTTAGATCCCAAAATCCAAAATCCTGCTGGAGCAAAGGGCCTAATCTCTCCCGAGTCATTTGAACCAGAAGTGAACTGAAACTAACTCTACTGTTACTCCAAGCCCCAATACTATTCAACTAGTTAAATTGATGAGCTCAGCCCCTAACAATCGCTGCTTGTCAGCAAAAGGGTGAGCCGTTTCTGCGGAAAATTATAATCTACTTCAGTCTCTATTGGTCTTTTACATATACACTGTGTCTGAAATAAAATTAAAAATTATAACATGCAAGAAGCAGGAAAATATGACTCATAGTTAAGAGAAATAAAAACTTTTCAATAGACTCAGACCCACAGATGATTCATATGATGAAATTTTCAGAGAAAAATATTTATTTACAATTATTATAATGTTTTGCAATTTGGAGGAAAGAAGCGATGGAGAATTTTGGCAAATAAACAAAAACTATTCAAAAGAAACAAATAGCAATTCTGTAACTAAAATATACCATTAAAAAGTAAAGTATTGGATGGGCTTAACATTAGACTGGACAGAGCAGAACAAAGAATTAGTGAACTGGAAGTGAGTCAACAGAAATTATCTCAACTAAAGCATAAGAAGAAAAATAAATGTAAAAATAATGAAAAAATATTAAAGACCTGTGGAACAATATAAACAAACTCAGCTAACATAAGTGTAATTGAAGTCCCAGAAATAGAGGAGAGAGAGAATAGTGAAGAAAAAATGGTGGAAGAAGTGATGGCTCCAAATTTTCCAAAATGGATGAAACACTTCAATCCATACATTTTAAAGGCACAGCAAATATAAATCAGAATAAATACCAAAAAAAAAAAAAAACACACACACACACAACAAGCACATTCTAAGGCTTTTTTATTATTTAAATTTTTATTTTTAGATTCAGGAGGTACATGTGCATGTTTGTTGCAAGGGTACATGGTGTGATTCTGAGGTTTAGGCTTCTACTGATCCTATCACCCAGATGGTGAACACAGTACCCAATAGGAAGTTTTTCAACTTTCCCCACCACAACTCCTTTTGGAGTCCCCAGTGTCTAGTGTTCCCATCTATACGTCCATGTGTACACAGGGTTTAGCTTTCACTTATAAGTGAGAATGTGTGACATTCAGGTTTCTGTTGCTGCATTAATTTGCTTTAGGATAATGGCCTCCAGCTGCATCTATGTTGTGACATAGAACATGATTTCATTCTGTTTTATGGCTGCATAGTATTCCATGTTGTATACGTACCACATGTTATTTATCCAGTCTACCATTGATGAGCACATAGGTTGTTTGTGAATAGTGCTGCAATAAATATAATAGTGCAGGTGTCTTTTTGGCAGAACAATGTATTTGTTACTTTGATGTATACCTAGTAATGGGATTGTTAGGTCAAATGGTAGTTCTATTTTTAATTCTTTGAGAAATCTTCAAACTGCTTTCCACAGGGGCTGGCTGAACTAACTTACATTCTTACCAACAGTGTATAAGTGTACCCTTTTCTCTGCAGCCTCACCACATCTGTTATTTTTTGACTTTTTTTTTTTTTTTTTGAGACATGGTCTCACTGTCACCCAGACTTGAGTGCAGTGGGACGTTCATGGCTCACTTCAGCCTCAACCTTCTGGGCTCGAGAGATCCTTCCCCTCAGCCTCCCAGGTAGGTGGGACTACATTTTTTTTTTCTGTATTTTCTGTAGAGATGGGGTTTTGCCATGTTGCCCAGTTTGGTCTTAAACTCCTGGGCTTAAGCAATATACCTGCCTTGGCCTCCCAAAGTGCTGGGATTATAGGTGTGACCCACTGCACTTGGCATTTTTTGACTTTTTAATAATAGCCATTCTGACTAGTGTGAGATGATATCTCATTATGGCTTTGATTTGCATTTCTCTGATGATTAGTGATGTTGAGAATTTTTTCACATGCTTGTTGGACACTTGCATGTCTTCTTTTGAGAAGTGTCAGTTCATGTTCTTTGCCCATGTTTTAACGGGGTTATTATTCTTTTTTTTTTCTTGTTGATCTAAGATCCTTATACATTCTGGATATTAGTCCTTTGTCAGACGCATAGTTTGCAAATATTTTCTCCCATTCTGTAGGTTGTCTGTTTACTTTGTTGACAGTGCCTTTTTCTGTGCAGAAGTTCTTTAGTTTAATTAGGTCCCACTTGTCAATTTTTGTTTTTGTTGCAATTGCTTTTGAGGACTTACTCATGAATTCTTTGCCTAGGCTATGTCCGGAAGAGTACCTCCTAGGTTTTCTTCTATGATTTGTATAGTGTGAGTTGTTATATTTAAATTTTTAACCCACCATGAGTTAATTTTTGTATATGCCGGGGTTGAGGGTCTAGTTTCATTCTGCATGTAAATGGAAAACCTTAATCATTACATTTATAGGAACAACAATAAGAATTGCAACTGACTTCTCATTTGGAAATGATGAAACATCATTTTTCATGTACTGAAATAAAAAAAATACTCTATCAACCTAAAATCTAGTGAAAATGCCCTTCAAAAATGAAGGCCAGATTAAGATATTTTCAGAAAAGTAAAAACTGAGAGAATTTATAATTGGCAGACCTGCACTGTAAAAATATGTATTAAGAAAAATTCTTCAGGCTGAAAGGAGAATGATGCAAATATGTCTATATCTGTAGGTAGAAATGAAAAACACTTGAAAGGAAAAAATGTGTACATAAATATAAAAGGAGATTTTTAAAATTTTCTTTATAAGACTTTGGCTATTTAAAGTATAGACAACAATATATTCTCTGGTTTATGATATATTAGAAGTAAAATATATGACAAATAGCACAAAAGGTGGAGGGGGTTGGTAAATGAAATTATATTGTAGCAAGGTTCTAACATTGTTCATGGATTGGCATGATAATAATTTAAGGTGGACATGATAAATTAAAGAACAACTATTATAATAATCTCTATATAACTACTAAAAATAATATAAAGAAGTATAGATAAATTTCATCAGACCAAAGAGCATGTGCCCCAAACTAAAAGTCCTGATTTGGGCCTAGAGTTAGAAAATGTAACAGGATAAATAGTAATTCTCCTCTCTGAAAATTGTCTGGTATATGTTTATGCGTTAGTCTGTATCTGACCCATATTTTTATTTTCACTCTTTCCCCCATGCCTCTTTCTTTCATTTTCTCTTTCTTCTTTTTTCTTCTCTTTACTCTCTCTCTCACTTCCCTTGTACAATGTATGCTTTTTGGGTATATTTTAAAAATTTACTTTATGTATTGAATAATGGCATATTATTTCCTATCCTTTTTTTTTCCTCAGAGAAGCAAAATATCTTACATTTTCTTTCTAAAAAATAAAATGGATTTTTACTATGTGGCCCATCCTTAATTCTTCATGTGAGTCATATTGATCTTTGCTATAGCATTATACATTAAACTAATGGCTTCTTTCTAAGTGAACTTAAGACTGTGTATGTATTTTTTGAATGGGAGCAAGTTTCAAGCTCTGTATTACAAAAAATAAATTTGTAACTTATCCTAGCTTCACATCTGAGTCCATTGCTTTCTGAAATGTCTGAGTGAAAGTAAAAGGACTAGGAAGCAGAATGCCTGGAAGTGGGAAAAAGTCTTGTATTTCTCCAGGGGAGGCATTTGAGACATATTTCAGATGGCTGATTCGTATAATTTGAAGTTACAATTGCTTGTTCATTTTAAGCAAGTTACCTGCCCATGCACCCATGCATGTGCACACAAACATACATACGCTTTGCAGGATGTTTCAAGGTAAACAGCCAAATACGTCTTATAACAAATTCTTTCTTGTATATCAAAACCATTATTACCAATATCAATTCACAGTTTCCAAAGAGAGTTAACTTTGCTTGGCTACCACATTTTCCGTAAACCCAAGGCTGTCTACACTGGTATTCTCTGCAATCAGGAAATGAGCAGATCTGAAAATGAGGTGTCCTGCTATTTGGGCAACACACAGACTGCTGGAATGTTCTTATCTTCCTGGCAAATTCACTGGGGGAACATTTGACCATGGCCACTCCACAGCACAGTTGCTGTCACTCCAGCATAGTATGCGTGGAAGAATGCAAGTGCACAACATGTTTGCCTGGAAACTTGCCCACAGTTCATTACCAGAGAGTCCAGTCTATTGTATCTTAGCCAAATTAAGGTTTGGGAAGTATTCGTTTTGTGGTGAGTTCAAATTTTCTGTGTCTTTGACCCTTATTCCTCTCAGAGAACCAAAGTAGAAAAAGCTTAGCTGTTCATAAACATAGCATATAAATTAATCATGATTTGGGTCCTGAGGCTTTTTTTTTCAATAGTGAAGGTCAAGGCAAATGCCATGACACAGCCTGTCTTTCTATAATAAACAGCTGCTTTCCTAAGAAAAGTTGCACTAACAAAATTTGTCCTGTAATAATTTCTGTCATTTATTGACTGCTTATTATCTGTTAGACACTGTGCTGAGGTCTCACAAGATCATTTCATTGACTCCTCACAGCCCTAAAGATAAGCACTATTATGATCCTCATTTTACAAATGAAAAACTGAGGCCGAGTGCTTAGATGATTTTTACACTATTCTTGATGGTGCCTAGGTTCAAAGTCTAATTCAAATAAGTCTAATTCAGAGTGTTTTTTCCTAATCACTGTGCTCGACCACTTCTCATTGAAAACAAATAAAAAATTGTTGAAATGGAGAAAAAGAGTTTAGGAGTTAGAGAGTTTCTTTTATACAGTTTTATTACTTTTGCTGCTCATTATTAGTGCAAAATGAAAATAAATTATAGAACAGTTCACAACTACAAATGGTCGACAAAAGTAAACTCACACTGAGAAACCAACCACTCCTACAAGTAGCAGTGTGCTTCTGTGTTTTGGAAAACCAACTTTTCTTATTTAAGTGATGACAATTATACAGTGATTCTATCAGAACTCTAATGTTCTGCACAGTTAAAATTGAATGCCCTAATTGGTCAATGCCACTACATCTAGCTTGCATTCTGAAAATAAGCTATTGGAGAAATGCCTGTAAATCTAAGGTAGCTTTTTCAGCTATAAATAGGCCAGGATATATATATATATATATATATATATATATATATATATATATATATATATACAATTTTTTTTTTGAGACAAAGTATTACTCTGTCACTCAGGCTGGAGTGCAGTGGCACCATCATAGCTCACTGCAGCTTTGAACGCTTGGTCTCAAGTGTTCCTCCCACCTCAGCCTCCCAAGTAGCTGGGACTACAGGTGCAAGCCACTAGTTCCAGCTAGTGAATTTTTTTTTTTTTTTTTTTTTGTAGAGACAGGGTCTCACTATGTTGCCTAGGCTGGTCTTGAACTCCTGGCCTCATATGATCCTCCCATATTGGCCACCCAAAATGTTAGGATTACAGGCATGAGCTTCTGGGCTCAGCTACGTCAGATTTTTTAGGGAACCCCATGTTTATTTCTTGCCACATCTGAATTTTTAAGTTTCACATCATACGGAAAAAACCACTGAGCTCATTGTATTGGCTTTATTTTTTTTTTTTAACTAAATGTCTACAACCATCAGAGAACTGGGAGCATTGTGTCCTGGGAAAGAGCACAACCATGTAGCCTTTTCCTTATGTCTCATGTCTCATACTGCACTGGTAGACAGATGGATACTCAGTGTATCAGCAGATTTCTGCTGTAATAATTCTATGTAGCAACAACCCTCCTCCCAAACCTCAATAGCTAACAAAAAAAAAATTCAATTTAATGTTGATAGGGATATAGGCAGCCTGTGAATTGGCTTTGCTCAGCTGGGCTAAGCTAGACTCCAATCTGTGGTTTGGGTTTATGCCTGCTCCGTATGTCTTTATTCCAGGACTCAGGCTGAAAGAGTAATGATTACTGGGAACGTACGCCTTACTCAAAGGTAAAAAGTTTGAGACGCTTGACAGAAACTTGCTGTCTCTTAAAGTGTCTGCTCAGAATTGGTGTATTCTCATTTTACTTCTGCCTATATTCATTGGCCAAAAAAAGTCACATAGCCAAGTCCAAGTAAGTAAGTAGGGGCAGGTATGTATACTCTGTTTACTATTGTGACAGGCACTAGAAAGTATATGGCAGAGGTTGTGAGTGTATAATCCTTTATAGAAAGGAATAAAGAGTTGAGAACAATAATTCAATATAATCACACTGAATATTTCCTACAATATGTTCCTCATCCATTTTTTATAGGACCCATGATATTTTATTGCAATTGTGCTTATAGAAATACATAATTCTTCAGTAGACTGTGACTAGGTTTTCACCCATTTCCAGCCCCAAGGACCAGGGCACTGCTTCTCACATTAGTAGATATTCAATAAATATCCAAAGAACGAATGTATGAATAAATACACTTATAAGGCAGCGATTATGAACAAACAAATTATTTAATTCTCAAAATAAGATTATGCCAAGGCATCCTCTACTGGAAAGTTGATAAATTACTGGTATAGAAAGTAGTTATCTATAAGAAGTCTTATTTTGAAATGTTCCAACTTTGTATCATGTTATCCATTTGCTGGGTAATTATTTATTGAGCGTCAACTATGTGCCAGGTACAAGGGTATGAAAGTGAATAAGATAGACTCAATTACTGCCCTCACCAAGGTACTAGGCAAGAGAGACAAACAGGAAATGATCACATCCACGATTATGGAAGTGCAGGAGCACCTGATCCGTCCTGGGAGACCAGCAAAGTCTTCCTGGACACCATGACTTTTAAGCTAAGATCAAAACAGTAAGCAGAAAGAGAAGGGGAAGCAAGACGAACTTTCAAAACGGAGGAAACTATATGTGAGTAAGAAAAGACAAAGGTAAAACCCAGGTTCAGATTTAGGTAGCTGGGAGAATGGTGTTATGATGACATTTACTAAGAAGAAATATAGGAGGAAGAGAGTGTATGCGTTGGTTAGGGTGATGGGGTGGTGATGGGGTGGGTATGGGGATTTATTTATGAATACTGATGGCTTGGAGATACAAGTGGTACCTCCTGAAAAAGACACCCAGGTAGCAGTTGTATCTGAAAGTCTCAATTTCAGATGAGAGGTAGGAGCTGAAATATAAATTTGTGATTCATCCATATATATATGTGATATAATAAAGAATATATCTGGTCTTTATCCCAGTTCTTGGTGCAAAGATTTTGAAACCTTGAGTAATAACAATGTCTTTGTTATGCTAATGGGATGACTCATGCTGGGTTCCTAAATAGCTTTAGGATGGGGGCTGGTCACCAGGAAGACCAATCCCATGATTAGAGTGTTAGAACCTTAGGCTGCCAGCCCAATAATGTCCAGTGAGAGAAGTGAGGCTGGAGACTGAGCTCAACAACATGGCCAGTGATTTAATCAATCGTGATTTGATCAGTCATCGGTGATCTGATCCATCAACCATAATGAAGCCCCAGTAAAAACTCTGGAAACCAAGGCTCAAAGGAGCTTCCTGGTTGGTGAACAACTGATGTGCTGAGAGATAAATATGCCTGGATTCCTAGAGGAGAGGGCAGAGAAGCTCAGTGTCCTTCCCCTCCCAAGACCTTGTCTTATGTGCCTCTTCTGTTTAGCTGTTCCTGGGTTGTATCCTTTATAATAAAACTGTAATCATGTGAATAGCACTTTCAGAGAGTTTATGAGCTGTTCTAGCAAATTACTGAACCTGAGAGAGTCATAGAAACCCCTGAATTTGTAGCTGGTCAGTCAGTGGCTGACTGAGACTGACGTTTGGTGTCTGAAGTGGGGGCAATCTTGTGAAGGATGTTGTTCTTAACTTGTGGGGTCTGCGCTAACTCTGGGTAGTTAGTGTCAGAATTGAATTAAATTGCAAGACACCCAGTTGTCATCAGAGAATTGTTGTTGGAACAAGGCAGAAATTGAGATCATTGGCTGTTGATGAGTTCACCCATGGAAAGCATATGAAAAGATGATGTAGGGCAGAAACCCAAGAAATATGCGCATCTATGGAAATGTTTCCCAAAATGTCATTTCAATACCATTGGTGCTAAATTGAGTTTAGATTATATAGAAGTATACTTTTATTTAATGGCTATGTATTTATTTTAAATGTTTGAGCCATATTTTTCATATATGGCAAATTGTACTGTTTTTTCCATTAATAACAGTGACATAAAACTTCCTTATAAGGAAATTGAGTATATAAAGTGATATACTTTGGATATTTTTTCCATCCAAATTTCATGTTGAAATGTGATCCCCATTATTGGAGGTGGGCCTAATAGGAAGGGTTTGGGTCATGATGGTGGATCCCTCATGAATGGCTTCATGCCCTCTTTGAAGTAATGAGTGTGTCCTCATTCTATTAGTTCATGAGAGTGATAGCTGTTTAAAGAAACTAGCATCTCCTCCTCTCTTTCTTGCTTCATCTCATGACATGTGACACACCCATTCCACTTTCACTTTCTGCCATCAAAGCTTCCCGAGGTCATATCAAAAGCCAAGCAGATGTTAATGTTATGCTTGTACAGCCTGCAGAACTGTGAGCCAAATAAACCTATTATCTTTGTAAATCATTCAGTCTCAGATATTCTTTTATAGCAATGCAAAATAGACTAACACAGAAAATTGGTATCAAAGAGTAGAGCATTACTATAAAAGTACCTGAAAATGTGGAGGCAACTTTAGAACTGGGTAATGGGCAGAGGTCAGAAGAGTTTGGAGGGCTCAGAAGAAGACAGGAAGATGAGGGAAAGTTTGCAGTTTCTTAGCGACTAGTTAAGTGGTTGTGACCAAAATGCTGATGGAAATGTGGACAATAAAGGCTAGGCTGATGAGGTCTCAGATGGAAATGAGAAACTTATAGGGAACTTGAGCAAATGTCACCATTGCTATCCTTTACCAAAGAACTTGGAAACATTGTGTTCATGCCCTAGGAATTTATGGAAGGTTGAACTTAAGACTGATGACCTTGGGTATCTGACAGAATAAATTTTTAAACAGCAAAGCATTCAAGAGGTGGCAGGCTTCTTCTAACTACCTAGGATCAGATGTAGGAGCAAAGAAATGACTTAAAGTTAGAACTTATAATTAAAAGGGAAGCAGAGGATAACCACTTAGAAAATTTACTACCTGGCCATGTGGTAGAGAAGGAGAAAGCATTTTTAGGAGAGGAATGCAAGTGGGCTGTGGAGCAACCACTGACTAGAGATTCACATGAACAAAAAGGGAGTCAGGTGCTAATATTCAAGACAATGGGGAAAAGGCCTTGAAGCCATTTCAGCAATCTTTGAAGCAGCCCTTCCCATTACAGAACCAGAGGCCTTGGAGGAAATAATGGTTTGGGGGGCTAGGCCCAAGACCCTGATCCCTGTGCAGCCTAAGGACAGTGATCCCAACATCCTGGCCACTCTGGCTCTGGCCAGAGCTCAAAGGGCTCTAGGCATGGCTCAGGCCACTGGTCCAGAGGGCGCAAGTCATAATCCTTGGAGGCTTCCACATGGTGTTAAGCCTGTAGGTATACAGAATGCAAAAGTGAAGGAGGCTTGGTGGCTTCCACCTAGATTTCAAAGGATGTATGGGAAAGCCTGGGTACCCAAGCAGAAGTCTGCTGCAGAGGCAGAGCCCCTATAGAGATACTCCACTAGGGCAGTGCCAAGGGGAAAAGAGGATTGGAGCCTCCACACAGAGGATCACTGAAGTACTGCCCAGCAGAGCTGTGGGAACAGGGCTGCTGCTCTCCAGAACAGAGAATGGTAGAACCACTGGCAATGTGCACCCTCAGCTTGCAAAAGCCGCAGGCACTCAACTCCAACCTGTGAAAGCAGCCACATGGACTGCACCCAGTAAAGCAATGGGGGCAGAGCTGCCCAAGGCCTGGGGAGCCCACCCCTCACACCAGCGTGCCCTAGATGTGGGACATAAAGTCAAATATTATTTTGGAGCTTTAAGGTGTAATGTCTGCCCTTCTGGGTTTTAGACTTCTGTGGAGCTTATTGCCCTCTTATTTTAACCAATTTCTCCCTTTTCGAATGGGAATGTTTTACTCAATGCCTGTACCACCATTGTATCTTGAAAGTAAATAACTTGGTTTTTGATCTTACAGACTCATAGGTGAAAGAAACTTGCCTAGAGTCTAGAAACTTTGGACTTCAGACTTTTGATTGAGTTGATGTTGGAATGAGTTAAGACTTTGGAGGACTTTTGGGAAAAGATTATTATATTTTGCAAAGTGGGAAGAACATGAGATTTTGGATCCAGGGGCAGAATAATGTAATACGGATAACTGTTCCCTCCAAATCTCATTTTGAAATGTGACCTCCATTGTTGAAGGTGGGCTTTGTGGGAAGTGTTTAGGTCATGGGGGCAGATTCCTCATGAATGGCTTGGTGCCCTCCTTGCAGTAATAAGTGAGTTATTACTCTATTAGTTCATGCACAGGGCTGGTTCTTTAAAGAGCCTGGTACCTCCTCCTCTCTTGCTCCTTCTCTTGCCATTTGACATGCCTGCTCCCATTTCACCTTTCACCAGGAGTAAAAGCTTCTTGAGACCTTACCAGGAGATCAGCAGATGCTGGTGCTATGCTTGTACAGCCTGCAGACCTGTGCACCAAATAAACCTGTTTTCTTTATAAATTATTCAGTCTTAGATATTCCTTTATGGCAATGCAAAATTAGCTAATACTTCAGGTGAGTCAATTAAAAGAAAAACATCAGCAAAAACTGTAAACATGATATTAAAATAATTACACTCATTCCACAAATATTTAATGAGGGCTTATTATGCAACAGATCTGGAAATCCACTTGTAAACAAAAGACAAAAATATCCCTGCCCTCTTGGAGTTTATATTCTAGTGGGAAGAACAGAGAATAATCAAGACAAATAAGTAAAATATAGATAGTACATCAGATACAAATAAGTTCCAAGAAGATAAAAAGACAAGAATGTGGATAATAAGTTTGGAGAAGGAGAGTTGAAATTCTAGATTTCAAGGTCAAGGAAGTTCCCATCAAGAAGATGACAGTTGAGCAAAGATTTGAAGGAGAGAGGGAAGTATGATTTGTGGATATTTTGAAGAAAAACATTCTGGCAAAGGGAAACAGTAAGTGCAAGGGCCCTGAAGCAGGAGCATGCCTGGAAGCAAGGAGTCCAATGTGGCTGGAGAGGAATGAACCAGAGTTTAAGAGATGGGGGGAGGGAAGGGCAGCAGTGCAGATCCCATAGGACTCTGATTACTGTAAGAAAGTTGGCCCTTACTTGGAGTGGGATGGGAGCCATTAGAAGGTACTAAGTAGAGGACTGACTTGGTCCAACTTACATTTTAACAGCAACATTTGGCTGTGATGAGATGATACTGAACAATTCAAGAGCAGAGGTAGAGAGGCTATAATATTAATATAGGTGAGAGATGTCAGGGGCTTGCACTGGAGTGGCAGTCATGGAAGTGATGAGGAGAAACACGAGTCTATAAATAGTTGAAGATGAAGCCTGTCTTAGTTGGCTGAGGCTACAATAACAAAAATACCGTATGCTGGGTGGCTTAAACAACCAAAAGTTATTTTTCACAGTTCTAGAGGCTGAGAAGTGTAACATTAAGAAGCTGATGAATCTCGCTCCTTGTGAGGACCCACTTCCTAGTTTGCAGGTGGATGCTTTCTTGCTATATCTTCTTAAGGCAGAGAGAGAGAGAGAGAGCACATGCTCTGATCTCTTTCTCCCCTTATAAGGGCATCAATCCTATTACGGGGGCTCCACCCTTGCGACCTCATCTAAACCTGATTACCTCCCATAGGCTCCCCCTTCACACGGAGGATTAGGGCTTCAATAGACCTATTTTAGGTGGGATTGGGGAGACATAACATTCAGTTCATAGCAAAGCCAACAGAATGTGAGGAGTCTAAATGTGGGGTATGAAAGAAAGAATAAGGATTTCAAGGTGATGGCCTAAACAAATGAAGAATGGGATTGTTATTCCTGAATTGGGAAAGATGGTGGATGGAACAAGTGTAGGCCAGGAGAGTTCAGTTTTGGATAAATTAAGTTTGAGAAGCCTTTAGCATATCCAAGTTGTAGCCTGATATGTGCTGTTTTGGTGGAGTATCAGGAGCAAAGGCATGACTAGAGAGAGCTCAAGAGAGAAATGAGAAGAGGAACTGGGCATTGTAGATAATTCTTGCCAGGAGTTTTCTGTAAAGGGAAGAGAGAAATGGTGAGAAGCAAAAGTGGGGAGAAGGGTCAAGAGACGATTTCTTTTTTTTTTTTTTTTTTTTTGAGACGGAGTGTTGCTCTGTCACCCAGGCTGGAACGCAGTGGCGTGATCTCGGCTCACTGCAAGCTCTACCTCCTGGTTCACGCCATTCTCCCACCTCATCCTCCTGAGTAGCTGGGACTACAGGTGCCCATCACTATGCCCGGCTAATTAAAAAAAAATTTTTTTTAGTAGAGACGGGGTTTCACCGTGTTAGCCAGGATGGTCTCAATCTCCTGACCTTGTGATCCACCCACCTCAGCCTCCCAAAGGGCTGGGATTACAGGCGTGAGTCATCGTGCCCAGCCCAAGAGAGGATTTCTTTAAAGCTGAGAGAAATAGCAGTTGAGATGTGTGCTGACTGGAATGGTTCAATACTGAGAAACACTGATGATGCAGGTGAAAGGAATCAGAATGTGCCACCCCAAAACAGGCCACTTTTGCACAAAGATTATTTTAAGCTGAAGGGAACTGAGAATCAACAGATGCAGGAAAGTTTTCTGCCTTTCCCTTATCAGCCTAAAAACAGGGCATACATTTTCCCTTGGGGAAGATGCCCCCTCATGCCAGGACAAGGGCATACTTATCACTGGAGATGCAGAGTCAACACCAGAACAAGTGTGTATAACTAGACTTTACTAAAACAACCCTTCTTTTCCATTAGTTTCCCCATATATTTCTTAGTCATTTTTCTATAATTTATCATCCCTTGAAGCCAAACCTCCTTTCTTTTGTTAAATTGGCATATAAGCCCCTGAATCTAACTGATTTTTGAGTTTCACATCTTTTCTGTGTACTCCTGGACATGTAAATATTAAATAAAAACTGTATCTTTCCTTCTGTTAACCCCTCCCTTTTTAGTTGGATTCACTGGCCCCAGCCACTGAATCTAAGGGAGTATAAGAAAAAGTTTTTCCTTCCTGACACGGAGCAAGAACAGAGATGAGTAAAAGAAAAAGAGTGCACAAAGAGACAGACTTAAGAGAACAAAATACCAGAAGAATGGGGTGCCATGGAGACCAGAAGAGAATTTCTAGAACGTATCAGCTCAAGGAGTTAAATGCTACTCAGAGGCCAAGTGAGATCAAGGGTGAAGACAGGCTGGGCGCAGTGGCTCGCACCTGTAATCCCAGCACTTTGGGAGACCAAGGCAGGTGGATTCACGAGATCAGGAGATCAAGACCATCCTGGCTAACACAGTGAAACCCCGTCTCTACTAAAAATACAAAAAATTAGCCAGGCGTGATGGCAGGTGCCTGTAGTTCCACCTACTTGGGAGGCTGAGGCAGGAGAATGGCATGAACCCAGGAGGTGGAGCTTGCAGTGAGCCAAGATTGTGCCACTGCACTCCAGCCTGGGCGACAGAGCGAGACTCTGTCTCAAAAAAAAAAAGGGGGGATAAAGACATATCCACTGGACCTGGGGACAAATATGTCTTCAGTAACCTCAGAGAGAGGAGTTTCCACAGAATAATTGAAGTAGGCAAAGAATTGCTGAGTTGATCCCTGAATAGGAGGTAAGGAAGTGAAAACAGAGTATGGATACTTCAAGAAGCTTGGCTGTAAATGGCAGGAGATAGATAGAATTCCACTATTGAAGGGCTGACATCAAGTCAGTGGTGTGTTGTCTGGTGTTTAATGTGGGAAGGGACTTAGCATCTTTAATATTTGATGTGGTTTGGTTCTGCGTCCCCACCCAAATCTCATCGTGTAGCTCCCATAATTCCCATGTGTTGTGGGAGGGGCCCAGTGGGAGATGACTGAATCATGGGGGTGGGTCTTTCCCATGCTGTTCTCATGATAGTGAGTGGGTCTCATGAGATCTGATGGTTTTAAAAACGGGAGTTTCCCTGCACAAGCTCTCTCTTTGCTTGCTGCCATCCATGTAAGATGTGACTTGCTCCTCCTTGCCTTCTACCATGATTGTGAGGCCTCCCTAGCCATGTGGGACTGTAAGTCCAATAAACCTCTTTCTTTTGTAAATTGCCCAGTCTCAGGTATGTGTTTATCAGCAGCATGAAAACAGCTAATACAATATTGATGGAAGATACCAACCAGGACACAGAGGCCAGGAATATACAAGATAAGTGATACTTACTGGAAATCAATTGATCCAAGACAAGGGAGGAAGAGAGGTGTTTAGAACACAAGTGGGAAGATGTGTCCTACGTAAGGAGAGTGTGGCTTCTACTGGAATAGGTGTGAAAAGCCTAGTGCAAAGTCAGTACTGCCAGCTTTCCCAGGGAGAAAATCACCTTCTTATTTCCAAATCTACTTTTTAGGCTCAACTGCCCCTCAGGCAGCTACCCAACAGCTACCCAAAGGCCTCCCACCTTCATTGACCTCATTCCAACTACTTCCATTCTCTCTTTATTCTATTGTCCTATTTGAGGCCTGGTGTCCTTCAGTCTAGTACCTCTAATTAGCAAAATAGCTCTACTCATTTGCATTACTTAAGCAGCATTTCCTAGAAAGTACTGAAGGTAATATGCTAATCACAAGGACAGTCTTTAGATCCCCAAACTGAGGTAAAAGCACTATAAACTAATAAAACCTCATTTACTCTGTGGCTCTATTGCTTAAATCCTGCTTTCCAAAGTAAACAAAACAAAACCTACACAGAATGTTATTGCCAGAGGGAGTTCAGGAATCCCCTTCCACAGTCTGTATCATCCCTCCCCACCAACCTCGAATTCTTTTAGCCCAGAGGAGCTAAGTATTCCAAGACCACACGGCTTCTTGATAAGCAATAGTCAAGAACTTCAAGTTACCCTCCAAACTGTTAAAACTTCTTCACCAGTTTTATTAGGGCAATAGAGTGTATTGACAAGAAGACTGGAGTCCCAGGTCAAAAAGCTTGAATTTTTCTTTTTTTGTTGTTGTTGAAACAGCCTCACTCTGCCGCTCAGGCTGGAGTGATGTGGTGAGATCTCAGCTCACTGCAACCTCCACCTCCTGGGTTCAAGAAATCCTCCTGCCTCACCCTCCTGAGTAGCTGGGACTACAGGAGCATGACACCATGCCTGGCTAATTTTTGTATTTTTAGTAGAGACAGGGTTTCGCCATGTAGGCCAGGCTAGTCTCAAACTCCTGACCTCAGGTGATCCACTCACCTCAGCCTCCCAAAGTGCTGGGATTACAGGCATGAGCCACCATGTCTGGCCAAAAAGATTGAATTTTTAGTTTTAAAACTGTACATTTATTTTAAGCATCATACAAATTTTGTACCATCCTCTATATTTCTGTGTTTTGTGTTGCTTTTAATGAACTCACCCTGATTTTGTGTAAAATTGAAACTCCTGGAGAAAGAATCATGTTTATTTCAAGTTTCTTCTATCCCACTATTTCAATTTGAAAAAGCCAGCACTAGATGGTGTCACTCTTGATACCAGCCCATTTTGCACACTTATTTCTAAAAATTGGTACAGAATGGAACTTGGGTCTACTCGCCTAGTGCACAAAAAAAGCCAAATAATGATACCAGGATTTGCTGCAAGAGAAAGTGAGGCATTTATTGCAGGGCATCAAGCAGGAAGAATCAGGCAGTTGATGATTAGGACACAAACTCCCCAGTGACTTACAAGGAATGGTTTTTAAAGGTAGGGGTATATTTCAAGAAAGTAGAAGTTACAGGGAAAATTATAGCTTGATACACAGTGGTTATACATTTGTTTGGCCCAAAAAGGGGGAGTATCTTTGTAACCACCCAATGGGTTCACCTTACCCACTGCCTCAACAGAGCCAATTTATCAAGAAAGAGGAACGGCAATAGAGAAAGAGTAATTCATGCAGAGCTGGCTGTGCAGGACACTGGAGTTTTATGATTACTCAAATCAGTCTCCTGAACATTTGGGGATGAGAGTTTTTAAGAATAATTTGGTGGATGGGGGGCAGCCAGTGAGTCAAGAGTGCTAACTGATTGGGCTGGAGATGAAATCATAGGGAGTTGAAGCTGCACTGAGTCAGTCCCTGGGTGGGGGCCACAAGATGAGATGAACCAGTTTATCAATCTGGGTGGTACCAGCTGATCCATTGAGTGAAGAATCTGCAAAATATCTCAAACCCTGATCTTAGGCTTTATAATAGTGATGTTATCCCCAGGAGCAATTTGGGAAGGGTCAGAATCTTGTAGCCTTCAGCTGCATGACTGCTAAACCATAATTTCTAATCTTTTGGCTAATTTGTTAGTCCTACAAAGGCAGTCTAGTCCCCAAGCAAGAAGGGGGTTTGTTTTGGGAAAGGGCTGTTACTGTCTTTGTTCTAAACTATAAACTATAAGCTAAATTCATCCCAAAGTTAGTTCAGCCTATGCCCAGGAATGAAAAAGGACAGCTTGCAGGTTAGAAGGGAGATGGAGTTGGTTAAGTCAGATCTCTTTCACTGTCTCACTTATAATTTTGCAGTGGTGGTTTCATCTTGATGTGAGAGCTTACAGGTCATAGGTAGATTCTTCGATTTGCAATTGGTTAAGGAAGGCTCGTCTAAAAACTCGGGGTCAGCAGAAAGGAATGTTAAGATTTGGCCTATGGGTGTGACTCTCTCCAGGCTCCTTAGGGAAAAAAAAGACAGAACAAAGAATGGCAGTTGGAGTTAAGTCCTCAGTTCCCAATTTTCTGAGGTCTACACACAGCAGTCAACATTTTACATTTGGTGGGAGGGTCCAGATTTCTGAAAAACAACTCAAAACAACTCAAGAATATATGTTAAGATGTTAGCTTTTGTTTCTATAGGAAACCAAACATCATGTGACTCTAACTTACTTGAGTGACTATTGTTTACATTATTATTACCTTCTTGCTTAGTGGGTTATTCACTCACTTCCTTAATTGCTGGTGGCAGGGCAAGCTAGGTGCCTAGAATCTCCCTTGAAGGGATTCAAATCTTTCTTTATTTTCATACTTTGAAGGGGGTGGGGAAATCCAGCAGGTCCCTATAAGGAGCCTCTGCTTCATCTCACAATCAGTAACACAACAGTCTTTTATCACTGCTGTTTCTATATGTAATTCTTAACTCCCTATTCAATTATAAAATCCTATATGCAGATGTACTGGATGCAATGTTTAGTCTTCTTAAGACTCTCATCCTTTTTTTTTTTTTTTCTGAGACAGGCTTCTGCACCTTCAACTCATTCCACTTCCATATAGTTATGGTGGAAGCTGTCCTCTTAGTACAACATGGGCCGCCTCAGGTCACAGCTGATTGACCTGAGTATCTCCTTCACTTCCATCCACACCATAGTTGATTGGTCCAGGGATAGGCACCTGAATTAGGTCAGACCAATCAGAGAATTTCCATAGGCTTGGAGGACCCAGAATGAGGAAGTCTTTTCTTTCCCATGGCCAAAGTAGAGAGAATACAATCAGGAAACATTGGTGGACATTTTTCTATCATATGGAGAATAAGCCCAACATACAGTAAAAAGCAGATGTGAGATATAAACAGAGAATATTGATCTTGCTGAAGTTCTACTTTACTTTTCTCAAGGCCCAGCTATGGCCCTCCCCTTCCCATGACTTGATATTTTATTCTGGGGCCAATAAATTCTTCCTTTGCTTAAGCAACTTTGACAAGGGTGTCTGTTACTTGCTACAGAAGGAATTAAATATAATAGTTCTTCAGAAAGCCTGTGGTGCTGAACAAAGATCAGGGGATTAATAAGTCCTTGTTGATTGCCCGCTTGCCATTTATTGGCTTAAGTCTTGCTGAGAGATAGCATCCTGAGAAAATATTGACTGCCATAGACTCCATCCAAAAGATGTAACCCAAGGCAATTCACACCTGCAGTACTTAGTGAAATTCAAGACCACTGACCAGCAGGGAGAAAGAAAGTGAACACAAATGAAGAAGCTTCTGTTGTGAGGGCAGACAGAGTGATGGCTTCATCCCAGAATAACACACTGACAAGGGAAAAGGAGCAGGGAAATCATCTGGACCAAGGATCAGAAGACCTCTACCTTCATCCTGGATCTACTGCTGGCTCGGTGTGGGACTTTGGAACAACCATGGAACTTTTCTGGGTTTGCGTTTTCACATCTATGAGTGAGGAAGTTAGAGGAGAAAATTACCAATAAGCTTTTGAGATAGAAAAGCTGAGGCAGCCAGGCACAGTGGTTCACACCTGTAATCCCAGCACTTTGGGAGGCCGAGGCGGGTGGGTCACCTGAGGTCAGGAGTTCACGACCAGCCTGGCCAACATGGCGAAATCCTGTCTCTACTAAAAATACAAAAATTAGATGGGTGTGATGGTGGGTGCCTGTAATTTCAGCTACTCGGGAGGCTAAGGCTGGAGAATTGCTTGAACCTGGGAGGTGGCGGGTGCAGTGAGCCAAGATCTCACCATTGCACTCCAGCCTGGGTGACAGAGGAAGACTCCATTCCAAAAACAAAAAGGAAAAGAAAAGCCAAGGCTTCCCCTCCTTCCATGTTCTGAATGTTGTGTCCACCTAAAATTCATAGAGTGAAAACTAATCACCAAGCTGATAATATTAGAAGGCAGGGCCTTTGGGAGGTAATTAGGTAATGAGGGTTCTGTCCTTGTGAATGGGATTAGTGCCCTTATTGAAGAGCCCTAGAGAACTGCTTTGCCCTTCCATCATGTGAGGACACACAAAAGGTGCCACCAATGAGGAACAGGCCCTCCCCAAGCACTGAATGTGCTGGTTTCTTGATCTTGGACTTCCCAGCCTCCAGAACTGTAAGCAATAAATTTCTGTTGTTTATAAATTACCCAGTCTACAGTATTTTGTTATAACAGCACAAATAGACTAAGACACTTCCCCTTTACTCATGGGGTGCTCTAACACTAGTGCCTTCATCTTAAGGGAGTCGTGGGCTCTCATCACAGTCTCTCTGTGATGTGCCAAGTCCTGCAGGTAGCAGCCACGGATACTACCATCCGGAAAGGGTAGAGAAGGTCATTGGGAAGGTCCTTCCTTAAATGGAGTCTTGGACATCACCAGTCTGGACCTGAGACTGTAGGAGAATCTAGGCTTCCAAATCAAGGCAGCAGAGTGACATGCCTGCAGGGACAGAGGACTGTGCCAGGTAGAAACAGGAGCCAAATGGAAAGCAAATGTCTGCTCCTGTTTGGTGTGTGATAATGAGGGCCTAGGAAACCTATATCTTCTGTTTAAAAAAACACACACATATACACAAAACCAGAAATTGCATTGTCATATGCAGTCTCATGGTTTTAAAATGTGAGTGTCAAAAACAAGCAAACAAACCCACTGTGAAGGCAAAAACGACACAAAAGTAGAAAAAAAAACATTTTTTGACTCAATTTGACCCATGACCTCTGCACAGTATGGTGTATATGTTCAATTATGACTCTGAGTCCCATAATACTTTATTGTATCAATCTAATAGAGCTGCCGACATCCCATCGAGGGCCACTGCATAGTATCAGGATCAACATATTAGGATTGCCTGATTTGTGTAAACGTAAAGTCTACAGCCTGATGGGTGGGGGTAGAAGAGCCAGCATGCACACTGGTCATATCCAGCAGGGTTTACCAAGTATAAGAGCCCTGAGCTTCCACAGCTTCATGACACTTGCTTCCACTGTCCTGGCACTTGAAGGTGCAGTCTCGGACTGGGAACTCTGGACCTCATCCAAGATCCCATCCTCAGCACTGTTCTAGGTGGCTTCTGAGTGAGAGAGCATCCAGAACTTCAAGCCACACCCACATGAGCCATCACAATACCATGTAGACGGATTGGGGTGCTGTGGCCTCTTCTCTCCCAAAGGAATCTGTATGTGCCTATGTTGTGGTATATCTTAAGAAAATGTTTGGTTTAGTCAGATTAGATAGTTTCATATTGGATAATCTTTTGTTATGTCCAATAATTTTATAATAAATTTGAATCATTTGGAAAGCCCACCACTAGTGGGTTTACACTTATAATACCAAAGCCATGCAGCAAATGTAACATGATCCACCGATGGCCTTAGACTTCCAAACTTAAACAATGAGCCTTCCAAAAATGACCAAGAGGGTCACTCCAATGGACACTCAATGGACACTCCAATTCCCAGTTTCTTGCTTTTTTTCTTCTTTTTCTCTCTCTTTTATGAACACAGCTCTATTTTCTGGCTGCTCCAAGGTCAGAAGACCCAAAAGAGTCCAAAGTCATTAACCAAAGTCTTTCTTGTTCAGGGAAAGTGGTAGCCACATAAGGAGACCAAAAAGAAATGAAGTAGAAAGTCAGGAGTGGGGATGCTAGAATTAGGTCACTCATCTATATTTAATTCTGTTGGCTCTTTATGCAGCTTAACATTTACTTTCCATTTACCTCTGTTCGTTTTGCTGATAAGGAAGCAAAATTCAGACATTTTAAGTGCCTAGAAGGGAAGGATCTTCCAGTCACCATTTTCAATAAACTTCTTGGACACTCAGACACATACCTCAAGCTTAGTCCAGTGGAAAAAGATCTGGGATTTTTGCCACCCAAGTTCCCAGTGTTAGGGGCCCCCAGCTCTCATCATCTATCTTATTGGTTGTCCGGGTGCTTTGTTTTTTGCTTTGTCCTGCCTACAGCCAAGTTGGCACACTGTTACAGTTTCAGTTTGGGAAATGAGGGAGCGCGTGAAAGCGAACTTATGGGAAAGAGCATGTTGGAAGGAATCCTCTGGAAACTTACCCCGATTCCTAAAGGGGAGCCACTCCTGTCCTCTCCTCTGTGGTCAGGGAACACCCAAGGACATCAGCCTAGGCATATAGTGAGCTGTACAACCTGTGCTCCCAATATTCCATTTGAAAGGTGTTCTAGACTCTTTTTCTCAACCCAGGGCTGAATACCGTCTAAGAGATGTAGGGATGCATCAAACAAAGAAGTAAGGTAGGAGCCTTACAGCTCAGGAGACCCTAAAATTATCTCCACAGCTTGGAGGATGAAAGGGAGCATCATTCATACTCTTGCAAGGACAAAAGGTGTCAACTGACACTGTTCAGTGTGGCCACCTTCTTATGAACCAAGGAGATAAGCAGTCCTAACTCTGTTTTGGTCTTCGGTCCCTTTGAGAATGGGATAAAATGTATGAAATTTCTCCTTGCACATACCTACCCATATGTATATAATTTTACATAAAAATTCAGGAGTTCCAGATGCCCCCTTTATCTCATCCATTGATCCCAAGCTGGGGAGCCTTTTATAGTAAAGATAATAATCATCATCTATAAAGCCACTTCTTCCCAAGCTTCCATTAACTAATATTCTCTGCCTTGACATCATTAGGTCAGTGCTAATTTCTTTATGCCTCTTTTCCCAGTTTTCTTCTATCATTACAAGACACTCAACATTCCCACACCACTCCTTATGTCCCAGACTGCAATCCTCATGCAGCTCAGGGGCAGCAGGAAAATGACCCCTGCTCACTCTGCCATTACCTAGCGCTGTTGCCCAGCTTCATTTTTTCCAAAGTACTCAACACCACTTCATATCAGTTGCGTTTTACTTGCTTGACCCCGTTAGATATAAAGGTAGGGATTCCTGTCTGTTTGTGCACTGCTTTTTCATAAGTACGTAAAAATGGTGCTTGACATGTAACAGGCACTTCATAAATGTTTTTTGAATGAAAACCTGATGAATGGAAAACTAACAGTTATTGAGCTCCTACTATGTGCCAGGCATGCAAGTACTTTTACATACACTATTTCATTTTATCTTTGCAACAGCCTAATGATGGAAGGACTATTATTACTTTCAGTTTACAGACAAGGAGGCTGAGACTTACAGAGGTTATGGAAGGTTCCCAAAGACACAGAGCCAATGAATGGTGGAGCCAAGATTTAGACCCAACCATCTCACTCCAACATCTATGCTCTTAAGTACTGAAGTCTTACTGTAGTTTGAAGTCATTACATGAAATATTCTTAAGTCATGGGTTATTCTGTATCACAGATGGGACGTCTTGACTTCTGTTTTCTTTCTTTTCCCGGGCTGTTTTCTGTTTTCCTAACAGATTAAGAAATAGGCCAGGTGTGGTGGCTCAAACCTGTAATCCCAGCATTTTGGGAGGCTGAGGTGGGCCGATCACAAGGTCAGGAGATTGAGACCATCCTGGCCAATATGGTGAAACCTCGTCTCTACTAAAAACACAAAAAATAGCTGGGTGTGGTGGCGTGCACCTGTAGTCCCAGCTACTTGGAAGGCTGAGGCAGGAGAATCGCTTGAATTTGGGAGGCGGAGGTTGAAGTGAGCTGAGATTGTGCCACTGCACTCCAGCCTGGTGACAGAGCAAGATTCTGTCTCAAAAAAAAAAAAAGAAAGAAAGAAAGAAAGAAAGAAACCTTACCTGTTACCAGTTTCTCACAAATACACACACATACATACCCCATTTCTTTTCATAGCAAAATTGTAATGAGATTTGGAACACTGGACCTTGAAATATTTTATTAGAACAAGCATCTCCATGAAACTACACACCATTACTCACTTTCTACCACCCCCGCACAAACGATATCCATTTGATTGCAAGTCAGGTTGAAGAAACCCAGTGGTTGCAATTGAGCATTCACAGCATGTTTGGAATATAAGCCGAGGAGCCCAGCACACACTCAGAATGATGCATTGTGCCTGCGAGCCTGCAACAGCACATTCATTTCTCATTCATGAGGAGAATGGGACACTTCTAGAATGGGTCTGGGGCAGGTGACTGGGGTTGGACCGAAAGGCAAGCAAGTTGTCAACTTGAAAGGACAGACTCACCTTCTAAAATAGAGTTCTCACTGCCTCTAAGACGCTGCTGGTGGGGTAGAGATGTGAGTGCCTAAATCGCCAAGCAGAAGAAAAAAATCGTGCATGCAAAATCTGCATTAACCTCCACATTCTCATAAATACCAACCATGTATGTGCCAAGTAGTCATCCCTTGCTTATTTGTATTAGTGCGATTACTGAAGGTTCAAATTGAAATGAGCCCTTTCTCTTTTCCCCGAAGTCCTGGGGGGGGCTTGAAAGGGCCACATTAAGAAATTAAAAGTTTCTGATAAAATTCACTCATTTGATATTCATAGACATGCCAAGAATTGAGAAATAAAAGAGGAGAAGAGAAAAGGAAAGAAAACCAGAGCTCTCATTCTCCTGGGGCTGTACTTAAAGTACAGCAGTTATGCTTTCTAAGGAGCATAATGTTAGGACATTAGTGCTGAATCAGAGCGAGAGCTGTCATGCTGCTGAGCCATCCAAAAGGACCGGAGATGCAGAAGTAGATGCCCCAAAGCATCTTAGCTGCATCAAGTCTGATGACAGCATTTTTTTAGTAGGACCTCAGAAGTTGTGTGCCTCTCACTGGTCCTAGAATCTGGGATGCTCGCTTAAATGCAGATTCCTGGGTCTCCTCCTGTGTTTAAGAAATTAGAATAACTGAGAGCGGGGCCCAGGAATGTGCATTTTAACAATCTCCCCAGCAGAATCTGATGCTCACCTTCATTTGTTCCCTGGCCTAGTGAGCACTGCTCTAGATCTCTAGGCCTACAATTGAGATTAAAGGGTTCAGCTTGTTACTCTATATTCTTTTAACTTTGGTGATTTTTCTCATTGTGCTAGTTTAAAACCATCTACTCAGGAGTTAGTAGAGATTTTATTAAGAGCTTGGGATTCACAAATTTTTTTTTAAAAAAAAAGGTAAAAATCTGCACTTAGTATTTACAACAACCTTGGACAAGTTACTTAGTTCTTTAAGCCTCAGGCAAGTCGTGTTAGATGTGGAGTGATACTTACCTGTTGGTGTTGCTGAAGGAATTAAATGTGATAAAGCCTGTAAGGTGTTTAGTCTAGTGACTGGCATGAAATAAAATAATGATGAGGTGGCAGTGGTGGTGACACAGAGGCCCAGAGCTGGGGTGAGGGGGGCTGACAGATTCATGAGGAGTCCTGGTCTTCAGAATCTGAGAACTTGGCAAAATAAGAAAAGGGATGAGTAAGTTCATGTGAGGATGTTTGTCAGGGACAAAGAAAGCACCCTAGCTCTAGCAGCTCTACAAAATATATCCTTAGAACAAATCCAGCCTGCTCTCTGTTTGTAAATAAAGTTTTGTTAGCACACAGCCACACCTATTTGATTATACATGGTCTATGGCTACTTTTAAGCGGCAATGGCTGGGTTGAGTTGCAAGAGAGATCGTCTGGCCTAAAGAGCCTAAAAAAAAAAAAAGTCTGTCAATCCCTACCCTTAGTAAACTGCCAGGAGGGGCTTTTATTTTACACAGGAAGAGGGGCCCAAGAGAAGAAACTGAATCATGAGGAAAACAAAGGTGCCAGCTATGCTGTCTTGTGCTGCCCAGCAACACTCCACATACACACACTCACACACACAATACACCCCTCCATCACAATCCCCACGTGCCCGGGAGACTTCAAGGATTTGTCCAGTGTTCTCCTTCTGAGGGTTTCTCAGGACACCCATCTTCTAGCCTGGCCAAGGGGAAGGGGCATGAGGGTGAAAGCCATTATACTTAAACCCAAGCCTGGCCCTGCCACTAGCCAGCTCTGCAACCCTGGGCAAGTCATTTTATCTTTCTGAGCTTCAAGGTCCTCATTTGTAAAATGAGGAGTTTGGAGTTGTTTGAGCCATTTACTAATGCTACACATAGCCTAAGTTCAGGCCTCCACTGCAGGGTTATCAGTCTCAGTGTGTCTGTCAGAAATCAAGGAGTAGAGAGGTAAGAAGTTGATTTGGTTACTGGATATCTCTTGGTCCCTTTCCACATCAAGTTTCAGGCTTATACACTGGGAGTGGCATCCTTAATCTCTATCCAGTTTTGGATCTAGTGGCCAATAAATGAATGTCAATTTATATTATAAACTGAATTATGTCCCCTACCAGCACCCCCGCAAAATTCCTATCTTGAAGCCCTAACCTCTAATGTGATGGTATTTGGAGATATGGCTTTTAGGGAAGTAAGGTTAAATGAGGTTATAAGGTGTCCTAATCTGATGGAATTAGTGTCCTTACAAGAACAGGATACACTAGAGAACCCTCTCTCTCTGTGAGAGCCGTGTTAGAACAAAGCAAGAAGGTGGACATCTACAACTCAGGAAGAGGGGCCAGAGCAGAAACTGAACATGCTGGCACCTTGGTCTCAGACTTTCAGCCTCCAGAACTGTGAGAAAACAAATTTCTGTTGTTTAAGCCATCCAACCTCTGGTATTCTGTTATGGAAACCTGAGAAGATTAATACAATTAGATTCCAGGTGCGGTAACTTTGTAAGAAATAGCATTTGCCCAATCCTTTGCTCAAAGGCCTTCTTTTGCAGATGAGGATTAGAAAGAAGTAGTGGTAGACACTGAATATCATTATGTCCACCTGAATCTTTCCATCTCATATAATCTTTCTTTCATTTGAAGGTTTATTTTTTTAAATGAGAAACAGGAAAAAAAATGGACCTTGAAATCAAGAGGAATGCATTCTGATCCCAGCTCAATGGTATTGTGCAAATCAAGTCTAGCTTGAGAGTTTGGGGGTTGACCAAATCTGTGGTCAAAAACCTGATTCACCTTTAGATGTGTTACCTTGGTCAAGTTACTCAATCTTTCTGATGGACAGTTGCTTTATCTACAAAATGAGAATAATATCAGTAATTTACCAGGTCATGGTGAGGATTAGATGTAGTAGAGCATTGTAAAGAATGTAGCTAATAATTCCATGCAATCTAATAAATGTAGCATGTGAGAAGGCAGTTGTGCTAGTTATCTTTTGCTTTGTAACAAATTACCCTAAAACATAGTGACTTAAAACATAACTTAGTGACTTAAAACAAAAACTTATTATTTTATAGTTTCTTTGGGCCAAGAATCTATGCATGGCTTAGCTTACTGCCTCTGGTTCTAAGGTTTCTTACAAGGCTACAACTAATGTATTGGTCAGGGCAGCAATCTCACTCGAAGTCTTGACTGGGGGAGGATATATTTACTCACATGGTTGTTGGCAGGATTTGGTTTCTTGCTGTATTGAGGTCCTCATTGTCCTGTTGGCTCTCTCATATTCTTAGCCATGTTGCTTTCTCCATAGGGCAGTTCAAAACATGACAGCAAGCTTCCCAGAAAATTAATAAAAGAGAAAGAGTGTCCAAGATGGAAGCTATAGTTTTTTTGTAACTGAACCTTGAAAGTGATATCCTATGACCTTATACCACATTCTATTCATTAGAAATGAGTCACTAGGTCTGGCACATACTCAAGGGGATTGGCATTACCAAGGGTGTTACCAAGGGCATGAAGACCAGGAGGTGGGGATCCCTGAAGGCTATCTTAGAGGCTGCTGACCACAGGGGGGTAAAGTGTGAATAAGAGTAAAAACATACTCTGGAATAAGACTATACCCAATTCTCCTTATGAATGGAATTTCTCTACATGCTAAAATTTATTTGTAACTTTAAGATCAACACTCATGGCACATTTGTGGTCACTTGCAGGTATTCTTAGAGCAGCAAAAAATTTGAGTCACTCAACACAAGCATTCCTAGCTGAGGTGGGACAACAAAGTGACACTCTGCTTTTTTCATTTCAGCTCTCAGCCTGAGAACAAGTGTCTCTTTTGTGGTCTATTTAGTGCCCCATTTTTTCTCATTTTTATGCTTCATGATGGTGATTTTGTTGTTTAAAATGGTCCCAAAGCATAGTGCTAAAGTGATCCTAAGTAGAAGGCTGCTGTGTGCCTTACAGACAAAATATATGCGTAAGAGAAGCATCATTTGGGGATGAGTCACAGTGCTGTTGCTATAAGTTCAGTGTTAATGAATCAAAAGTGTATATTGAATAAGATATCTTTAAACAAAACATAATTAAAACAAGGTTATATATTGATCAGAGGCTCAAAGGAATCTAACCCTGTGTTTCCTGTAGGAGCAACTGTTTAGTACTTGTTAATTCAGTGCTCACAGCCACTTTATAGAACATAACTGCCACAAATAATGAGAACTGACTGTGTTTGCGTAAAATCAACTCCACCACTTGCCCAGCTGTGCCATCCTGGGAAAGCTTCTTAACCTCTCTGTGTTTTATCTTTATTAAGAGAAAAACAGGGATACCATAGGACCTACAGCCAAGGGCTTTGGGGAGGATAAACTGTGATGTTCCTGGTACAGCAACTGGCACACAGCAAATGCTTAATAAATAGGAGATATTATTATAATTATTATTGTCTGAGTTCAGTTTCTTCATGATCATAGCAAATTTTCCGGAAGTGTACTTTCTTCTATTCTGGGACAGTATCTGGTGCAGAGTAGGCACTTATGAAAGATATATTAAATGAAATAAGAATTCTCTGATCATATTAGGTGGAAGATCAAAAGCTGGAAGAAAGCAAGTTCCTCTGTTCCTGGTCTCTGGGTTTGATATTACCATTGTGGCTGGCAGGGGTGGGAGGGCGTGAAACATTATAAAAACTCTCTCATTAGAACCCACATCAAGACACTAAATCCATAGCATTGACAGACTGTTGACTCACCTCCCCCTGGAACCCAGAGAATGCCCAGCAGATGGAAATGTACCCAAGACGAAGAAGCCGTGGTATTTTCCCCATGTCACCAGGCGTGAAGCCAGAAGTGGATTTGGCAGTAGTATACAATGGGATTAATCATCTGTAAATAAGTCACCTACGTTGCCTTGGAGATGATTTTTTCATCTCTAAATGCCAAGTCATCACCATAAGAACTGAGGTGTGACATCCGTACGGCCTCTGGGCTTGGTATCTGACCTTGCATTTGCAAGTTGCTCTTCAAGCTGTCTTTCCTCAAAATGGAAAGCATTTGGGAGCTGTCCACTACAGACTATCTCAGGGAGAGTGTGTAGGTGGATTTCAGGGGCTACAACCATTAGTCCTCTCTTAGGAAGCCAGAAGTTATGCAGGAGGGTTATTGGTGGCACAGCTAAAGGAGAGTGTGCATTGTATCCTGTTTCTTCATGGCATCCTGATGAAGCTGTGTGACTCAGAACCAGTTAATTTCTCTGAGATTTAGTTGTCCTCATTTGTGAAATAGCATCTATTTTGCAAAGCCTATGGAAACTGACCCAGATGAAGGAGAAACTTAAGCATATTCTTGGTGGAGTCATATCGCCACCTACCCCTTCTTCTCAGGGTTTAGTAATAGCTACTAACAATAGCTAACTTTAATTGAGCACTTATCTTGTCCCAGACATTATCTCATCTACTCTCCCCTTAACACTATTGTTATTTCCATTGAACAGATGAAGGAACTGAGACACGGAGATGTGAAGTAATGTTTCCAAAGTCACATAGCTAACAAGTCGGGGAGCGGGAATTTATCCCCAGCCTATCTGACTCCAGAGTCTGTGCTAACGTCTAGCAGCTTCCCTTAAAGATATCTGTATTTTAACAAGGGCATCTTGGAGACAACAAGATACATGCTGGAATTTCAGGTGGAACATTCGGCTAGTGAGAAAGACATCTGCAGAAAACAGGCCCTGCAGCACGCCTTACCCATGATTATCTTCCTCTACTTGAGAGCTGACCACAGTGCAATCAAACTAGAACTCAGGGTTGAGAGCTGACCGCCTAAAGTGGGATTGGAAAATTAAACTCACTCATTATTTCTTCCTTCTTAAATAAAGGACTATGATTAATTTGGTGTATTGAGCTGTGATTAACTCTGAGACTTTAGGGTCTCAGAGTTTACGGGGCTGAAGTGCAAGGGCAGACGCCCCCCAAATTCCACAGACCCTCTCCCACTCCCCAGCTTTATTTTTCAGCATCTGCTGGGCCTTGTCACTACTCTTCCCAACAATTTCTGAGCTAGCTATAAAAATCTCCCATTTTACAGACAAGAAAGTGAAGGCAGAGCAGTTACATGACCTAACAAGATAGAAAACAACTAATAGATATAACTGGGATTCATATCCAAGGGTGCCTGGCTTCAACATCAGACCTCCCTTTCCCGACATGGTCACCCCAGAAGGCTTCCCTGATGCTGCAAACCTAGGCCTTGTGCCAAAAGGCTTCATGAGTCTGGCTGCTACTAGGTGGCAGCTGAAACTGTGGAGTGTGCGGTGTGGCTGTGGAGTGTGGCAGGTGATGGGTGTGCCACAAAAAACAAAATCCTCTCTGGAGACAGACAGAAGATGTGGCCTGGAACACCAGCTCACATGTATTAGGGGCTTAATGTGACTCGGGTTGTAAGTTACCTTTTATCACACCAAGGAGAAATGGAACTCGAAAGATTCTTGTGCCAGAATTCCTACCTTGGATGTCAACCACAGTTTTGAAGAATGTTTCTTATTCACGTCAAAAAGGTCAACTTGTAGGCCAGCACCACAAAAATCCCTTCAAACATGGAATATCTTTCAAGCATTAATACCTTGAGCTGGAAGCAATAGAGATTTTTTTTGTTTTATTTTAAGACATAGGACAGATTCTGACACCCAACCCTAGAGCAATTTGGTGCCTATTGAACCAAAAATGGCTGCAGCAGCACGCACTGGTGCAAGTATAAATTGAAATAACATTCTGGAGGACAATTTAGCAATATGGATCAAAGAGATTAAACATGTGTGTAGTCTTTTATCCAGCCATTCTGCTTTTAGGATTGTAGTCTAAGGAAACAATGAGATATATGCACAAATGAATTCATCACAGCATTATTTTTATTTTATTTTATTTTTTCCATAAGTTATTTGGGTACAGGTGGTGTTTGGTTACATGAGTAAGTTCTTTAGTGGTGATTTGTGAGATTTTGGTGCACCCATCACCCGAGCGGTACACACCACACTATATTTGTAGTCTCTTATCCCTTGCTCCCCTCCCACCCTTTCCCCCAAGTCCCCAAAGTCCATTGTATCATTCTTATGCCTTTGCATCCTTGTAGCTTAGCTCTCACGTAACAGTGAGAACATATGATGTTTGCTTTGCCATTCCTGAGTTACTTAACTTAGAATAATAGTCTCCAATGTCATCCAGGTCACTGCAAATGCTGTCAATTCATTCCTTTTTATGGCTGCATAGTATTCCATTGTGTGTGTGTGTGTGTGTGTGTGTGTGTGTGTGTATGTATATGTATGCGTATATATATGTTTATATATGTGTGTATATACATATATGTTTATATATGTGTGTGTGTATATATATGTGTGTGTGTATATATATATATATATATATATATATATATATATATATACAGTTTCTTTATTCATTCGTCGACTGATGGGCATTTGGGTTGCTTCCACGATTTTGCTATTGTGAATTGTGCCACTATAAACATGCCTGTGCAAGTGTCTTTTTCAAATAATGACTTCTTTTCCTCTGGGTAGATACCCAGTAGTGGGATTGCTGGATCAAATGGTAGTTCTACTTTCAGTTCTTTAAGGAATCTCCGCAGTGTTTTCCATACTGGCTGTACTAGTTAACATTCCCACCAGGAGTGTAGAAGTGTTCCCTGTTCACTGCCTCCAGTCCAACATCTAATTTTTTTTATTTTTTTATTATGGTCATTCTTGCAGGAGTAAGGTTGTATTGCATTGTGGTTTTGATTTGCATTTCCCTGATCATTAGTGATTTTGAGCATTTTTTTCATATGTTTGTTGGCCATTTGTATGTCTTCTTTCGAGAATTGTCTACTCATGTGCTTAGCCCACTTTTTGATGGGATTGTTTATTTTTTCTTACTGATTTGTTTGAGTTCGCTGTAGATTCTGGATATTAGTTCTTTGCCAGATGTATAGATTGTGAAGATTTCTCCCACTCTGTGGGTTGTCTATTTACTCTGCTGACTGTTCCTTTTGCTGCATTGCAGCATTATTTAAAAAAGAAAAATAATAGAAAAAATCTACATGTTCATTAATAGGGGATTTATTGTATTACCCATTGTGATTAAACTAGACAGGCACTAAAACCTCCTGACTTTCCCTCTCAATCTTGCTTCTCCTCCATGGCTCCCCATCTGGTTGATGACACCCTCATCCATGCAGGTGCACCAGGCAGAAACCTGGGTGTTCCTGAACACCTCTCTATCCTTACTTCCCCTCCCCAATCAGCCACCAAGTCCTGTCTGATACAAATGCTAAAGAGATCTCAAATCTGTCTCTTTTTTCCTGTGCCCACTTGGCACAAATGGAGTCCAAACCATCAACCACTGTCTCCTGGATACTCTTAGATGCCCAATATCCACCCAGAGTCCCCAGTTCTAATCTCTACATGCTTCCATAGCTAGAGTTCTTTTAAAGAAAAATCTGATGATGTCTTCCTTGCTTTCGTCTCAAAGCCTTTCCATTGTACTTGTGATAAAAGAATTCCACCATACGCTCAGCCACAAAACCCCATAGCAGAGGTCAGCAAAGTTTTCTGGAAAGGGCCAGATAGTAAATATTTTAAGCTATGTGGACCCTGCAGTCTCTGTAACAACTATTCATCACTGCCAGCATGGTGTGAAAACAACCACAGACATATAAATGAGTGGGTGTGGCTCTGTTCCAATAAAATTTTATTTACAAAAACAGGTGGGGTGCTGGATTTGGCCTCTGGGCTATTGTTTGTCAACACTTGTCTTGTAGGATCTGGCTCCTATTTTTCTTTCTAATTTCCACAAAGCCATTTCACCCCCATCTAGTCACTGTCTCCTCATCAGGACCTCAGGCAAGCTGTTCCCTCCACCAGCAATTTTCCTTTCTATTCCTAGCGTGCCCCTACTCTACCCCTCTAGGACCAACACATTCACCCCTGGCCAGCAGTTTCTGACTAGTCTAGTCTCAGCTTCAAAGTTTTTCTTTTAGGTTCACTCCCTACATCCAGACTTCCCAATTCTTCCCGAAGACTTAGTACTTGTTCTTTGCAGAGCTTGTGAAATTTGAGATTAAATAATTCTTAATGCAGTTGTGTGTTTATATGTCACTTCTGCTAGACCCAAAGTTCTATGAGATAAGGAATTATGCCAATTATTGATCACGACTATATTCTTAGTGCCTGGTATGGTGCCTGACACATACAAAATGCATTAAATATTTGTGGAAATGTTGACTGAATAAATGATCACAAAACTAGAAAGAAAAGGGCCTGTATAGATATAATGAAATATTAGAAGATACATGTATAAGTGATTTTTATTTTTTTCTTATACTTTCTTCCATTTCTCAAATGTTTCACAAAAAGCATATATTATTAGCCTACTCAGAAAAATAATTAATGAATGGAGAGAAAGAGAGAGAGAGAGGGAGACAGCCCTGCTTCTGTGTTCAAATAACCAGTGAAACAAGCCCATTTTTGGCGCACCCTACGTGTTGAACCATCACTTTTCTCTGCTTGTCCAGAGCTGCCTAATAAGCCCCTCTACTTCCCTTCGTATTGCCTTTACCTGGTCATTTTTCATTTTCTATAGGTCACTTCCTCAGATCCCGGAGCATCTGTGTATCTGGGTACTGATGTGAGTTGAGCCACTGCTTCCATTCCTGTGGCAGATGGGCACTAGTGTACATACACCCACACAGCCTAATTGGCCATCTAGGGCTTTCCAATGCCAAGTTTAGGAAGGGGTTAAGAGATTAACTGCTGCCATGTGAAATGACAAGCACCTGCAGTTTCGCAATGCAGAAGCTGTCCATGCAGATGGGAAGTGGGACAGCTAACTTATTTATTTCACTCACCAGTAGCTCAGCTTCCAACATCTGGTCATTTCCATGCTAGGCTGGTCTCCAAGTGGTACACGGGGGCAGCAGGCCACATGGCGACCATGTTCCAATGTACTCATCCGATAATTCCCTCCGCATTCGAGAAGAAGCCAATGAAGATGAGACTAATTATTATCTCCAAATAGAGATAGCATTTTGGTCATCTTCCAAAAAAATCTATGTGGGTAGAATAAGGGGGAAGTCAATAATTGACAAAAATGTGTGGGTTATGTAATGGATTATGGGCCTACAAAGAAGTAAAAGATCTATCACTGACTTTGATTTTTTAAAGTTCCAGATTAGATGGATATTCAACATAATCATATGGAAGGATAAGCAACAACACAAGGTAAGATAAATAGCAGCCGTAATTGTCAAACAAGTGATAGTGACAGTAAGTGACATGGCAGTCACACTCCTTCCAGTTCTGCGAAAGTCAAGGCCATTACTTCACATTCTTAAATTTCATGGCATATCGGAGTGTCATTGGCTATAAGTAACAGAAAAACCCAACTTAAGTAAGAAAGCAAGTATCATATCATATTTCAGAAGTCCAGAAGTAGGGCAGGGGCTGGTAACTTAGCAACTCACAAAGTTATCCTGAATCCTGCTTTTTCCATCTCTTCACTTGGCCATCCATGATTGTTTCAACCTCATACTTGGAATTAAAATAGCTGCAGCAATTATAGGCATGACATTCCTTTCTTATGGTTTTCTGTTTGGAATGAGGAAACTCTTTTTGGAAATCCTTCAGCAGATTCCCCTAATGTTTCATTGGCTGGAGTTGGATCATTCACCCCATAAGCCAATCTCTGGCAAAGGGACCAAGACGACCCTTGGACCAATTAGACTCACCAGTGGAGCTAGGTGTAGGGTCAGCTTCTCCTGAAGCATGTGGTTACATGGGAGATGGCTTTTGCTAGGAAGGAAAGAAAATGAATTCTAAGCAAGCAACCAGTACTGTCTACCACTCATGGATAATTTCAAGGTGAGAAACATTTTACACCTGCAGAATCTGGTATTGCAATGACTTTTCCAGCTTCATCTCTCACTGTATAAGTCCCCATCACACATCCTAGACCAAGCAGACTGTAATTCTCTCAGTTCTTCGAGAGCAATGTGCTTTCTCAAACCACTCTGGAATGAATTATTTCTGTTTCTCAACTTTAGGCTAATCATACATTGCTGTTTGCCCAGAATCGTACTGGTTTACGCTGGTTATCTTTGCATTATTACTAATAGTGACCCTTTTTCATAAGCCTTCCAACGTGGATAAGAACATGAAAAATATTTAGGAAAGGGAAGGGAAGTGTTTGGGATTGGTTGTGGACAGTCAAGGAGAGAAAGGAGTTTAGAATGACTCTCAGGCATCTGACTTGGGAGGTTGGGTAGGTAGAAATAGAAGTCATCAAAACAGGAATCAAGGAGGGGAGATTGTTTTGGAGGATATGTTAATGAGTTAAATTTTGGACTTAGGACATAGCTGGGTACAGATGACCAGGTAAACGTTAACTACGTAAGTTCAGAATTCAAGAGAGAAAGATATCATCTGGTGATAGAAATGTGTGAAATAGTATCACCCTGTAATCCCAGCACTTTGGGAGGCCAAGGTGGGTGGATCACATGAGGTCAGGAGTTTGAGACCAGCCTGTCCAACATGTGAAACCTTGTCTCTACTAAAAATACAAAAATTAGCTGGGTGTGGTGGCCTGAGCCTGTGGTCCCCCCTGCTTGGGAGGCTGAGGCATGAGAATCACTTGAACCTGGGTGGCGGAGGTTGCAGTGAGCCGAGATTGCGTCACTACTCTGGGCAACAGAGCAAGACTCTGTCTCAAAAAAAGAAAAAAGCAATATGTAAAATAGCATCTAGATACCTGAAGAAATAGTATCTAGATACCTGAAGTCATGAATATGAAAGAGATGACCCAGAAGAGATGTGGAATTAGAATGTGCCCACGGTAAGACTCCTGGTAAGGCCAACATTTAGAAGTTGTGCAAATGGGAGTGGAAGCAGCAATGGAGACTGGGAAAAACTGACCAGAGAGAAAATTGGGGAATCAGGAGAGTAGAGGCATGGAAGCCCAGGAAAATGAGAATTTCAAGAGGAAAGGAATGGTTGGTGAAGTCCCTAGTGTTACAGAGAGCTCAGATAAGGTAAAGATAAAAAAGAGTTTATTGACATCAGGAATTCATTGGCCACCTTTCCTGGAGCATTCAGAAAACAGCATAGAATTATATCATTTTAGTATGAAAGACAACATCATTAATGACCTAGTTTTTTATGAGAAAATGCTCTTTTCATAAGATTAGTTAAGATTTAGTGGCAGAGCCTGGACTGAAACTGCTAACCCTTGACTCATCATTCATGGAATTGGCCTATCACATTGTGTTGTCCCTTTCTGTGTGCTGAAACTGTAGAGACTGGTGAAAGTGGGAAGCATGCAGGATCAACAAAAATCAGTGTCCAACAATCTGGACTAACAATGTGACTTCCTCTTCTCCCCATCTCCACTACTGCTGCCTTGACTGCAACCACGATCACAACACTCCTGGACTGCTGCAGTCGCCTCCTAACTGATCTCCCTACTACCTCCAGTCCATATTCCTCACATCAGCAAATGCATCATAGTACTTCTCTGCTTAAAATGCTTCAAGGATGTATATTCTTAAAGTATAATAAAATAAATAAATAAATAAATATAATGGTGCTAATATTAACCCAGTGGCATTGTTGTGAAGATTAAATAAAATAAAAATTTAAGAAAAAAAATGCTTCAAGAAAGCACCAAGGCAGTTCAAAGCGAGAAAGGAGCTGGCTCAGAAACAACTGGATAAACATCTGAAAAAAACAACAACTAACCACTATAATGGCCAAAAATATAATTCAAAATGAATCATAAATCCAAACATAAAAGCTAAAAGTGTGCTGTTTCTATTTTAAAACGTTAAGAAAGTCACTCACAACCTTGGGAAAGGCAAAACAAAAAGCACTAATGATTAAAGAAAAAAATCAAATGGACTTCATCAAAATTAAAAGCTTAATGCTCATCAGAAAACACAGTTAAGAAAATGGAAGAGGCTGGGCATGGTGGTTCACGCCTGTAATCCTAGCCCTTTGGGAGGCCGAGGCTGGAGAATCATGAGGTGAGGAGGTCAAGACCAGCCTGGTCAACATACTGAAACCCCATCTCTACTAAAAATACAAGAATTAGCTAGGCATAGTGGCACAGGCCTGTAATCCCAGCTACTGGAGAGGCTGAGGCAGGAGAATCACTTGAACCTGGGAGGCGGGGATTGCAGTGAGCCAAGATTACACCACTGCACTCTAGCCTGAGCAACAGAGCAAGACTCTGTCTCAGACAAAAAAAAAAAAAAGAAGAAAAAGTCTTAGAGTGTGGGAAAATGTTTATATATATATTATATACATAATATATATATTATGTATATAATATATATTATAATATATATTATCTATATTATAAAATATATATATATTATAATATATATTATATATAATCATTTTACAAATCAATAATTAAAAGACCAAAACCTCAATTAAAGAAACTTTACAAAACACGTCACTAAAGAAGACATATGTAAGGACAGAAAGCAAATGAAAAGGTGCTCTAAGTCATTAATTATCAAGGAAAGGCAAATTAACATTTCAATGAGATATTATCTCATACCCATTAGGATGGCTAAAATCAAAAAAGACGGACAATCCAAATGTTGACAGGGGCTTTGGAAACCACTGGAACTCTAATACATTGCTGTTTGGAGGATAAAATGGCACATCTACTTTGGAATACTGTGGGAAGTTTTTTATAAATATGCACCTATCAAAAAAAAAAAAACAAAATTAGAAGACTTATACCATATAATTTCAAGACTTACTATTTTAATTAAACAGTGTGATAATGGTGTAAGCATAGACATACACAAAAATGAGACAGAATAGAGGATCCAGAAATAGAATCACTACATATGGTAAATTGATTTTTGATAAAGGTGTGAAAGACATTTAATGAGGAGCAGGATAGTCTTTTCAATAAATGGTTCATGAACAAGTGAATATACCTTTACAAAAATGAACCTCACACCAGATACAAAAATTAACTCAAAGTGGATCATAAACCTAATCATAAAACTAACATTATAAGACTTCTAGAAGAAAACCTTGTGACCTTAGGTTAGGGAAGGATTTCTTAGACAGGACACAGGCATTAACCATAAAAGGAAAAAAAAATGATAAATTAGACTTCAGCCAAATAAAAATAAATTGCTTTATAAAATATACCGTTACAAAACTGAAAATACATGCTACAAACTGGGAGAAAATATTGGCCAAACATATCTCTGGTAGAGAGATATGTTTGTATACAAAATATAGAAAGAATTTTCAAAACTCATTAACAAGAATGTAATGTAATTTTTTAATGTAAAAAGATTTAGGCAGATGTTTCCCCAGTCTATGAGAATGACAAAAAAGCATATGAAAAGCTCTTCAATATCATCAGTCATTAGGACAATGCAAAATAAAGCCAAGTGAGAAAAATGGCAAAGTAAGCGTCTTTGAAAATTCCTCTGTAAAAGCAATGAGAAAACTTGCAATAATGGTCAGGATTAACTCTTTCAGAATTCTAGGAATTAACCAAAGTCTTGTGTGAATCTGGGAAGCAGTTATTCAAGAAAAACAGGTGAACCTTATGAAGAACAATGAGCTTTGTGGCATTGTAAGTTGACCTACTCCCATCCCCATTCTCCAGCTTCACTTTAGCCTTGAAAACTAACAGCCCCACATCACAGTGAAAACCAGCAACCTGGCAGCCACTGGAAGGGGCAGAATAGGTAGGGTTAGAGCTCCTTTAAAATCCCACTCCCAGAGAATTGTCATTTGACCTGTCTGGTGGTTCCCTGGAAGACTTCAATAGCAAGGCTGTATTTATTTACCTGAGTCAGAGCGCAGCCAGTGCCTCCCTGGGGGCATTTGTCAGAGATAGTTACTGGCAGCTGCTTATCATCATGGCTGTCTGAGGTACTGGATAAAGCTTGGGCAAACAATTGATTAACCAAAGAGCCTAAAGGGAAAATCTGAGGAATGAGATGTCCATAGGGGCTCTGAAAAGCTCTGACATATTCCTGAATATCTAAGAAGCCATGTGCATGGGACAGTGACAGGAAAGGCCTGAGAAGGCCCTAAGCTCTCACTTCTGGCTGACCATGAGGCTCCATGAAAGAGAAAATTGAGGGCTGAGGTGGAGCTGTCAACTCTCTTGCTAAGTGTTCAGAGAATGCTCCTGTATTCACACATAGCTGCTTTGCAAAAACTGGGTGACTTATTTGTTCTAGGCACTTAAGACAATATTTGCACAGTCATTAGCTGTCCAGTAAGCTAATTAAGCTGTGACTTCAGTGGCCACCCTCAACAAAGAATGCAGATTTGATAGAATTAGGTCAGTAAAGTTCATTAAACAAACAATAACTACAACAGAAAGCAGCAACAACAACAAAAAATCCTAGAAAGGGGAGAGAAACTGACTTCCAGATTTGCAGCATTATGTTATTTAAAATAACAGTTTTCAAAAAATTATGAAATATGTAAAGAAATAAGAAAATATGACCCATATACAGGGAAAAAAAGCAAACAATAGAAACTGTCTGAAAAAGCACAGACATTAGACTTACTAGACAAATAATTTAAATCAGTTATTTTAAATGTCTTTAAAGAACTAAAATATGCCATGTCCAAAAAACTAAAGGAAATTATGAGACTAATAGCTCACCAAATAGAGACTATCACTAAGGAGATAGAAATTATGTAAAAGAACCAAATACAAGTTCTGGAGTAGAAAAGCATAATAGCTGAAGCGAAAATCCACCAGAGGGGCTCTACCACATATGTGAACTGGCTAAAGAAAGAATTTGCAAATATTAATTAGCATCTTGATAGGTCAATTGAAATGACTCAGTCTGAAGAATAAAAAGGGAAGAAAATGGAGGAAAATCAACAGAACATCAGAGACCCATGAAATAACACCAAGCATACCAAGAGATGCCAAATGGGAGTGGGGACAAGGTAGGTAAGGGGTAGAAAGAGTATTTGGAGAAATAATCACCAAATTTTCCATTTGACGAAAAAAAAAAACCAACAATGACATTAACCTACATATCCAAGAAGCTCAACAAACTCCAAGTAAGATAAAGCCAAAGAGACTGACACCTAGAGAAACCATAATCAAATTGTCAAAAGCCAAATCAAATAACATTCTGCTACACACTAACTAGAATGGTCAAATTTTATTTTATTTTATTTTATATTTTTAGTAGAGATGGGGTCTCACTATGTTGCTCAGGCTAGTCTCAAACTCCTAGGCTCAAACAATCCTCCCTCCTTGGCCTCCCACAAACTGCTGTGATTACAGGCATAAGCCACTGTGCCCGGCCTAGAATTGTCAAAATTTAAGAAGGTTGTGAGGCCCCTGGAACTCTCTGGCATTGCTAGTGGAAATGTAAAATGAACAGCTACATTGGAATATATTTTTCACTTTCATATAAGTTAACATATACTTAGCACATAACTAAGCAATTTCACTCTTAAAAATCATATTTAAATATTTATAGCAACTTTTTTCATAACAGCCCCAAACTGAAAACATCCTAAATGTGTATCAACTGATGAATGAATGGATGAACAAATGGTATCATATCCATACAATGGAATACTACTCAGCAATTTAAAGGAGTGAACTAGTAATACATGTATCAATATGGATAAATATCAAAAGCATTATAAGTAAAAGAAGTGAGACATAAAAGACAGTATAACATATGATTTCATTAATATATGAAAGTCTAGGAAATGTAAAACTGTGATGACAGAGAGCAAATCAATGACTGCCAAGGACAATGAGTAGGGGAAGGACATTGATTGCAAAGAGGCATGAGAAAATTTGGGGAATGATGTAAAAGTTCTATATTATGATGGTGGTGATGGTTACACACTGCATGTATTTGTCAAAACTCATCAAATAATTTACTTAAAATAGGGTGAATTTTATTGTATGTAAATTATACCACAATAAAGCTAATTAATTCAAAACATAAAAGAAAATAATAATATACCTAGTCTGTGATCCAGCAATTCCACTCCTAGTTATTTACCTAGGAGAAGTCCTCAAAAAGACTTATATAGAAATGTTTATAGCAGCTTTATTTATAATGGCCAAAACCTGGGGGCTGGGGGAAGCCCTTCAACAGAATGGATAAGCCAATTATGAACATTTATACAATAGAATGTTACTTAGCAATACAAAGGAATGAACAACTTGGATGAATCTCAAAAACACTATGCTGAGGGAAAGCGAGACACAAAACAATACATAGTGTATGATTTTATTTATATGAAGTTAAGAATAGGCAAAACATATATATGGTGATGGAAATCAGAAGAGTGATTGCCTATTGGGGGTGGTAATTGATTGGAAAAAGGCATAAGGGAACTTCCTGGGTTGATGGGAATATTCTATGTTGTGACTAGGGAATTTGTTGTAGGGCATATGGACTTATCACTCCTGGTAGAATGGCACACTCAAGCTCTGTACATTTCAGCATATGTAAATTTCATAAACTTCAAGTGATCCTCATTACACTTAGAATAAAATCCAGACTCTATGGAGACTTTCAGGGTTCCAGCCTGCCTTTCCAATTTACTTTGTTCCACACTATCTTTCCCTGACCATCCTCCAGGCACCTCAAGCTCACCCCAGGAATCACAGCCTTTGCATGTGTTGCCTTCTTGTCCTGGGTGCTGTCCCCTGCTTCTTCACATGGCTGGGCCATCCTCATACTTCAGGTCTAAGACTAATGCCAGCTTGTCTGAGAGGCTTTTCTTGACTGTACCTGAAGTAGCCCTACTTGGTTGTCTTCACCCTTAGTTTGTTTCTCTCATAGCATTTATTAATAATCCTTGCTATTTTTTGGTCAATCTACTTACTTTTGCCAGCCCATAGAAGGTAAGTTCCCACCTCCATAAATAGTATAGTTTAGTATTTTGTTGTTGTTGTTGTTGTAGGGGTGAAGAGGATGGAGGTTTAAAATTTGTTTTAATTAAAAAGTGACACCCATCACTTTTTTCTCTAAACCTGTCTCAAACACTTTTCATCCCTGTTGGTCCTGACTTTCCAAATTAAACTAAAAGTTTCCAAAGGTAGGTGTTAGATTTATTTATTTCTAAATGGGACTCCCTAGACACTTACATGGTTTGCTCTGATTTGCTACAAAAGCCTTACCTGCCCCCAAATTGTTGAGCTCACCTGCTACTATGTCAGAATATCAGAATCTTCAACCTTAAGGGTCCCTTTCGGAGTCAAGACAAAATATCATTAGAAGACCCTGTGGAAATACAAATATACTCTTGGGGGTGGACTAAAATGTTGTCATGTAGGTATAATGATTGATATCATGTGAAGTTTATGTCCCCCTAAAAATTCATAGGTTGAAATTCTAGCTCCCAAGGTGATAGTATTAGAAGGTGGGGCATTTTGCAAGGTTCCACCCTCATGAATGGGATCGTTTCCTTATAAAAGAGGCCCAAAGAGGCTTGTTTGCTCCTTCCACCATGTGAGGACACAGTGAGAAGGCACCATCTATGAATCAGAAAGCAGGCCCTCACCAGACACTGAATCTGCCAGCATCTTGATCTTGGACTTCCCAGGCCCCAGAACTGTAAGAAAGACATGTCTGTTACTTATAAGCTACCCAGTCCATACTATTTTATTACAGCAGCCCAAACAGACTATGATGATTATTATTAACTCTCTTTTACTCTCAAACGTGTCCAATTTTGGATACTAAATTATAGATCACCCTATCCATCAGGAAATCTCATTGACATAGTGGCACAGAGGAGAAGTGAGCCTTGATGAGGGCCAGGGGACAGCTGCGCTTGGAGGGGAGACAGGCATATAAAGCTAATAGGAGGTATCAGGTGTGCAACAGGAAGGCACAGGAATGGGAAATGGTGGACAACAAAAGGACTCCAGAAAGGGAATAGGAGATGTTCTGGAACAGGAATCATCAAGACAAACTTTGCTACTTCACGATTTCGTCAGGTGCCAGTTCAGCCTGCAACACGCACAACCCATTTATCTTTCCTCGCGGCAAAGGTGATTAGCACCAGACTTGTCCAGGAGAAAGTTAATGCATTTTAATAATTTACATTCTACCCACAATCCTTGTTTATTCTAGCAAAGGAGTTAGGGGCATCTATTTCAACACTTTAATTCTTTGAGTCATTTTCCAGTAGTAGCTGAAACTGTGCACAGGGTAAGCCCTGAGGGATGGGCTGAAGGGAAAATCCTCCATGGAGCTGGGTGAGCAATCGTTCTCAGGACAAAATGTTGGCTAGAGAATCCCAGTTTCTTGGTCCCTCAGGGAAAGTTAGTGCAATTCTCATTAATGCTTACCTCAAAGTTCCCTGATCTGACAACTCACAGTGAGTATCTCCTAAGCAGAGCTGGTCTATAGGGAAAAACTCCTTTTCAGATTTATCTTTCTCCAAGTCTGGAAAAGATTCCGTTTTTTTCTGTCATCTGCTGCCATGGCTGTTGGCTGATGTAAAACTCAGGGCTCATCACCAGGTAAAATGTTCACACGTTGTTTCCAATCAAGGTCTGCCACAGAAAGGTTGAATTTGCCTTTTTCACCCATTCCCTGCCACAAGCCCAAAGAGCAAAGGCAATGTCACCACGAGCTGTTTGACACCATGCTCATCATATATCATGCCAAGGGGAGAAAAGAGTCATGGTCTCTGTGAACTGTAAAAACTTACTCCAGAAATGTGGTCACTTGGCGGCTTTTTGGATTGCCTCACTTTTTCTCCCCAGATGGGCTTTTCTTCAGAATTGTTTTCCAAGTGGCAGCTTGTGTTTATTCTACTGGGCTTTTGGAGAACTTAGGAAAAGGAAAAATCAACAAAGTGTAGTTATGCACATGGAAGACCATATGCTTCATAAAACTGCATATGTGCTGTGTTTAAGATGTAAAGGAAGATATGCAAAAAGCCACCTGCCAACTTCCCAATCCACCTCGATTAAAAAACTCAGAAAGCCCATGTTCATAGTCAAAACCTACAGTGATGCCTTAAATTTCACAGACTGTTAAACCTGAAAGTTGAAAGTGCTATTCAAGGTTGCAAATACCAGTTCCCACAGGGCTGCAGGCAGGTAACAGAAATGAGTGAAGTGGGCCAGAAGGGATGGTCGGTGTAGAAATGGGAGTGAGGACCTTGCCTTTAGACAATTGTTGCCAAACGAAAACACAAAGAAAGCTAGAAATCCACATTATTTTATGAATTTTCCTCAATTTTTCAATGTTATTGAATTATTCAGATTTAGTCTAAAACATTCTGTAAACAATATACTCCACTAAGATTTGATCCAAGGGCTTCCAGTGTGAGACTTCTATTCTAGAAAAATTTCACTGTTAATTTTTTTTTTTTTTAAGACAGCATCTCACTCTGTCACCCAGGCTGGAGTACAGTGGCACAATCATGGCTCACTGCAACCTTGACCTCCCCAGGTGCATGCGATTCTCCTATTTCAGCCTCCCGAGTAGCTGTGACTACAGGTGTGTGCCACCAGGCCTGGTTAATTTTTGTATTCTTTTGGTAGAGACAGGGTCTTGGCATGTTGCCCAGGCTGGTCTCAAACTCCTGCGCTCAAGTGATCCACCCACTTCGACCTCCCAAAGTGCTAGGATTACAGGCATGAGCCACCATGCCCAGCCTCATTCTTAATTAATAATATAGAAGCTTGAGTAAACAAAGACACTTTCTCAAAGTCACACTGATTGTAAATACCAAAGGTGTCACCAGGGCTCAGCTCTTCTAACTTTTAGCCTGCTATTTTCCTCCTAACTCTGGTTTTGCACAACCTGCTTTAACTTGCAAGGTTTTATATACAGGTATTCAGATGGTCAATTTCATTGTGCTTTTGTCCCGACTGTTTTTCGTTTACCCTTCAAGATCCATTCTGCACCCTTCTTGATCTGTGTTTCAGGAGGCTGGCCTGTGTAGACTAGGTCAAAGAACTTCTTTGCTCTCTGGCTTTTAGCTGAGTCTGGCCAATGGGAGGTCTCAACAGGAGTTCAGAGGGAAGGTAGGTGGAGAGTGAAAATGGTGTGCTTATTCTCCTTGCTTCTTTCCTATTTCCTTCCATTAAGGGCTTCTCCGTGGGGCTTATTTCTCGGAGTTTCAGTAATGGCACCCTCTCCTTGCCCCTTCAGACTTGAGGATAGTAATGGAGCAAAAGTTTACGATGTGGGTCTCCACACGCTGCTCTGCCTGCCTGAGTGGGAGCTGCAAGTTAGTCCTGACTTCTGTCGGCCGTTTCCCTCCCAGAGTTGGTAGTAGTGGCTCCCTGTGGTTAGGTCCAGGGCGCTGTATTGTTCCTTGCTGGTTTCCCCAAATTCTGTCCACACGTTTGTAAACGGTCTCTTCATTAAAACCTCTTTGGTTACCCAGTGGAAGTAACATGACCACCACATGCTTTGCCTAATGAGAGTCTCCCTTAGTATTGAGAATCTTGTCTCCTGAGAAATCCCTCCGTGCTGGGCAAACCAACTTATGCATGAGTCCTATTTATATATTTCTTTTGAATTTTCTGCTTCTTGTATCATACTACTTCTTCTATCTTTAATAATTTTAAATGCTCTTATTTTATAGTCTCATAAAGATATTTCTATTATTTCGAATCTTTAAGGTGCTAATTATCCTTTTGAAGCATTTAGTATCTTCCTTATGATGGTAAATTTCTGGGTGTGAGTACTTCATGCCCTGATTTGTAAAAATGTCCCAACAATTCAGTTTCACAATTTCCCCTATTATATCCTAGGGGTTTCATAGACTTAGGCAATCTATGCTAACTTATCACTGGTATACATTTAGATACCATGCCCATATGTGGCCCAGACCTGGGGTTTTGATTTTTTGGACACAGCTTCTTTTTCTTTTTTTTTTTTTTTTTTTAACTGGGGTTCTAGATGGGTGGCAAGCTTACTTGCTTCTTTCCTGGACTCAGATGTGGAGTTTTTGTAGTCACCATCCCACGGACAATGCAACTTTTCAAGGCTCATGGCTTTATGCTGAAGCTTAGTTCTATTTTCCCTACCTAGCAAGGGCTTGAGGCCACATTTCCTGTACCCCAGTGGGTGTTAAATCCCCAACCTTCAGCTCTTAGGGCTTATATCTGGGTCAGAAAATTTTGCTGAAATACCAACTCTCCATTACTGCCCTGGCTTTGATTTCTCTCTTCAATTCTTGTACCTGGGGATTTTTTTTTTCTTTTATGCCGGAATATTTTTAAAAATTCTATTTCTATTTTTTATTCATCCTTTGTACAAGTTTGCTCTGCCATATTATCAGAACCAAAGATCACTTTGAAACACTGAAGTTCATGTCCAGCATAAAGTTGAGGTAAACTATGTGTTCCTGCTTCTGTCTTGCATAGTCACTAACAAAATCCAGCTGACAAATTAAGGCCAAAATAGAGCGAGTCTGAGGGGCCCAGACTTGGATACCTAACGGAGTGTGAGTCATTTCGGATATTAATCTAGCCTCATTTACAGTGATTGGCACCAGGAGGCAAGGTGGAAATGAAATATTCATTGCCCATTCAATATTACCTAATTTGTATGTCTAAGTGTTGACAAAAGAGAAGCCTTTGCTGTCTACTTTATGAGTAATTGTAAATTAATATGCAACCCTGCACCCATTCCAGGGAGAAGAGAATCACTTGGATTTGCCAACTGTTCAACAGCACGGCCTGGTTTTATCTGCAGATGTCACCCATCCCACCTCCCACTGTTGGAAACCAGTGGGAACAGAGAGACTTCCTAAGAGAAGTGCCTTTGGATAATGTCATAGAATCTTGAATCTAAGAATCTTAAATAATCCAGATTAAAAGCAACATTAAATATTATGTTTCAACTTAATAAATGAGGAAGATGAGGCACAACTTGTATTTCAGGTACAGATATTTCCTCAAATTCTTCCAAGCACTTTTGCAGCACTGCCAAACATTGTCATTTTGCTCCTGCAATTATTTTCTTGTTATGAGGCTTGCTGTTATTTTTTTTTCACTTGAAAAGTTGTATGGAACAGATCTTTGGATGTTCAATACCTACACAGATATAGTAGGCAGGACTGGAGTGCTACATCCATCAGCATGACTTACTGCCCAAACACGGCTGCTTTTTCTTCATTTGCTTAATACATTGGGCCCTGAGTTCTTCATGTGCTTAATACATTGGGCCCTGAGGTTTCCTAGGGCTCGGTTAGAAAGGAAATGCTCAGGGCTTTGACACATTGCAAATGTCAACTTGAAGTTCCAGACACTTCTCCAAGCACGTAGGCTGTCAGCATAAAAACCAGGGCCCCATAGCACAAAGCAGGTATCTCTACCATTCCCCAGCCTTGGGCCCTCTCTAGGGAGATTCAACTCAAGTTCAAGGCTGGGAGTGGGAGGCCATCTCTGAATCTAATTTCTTTATTTAATAAAAGAGCAGAGGCCAGTGGAAGAGGATCTCAGAGGAATAAAGCTATGTGGGGGTTAACCACAAGGGAAAAGCATTAATGTAATTGGAAAAGAAGAAAATGGTCGTAATAAAACTAGCAAGTATCATCTATGCCCTTCTCATTCATGATCTTATTTCATCATTACCCCAAAAAAAGATGTAAGTTAAGTACCAATATTAATCCCATTTTACAGATGAAAAAGCAAAGGCACAAGCAGCTCAGCAGGAGGTCACATAGCTGGTAAGTGGCAGAACCAGAGTTTCATTCAGACATTCCTACTCCAGAGACTTCAGTCTTAACCACTATGCCTGCTATGTCATAGATTCCAAGGAGCACCATAATTCAAACGTAATGCTTATATGTTTCTTTTGCATTTTCTTAAGTCTGCTCCCTTCTCTTATAGGTGTAGGTTTTAGTAATAACAATAGTTTCTAAATTTCCCTATATAAAAAAGCAGCAGGGTAAATATTTTACATGAATACATTTTCTTATTTATTCTCACAACCCTATGAGGCATTATTAACCACTGAAAAAGCTGAGACTGAAGGTTATTAGCCCAAGGTCATACAAGTAGTAAATGGCAGAGACTAGATATAAACCCAAACCTTCTAATTTCAAAGTCTGAGCTCTCATTACTAGGACAGTGAATATCAAACTTTATACCCTGGGAATCTTTTAGGAAAGCAAATTCCAGGCCTCTATTCACAGATTCTGAATAGTAGGTCTGGGTAAAGCCCTGGAATCTAAATTCTTAAGAAAGAAAAAAAAAAAAAAACCTCCCTGGATGACCCTGATGCCAATTGCTTGAGGATTCTGCTTTACCAAACCCTCCCCACCACATTATCACTGTGACTACAATGGGTCAAGTATTAACTGATCAGTTGTATTTTAGCTGTATTTATGCTATTGCTCACTGAATTTGCTCACTATATTGCAGGTGTCTCTTTCTCCTCTCCCTGCATATCACCCTGAGTATCAAGGCGACTGTGTTAGTTGGGACATTTCTCATTGCAAGTGACAAAACCCAATTAAAATCAACTTAAGTAAAAGAGGGAATTTACTGGCTCATTGGACTGAAACAGCCAGGGGCAAATCTAACTTCAGGCATCATGTTCAAGGAATTCATCTCTCTCTATGTCTCAGTTTTGTTTTCCTTTATGCCTTCATTTTCAGGCCCAGGATCCCCTCAAGGGTTGATGGCCACCTGCAGCTTCAAGCTTATATCCATGTAGTTTAGTGACTCTAAAGCAAAGAGAGAGTCTCATTCTCAATTGTTCTGGCAAAAATCCTTATAGGCTGATTTTCATTAGGCTGTCTTAAGTTCTCATTCCTGAAGCAAACACTGTGGCTAGAGGGTGTAGAATATTCTGGTTGGCCGAACATTAGTCAAGTGCCCACTTGACGAATGGGTGAGAAGTTCAGCCTGACCATCACCACATGGATTGAGAATGGCAGAGAGGTGGTTCTCCAAAGGGGAGAGCTGAAAGGAATAGAAGGAAAGGATAACAAGCAGGGAAAACTACCGAAGTCCAGCACACTGGAGCAACATGTCTAATTCCTGGAGCAGAGATGGCCATGCCACTATTTATTCTCCTCCCAGATGATGATCCAGCAAGGTATTCCCATACCCTAACTGAATTAGGCTGGCCTGGGGACCCTGAGACTCTGCACTAGCAAAACAAAACTTGGCTTTTTACAAACATTGTAGAACACACCATAGAATTTTAGGGTTGAAAAGGATCTTATCGATCTCCAGTCCAGCCATTTAATTTTGACATTTTAAAAAATCAACAGAATTAACCATTTTGAGTCAGAAAATTCAATAAACCATTCACTGAGCACATAAGCAAAGAGCAAACGTGTTCATTTGTGGAAGTATCACTAGAAGGTTTTGGAGTCTCAGGTTCTGGTTGCAGATGAAGGAGGCAAGTCCCTTCAGCAATTTGTTACCTATCTTCCTCCATCTGGAGACTTATAAGACTTTTCTCAGTGATGTACTGTTAGAGTCAGGAGTAGAACCCAAGTCCCCAAGTCTAGGACTCTTTCAACTCTGCAGTACGTTGTGGGAGGTATCTCCTTTTCTTACCTTGGTTGTGTTTTCTTCCCTCTTCACTAAAATGTATGCTTTCCACCCATCAAAAGTTTGCATCACTCCTTCAGCCAGCCTTTAGTGACTGCCCTCGGAACACCTAATTGTAGTGGGGAAGTAGTAATAGGTGAGATATGGTTGGTGCCCTCAAATTTACAACATGGGTCTCAAGCTTCTTGAAAACTACCACTTTCCTGCCAGCTCACCCCTTTCTGCATTTTTCCCTAGATTCTCAACAGTTCAGAGCCCTCTGCAGCCTCTCTCGTTGCTCCAAATCTCCTCCTCCTCAGGGAGGTTGTGTGGACACAGACTGACTGCTCACTATCCCACCCCACGGGCTTTGAATAACCTCTCTTGGAGCTCATTCTGCACCATGGACACCATCCGTTAAAATTTAATGGCAAGTTAGTAAAAAAATGACGCACTTTATTGGCAATTCAAATCAGGTTATTGGGCACCATCTGCCTTTCTTCAAATTAATGGGAAGAAGAAATGGATCCTTTGGGCTTTGTTTATTTTTAGATTATCACAAAAGAACCCAGAAGGCTGCCTCTAGATCATGTTAATCCCCACTGTAAATGAAGCCAAAATATCGGGGAGAGACAGGGGGTGGTAATAAGTGACCATAAACAGGTCTCCATTCACATGCAGAGATTATGGGAAAAGCAGAGAAAAGTGTTCCTGTCTTCCTGTCTTCATCTTGTCATTCCCCTTTCTGGACCAACTGGGGAAAAAAGCCAACAGAATTATAACCCCAAGGAGGTAGCCGATTGAGACTGCTGGAGTAATGTAAGTGTGGCCAGAACATCCTCTCTTCTGCAGCCCCTATCAAATTCAGGCCAAGCTGGTGGTTATGTTTCACCTTTGACTTCAGTTCTGGAGGCAGATGGAACTCCAGAGACCTGGAAAATACTAGACAGATCAAGTTTGAACTTGACCGAGAAATTCCCTCCACACGGTGCCCCTCTCTCAGGCTGACTTTCTAAAGCTCTTCCCCTCACAGGCACTGGCCCTAGGAGGCTCCAGTTAAAAAGCAAACAGGTTACCCAGGAGATGAACAAGTAACTCATTATCAACTGCTATCCCATCAGCACAGGTTCCCGAGCAGATGGCTGCACTGCACTCTGAGGGAAGAGCTCTGGGCTGAGAAGGGCGGATAGGCTACGGGACTGAACGTGAGCCTCCTGGGAGCAAATACACAGGAAATTGGGAAGGTTCGAATGGGAGAGAGAGATGAAGACATGGCACCTAGGTACTAGGGGGCTTGGAGGCAAGGATGGAGTATTGCCCAGAAAAGAGGAAAAGAAAGTGATGGAGAGCTGGAGAAGTCACAGAAAAGGGCAAGGTGATTTCAAATACAATGTTTGCTACCCTCCAGTATTTTTTCTAAAGTATGTTGTCCCAGATTGGAAGGAACACCAGAGCATTTGATTTTTCCATCCTTGATACAGTCATAGATATTTCTGGGGCGGGGGATGGGGGTCAGGGGGAATGGAGGAGGCTGTTTATTTTAGTAATCTTCACATTGATGTATTAATAAATTTAAATGACCTTATTACTCTAATTTGTTTTGTTTGTATGTTATAAAGTACAAGAACAACTTTTGACAATTTCCAGCAGCAATTATTTCATTTGGGGGTATTTTTTGCAATAGACTTTAATGCATAATTGTCAAGCTCCTATCAATGTCCTATCAGCATCTCATAATTATAAAAGTATTTCATCATTAAATGCACTTGGGAAATGCTGAAATTCACACCCTCATTCCTTCTGTTTCAAGTGGTCTTGTTTGCACACACCCAGTAATGGAGAATGCTATGCCATCAGCAGCGGCAGCTCATTTTGCTGTTGGAAAATTCCACTGGATAGAGTGTTCTCCATATGTCAAATCCAGGTGGTTCTCAAACTTCAGTGCACATAAGAATCAGTGTAGAGTTTGTGAAACTTGCCTTGCTGGGTCCTACCCTCCGAGTTTCTGACTCAGTAGATGTAGGGTGGGGTCTAGAATTTGCACAGGTGACTTAATCCCATCCATCTCCCTGTAATTTCCACTCCCTCTTCCGTGTAATTCCCAGAATGACCCAGCAAGTCTAATTCCCTTTCCAGTGTGCAGAACTTCAAACACTTAAGCCCAGCTCCCCATTGCAATATAAGATCACAAGGGTAGGGATAGGGCCAGTAATGGTTTCCTTGCCTTCTTCCCAGTGGCTTCAATGGTGTTGACAACAGTGTGCACGCAATGAAAATCTGTTGAGTGACAGGCACAGAGTCACTGCTATATAATTGTTGCTTGTTATTATTACTTCTGAGGAATAGAAACCTCACAAGACAGAGCTTCCTTCCAAAGGGCTCCAAGATAAGCTGTAAATGCACTCTTACCCTGTCTTCTATGTTTCTAAACCTCAATAGGGCCCAGATTCAGACAAAGAGTGTACTTTTGCTTTGGGTAAGGCATTTCTAGATTTTTTCTTGTGCAGACCTGGCAGGGCTGATGTTACTTTATATCTCTTTAGAGAATGGGCTTACAAAAAGAGTAACATGGTGGATATTTTCATCCAAGAATTCTCTTACTGAGTGGAAGGAAATAATGGAATAATGAATCTCAGCAATCGGATGGGAAATGGAAGAGTAAAACCAGTCTCCCATAGAGGAGGTTCTCCAGACGTCCTGGTAGTAATTTACCCTCGTATTAAAACCCCGTAACTGGAAAAGAGCACAAAAGTGGGCATGACAAGGGCCTAGTGCAAGAGCAGTAGGTTCTTACTCCTGGTTTTTCCAAGGGAATGGATGTTTCTCGGGTCTATTTCATCGTTATTACCATTCCCACCTTGGGCATGGTGTCCCTCCAGCGATGAAGCTGTTTTGCACCTATAGCTGGCCTCCTTGCCTCCCCAAACCCCTGCAGAGCCAAACAGCTGCAGTTTAAGGGAGAAGAAATAAAAAGCCTTTGAAATGAATCATCCTAAAGGCAACTCATTTTTTTGTTTGAGGGCATAAGTGGGGTATTCGAGAGCTGACTGGAAAACTTCCTTTTCAGAGCCCTTCCTGGCCTCAGGAACAAGTTTTTCCAAAGCCATCCCAAGCAACTGTCTCAGCAAAGAGACAAAACCAGAAGACACTATTTCTATAATTACAACTAATTACAATCTTATGATTCCATTTAATCTCCACATAAGGAGTTCACCAACTGAAGAACAGCACTGATCCTCTGTGCCTGAGCCAATTAGATATTTTGGTTCAATCCAGAATGGCTACCCAGCCTTTGCCAGGATTAATTTGTGTTTAGAATTTTATTTTTATAGCCTCCAAGGCATCCCAGATTTTAAAGGGACACTGGAAACCAACCACTTTTGCATGTCTGCTCCAGCAAGATCTGCATATTTCAAAAATCATTAAGAAGTTAATACTGAAGCCCATTTTACTTTTCTCCCCAATAACAAGATTTTTTTTAACATTGAAGTGTTTAGATTTCCCTGAGAAAAATAAAAATGATTTCTTAATACCTTGGAATCTTAATCCAGATCGTCTAGGAGAAAAGAGATTACAAGTGACATCTCAATTTCAGGCACCTCATTAGTCAGGGACTTGATTTCCGATGATTGCTCTGCTAATTGACTCAGAGCTGACTGCTCCTCTCTGGGGAAAGAACTCCATGAATCCTGCTTCCAGACCTCCAGGGGTTCGCAGACTCTTGCCTTTCACCATCTGAGGGTCCCAGGGCCTCGAGAGAAATCACAGAGGCAGTGGAGTCTCTGTCATTTACCTATTCTGAGATCCGAGGCAGGTTATTTATCCTCTCTGACCCTCCTCTTCCTTGGAGTATAGAATGAAGAAAATGCTGCCCGCCTGAAAATTTGCTGTAAGGATGAGAGCATGTGTTACTCTAGGGGCCGGGCACAGAGTCAGTGCCCAAACAAAATCATTTATTTGTTGCTTCAACCAGAAGTTAAGCACAAGAGTGGACATGCAATATCCAGGCCCTGTTTTCCTGTCCATTATAATCTGATGGGGAAAACAGATATGAATCAAATAATCCCCCAAATTACTTACAAACAGAGGTAAGTACAATAAAGGGAAGGAACGCAATTTTGTGAGAATTTCCGCAGAGCAACTGCTAGCTTGGTGGAGACGGGAGAAAGACTGAGGTCAGGGAAGCGAGGAGGAAAGATGGAGGAAGCAACATTTGAACCCAGCTCTGAGAGGTAAGAGGGCGGGGAGGAATCCACATTGTAGACACTGGGAAGGGCAGGATCAGGGAAAGAGGCCATTGGAGAGAGCAAGGGGCAGCATGGCAGAAATGGGGCTGGATTAATCACCAGCAATTTTCCATAAGTTATTGGCAAGCTTTATCCCACGTAGGCATACAGCGAAGTCCTTGATTAAATGACAAAATTTTCCAAGTATATCTTAAGAAAAAACTTTTAATCTTGCTATGAAATAAGACTTGACAGAAATACTTCCTGATCAGGTTACCGATTTCTCTGAAAAGATGCTTAATTTATGTGAAAGGAGAAAAAAAGGAAAAAATATATAATTATATATAGCTATATAATTATATGTAGTAGATAGCTAGAAAATGAATAAATGAATGCATTATAATTTGTAATAAGGAGAAGTAGACTTGGAGTTGACAAATGATCTGAGATAGAGGCTCAACCCTGATCACTACTAGCTATATTATCTTAAGCAAATGTGTTATCATTTACTCAGAGTTTTCTCTGTGACAGGCACTGTGCTAAGTGCTTACCCAACATGTACCACTGAATTGTTGCAGCCAGCCAGTGAACTACCCAAAGTCCTGCTTATCATCATCATTATTATCATCTCCACCTTACGGAAGAGACAGAGGCTTCAAAAAATTAAGTGACATGCCCACTTTTACATGTGTAATATACGTAACAAACTTGGCATCTGAATCCCAGCCACTGCCTCCAGAATCTGCATTCTAAAAATCACAGCATCATTTGCTCTGTGCAGCCAGAAAGTGGTTCTGAAGATCAAACAGTCACAGAAGACCTTTGTAAAACCCTCAAGGCCTCACCGGCAGAGGCCACCAGAATAAACAGCTCTGCCTTCTTGCCGTGAGACCAGACCCTTTCAGGTTCACTATGACTTCATTCCAACTATCCAATCAGGGTCTTCAGAAGGCATTTCCTTAGTAGGCCCCTTCACCTGCCTAGGGACCCATGCGTCCACTGTAATTACTGCCAAAGTACCATATGTATGTGCACATGGCATTTTTTCTTGAGGTTGATTACCCAAAATGTTTATGAGCTTCTGGGAAGAGGAATCTTCTCTCAAAATTCTGATTCAGTAGAGTTGACTCAAAACAATAAGGGACTGGGAAGTTCAGGAAAGATTTTTAATTCAGTCTGGTCTCAAACAGGAGTCACTTGCTCACTAAATGCGTTAGGTGGGCCCATGATGTGTCAGTCCAGAGGTCCAGCCACAGCTGGAATCCTTTAAGAATTATTTCAGGTTTACTCAAAACAAAACAAAATGAAAAATAACTTCCTTACTCCTTCTTTGTACATTAGGAATTAAATAACTTGCAGGAAAAAAAGTCTAAAACACATTAAACTCTGAACAATCTGTATCCCTCAAGTTCTGTACAGCCTTCGCCAATGTATATTGAAAATGTTTTTGCAGAATTGCAATTAGTATGTATCTTCCCCTTCACACTGGTTTTCACAAATGGTATTTCACATAAACATTCTTGTGCATTGGCATGGCCCAGGTTCTTGTTATTTTAATAACCTGGTAGTATTCCATTCTGTTAACATTTCTTGAATGCATTTAAGTTAAAAAAAGAAACTCAATTTTTGATCTTTGACACTTTGAATTTTGCTTTAACATTTAAAAAACTGATATGAAAAATGCTAACAATGTATGACTTAAGGGTTTCAGAGGATAGGCTTTGGAATCCAACAGACATGTACTTGAATCCCATTTCTACCTCTTACAAGTTATTTGACCTTGAGCAAATCACTCAAGCTGTCTGAGCCCTAGTTTCCTCATTGTAAAACAGGGATAATAGCAGTATCTTCCTCTTCAAATTGTTGCAAGATTAAGCATATTATTGTGCTTAAAGTGCTTTGCAGAGTGCTTGGTACATGCTAAAAGCTTGGTAAATGACAGTTCTTGGCATAATAGACAGGAAACAGAGAGTTGGATCCACCTAAGGCATTTTCTTTAAAAGGGGTGAAAACGTTATTTTTCCAAGGTTATAAAGAAAGGAAATCAGGAGAAATAAAGAAGTATCTGAATTGACCACATGTTGGTGTCAATTTACTTGCCAATTCCAAATCTGGGTGTCTGAAATGAACATTTTCAGTCCTAAAATGAGGATTGCATCCTGGGGCTCATGAACATGAATAAATATATTCAGAGAATAAACACACTCTACATGTCTCTGGCATGATTCCCCTGTTCAGCCTCAACACTGCCCACCTTTCTGCAAAGCAGGTCCTTCCACGCCAAGTCAGCCCTCCACCACCACCACCATCAAGGAGAATTTTCTGACACTTTCCCCAACCAATTGTCTGAACATGTAAGCTAGACAGAACCATGGTAATTCTCTCTTGTCCAGCTCATTTGCTTTATAGATCAGAAAATGGGAGGCTTAGGCAGGTGAAATGAATTTCCAAGTTTGCATATCTACTTAAGGGCAGAACTGGTATGTACAGAACCTGGTCACTTCTAATCATCAACCCACAGATTTTCTAATCGGTCATTTGTGTTTCACCTTGATGATATTTTATTGATCCATGAATCTTCTAGACTCCTATTTACTTGATCTTTCTTTTTTTTTTACTAAAAATAAATGTAAAAGGAAATATTATATAACTAAACATTAATAGATAAAAAACAGTATTACTAATTAAATGAAATAAAAGATAGTCAAAAAATAAACAGCAGACCTATAATTAAATTCTAGTTGAAATGCAACGATCTATCAAAGGATCAGAGATGGAAGCAAATGCTCTCATCCACAACAAAAGAAATTAGCAAGGGTTCAAGAGGGGCTGAACAAGGATAGACAACCGGCAGTCTAAGATTCCATCAAACAAAAAGTCCATCAAAGTTTTCTTTAAGAGGATAGAAAAGGAATGAAAAAGGAATAACTGCATTGGCTTGGTAGGACAGGTGTGAATTTGGGAAGTACTAGCCTGTGACATCCTGTCTGTCCTACACCATCTCTTACCTGTCACCCACCAGGGAATAGTTCCTGAAACTTTGTGTTTTGAGGTTGATTCTACGATCCCACAAAACTCTTCATTTCTTTGCTTCCTTCTACACTCTGAAAGCTCTGTTTAAACCATCAACCTTCATAAGTAAAGTTGTTCACAGTTTCATCTGCAGATAATCTTAGCTGTGGTTTAGCTTTGTGCATAGGCATTATCTTATTTAATCTCAACAACATCTTTTTAAGTGGAAACCACTGCAAACTCCATGTGAGGACTGACACACGGAGAAATTATTGAACTTGTCTATGTCTTCAGCTGGTAGCTTGGAGTTGCCTGATTCCATACTCTATGCTCTTAATCACTGTGGTACACTACTTTCCAGTCTAACTTCAGTTGATTTATTAATAATTTGCTTCAAAAATATTTACTGAATATTTCATATGATCCCATCAATGGACTCAGCACATAGGAACGAGCAAAGATTGATATAACTTAGTCCTTGTCCTTGACTTTTACATGTCATTAATATGTTCAACAAATACTTATTGGCCTACTACCAAGTGGTAATCTTGATGAAGAACCAAGAGATATGCATCTGAAAAAATCCACAAATAAACAATATAATAAAATACCAAAATGTACAGAGCAATTGGTAAGAGTTATGAGCAGGTCAAGAAAGAGATGGAGTGTTGGTCTAGCATTACTGGGGAGGGCTTCCTGGAAGACACGACCCTTGAAAGGAGGGAGGACATTGCAGGCAAAAGTACAAAGCAAGCAAAGTGATAGAGGAGACACCCAGCACTGAGTGGCAGAGACTCCTCTTCTTAATACCTGATCAATTGGCAACAACAAAACAAACAAAACACCCACCCAAAGGGCAGCAGGGTCTCACATTTCTTAGCTATAATTTTCAGAGATCAATGATAATAAACTCTGTGAGGCAAAAGTTCCTCCATTCTTAAGAGTGGCACTGGGTAGAAGGGGAGCTTTCACCAAAGATGCTTTAGGTTTCAATTGTGTGCCTGAGAAAGCCCTGCAATTGGCATGGCCTAGAATATCAACACAGGGGCAGGAAGCTTTCAGTTAGCCTCAGTGCAGCAGAGGGTGAGGAAGAAAAAACACACTTACTAGAATTGTTGGCCTCGAAAGCTTTGAGGTACACCAGCGAGGTCGGAGCTTAGAAAATAAGTCCAGCTCCTCACAGTTAAGTACCAAGTGCTGTGAATGACTCAGAGCTGGCTCATTATGGACCTATTTCAGCTAATCCTCCACAGGCAACAATCCTCCTCTTTTCTGGGACTGTGGAAACCTGGGGAAAAAACCATTCCTTTTCTAGTCAGGCTTGAGGGGGAAGAGCCATCCTTCTTTAATAAATCTCTGAGCTCACAGGATTCTTCTTACTGTAGCTAGTGCTAGAAAGTGTAGAGTTTGCAGGTCTCTGAAATGTTCAACACCCATTCTGCCCCTTCCTGATTACACAACAACAATAATAACATGTCTATTAGCCTATCCATCTTCTCTATTAGATGTTAAGTTTCTAGAATGTTACCCATACAATCACTTACCTGTGCATTAATCCAATCAATAACTGAGTGGCTCAACGTACTCACCTCTATTTTAGCACCTGTACACTTTATTGTACTTATTTCTATTGGAATCTGGCCCTTACCTACATCTCCAGCCTCATCTCCCACTACCCGGCACTTAACACTGTAAGGTCCAGCCGCATTGATTCTTCTTCCTAGACAGTGAGCTGGGCCTCCTCTCTCCCACCATAAGGCATTCACATGTGCTGACTCTTCTGCATGAGCATGGAACAAATATTCTTTTCCACCTTCCTCCATCATCTGATAAGCTTCTACTCACCCTTCAATCTCAAGTCTCACCCCGCCCTCCCAAGCCCAACTCCCAGGCTAGGCCAACTTTTTAAATCCTAGGCAACTGAAAATGTATAGTCTGTAAATACAATGAGGCAAGGGATCTTGTCTGATTTTGCTTCCCAGGAACTAGCATGGTGCCTGGCCTGAAGTAAGCACTCAGTATGTGTTTGTGGTTTGAATAAATGAATAAATGAACAAATGTGGTCCTTTCCTTCAGGGTTCTGTCAGATCCTTCAGGCCATGATAGTGTCTCATATTCTTAGTGCCTTGTGCCATGCCTGGCATATGAGCACTTAGTAAATGTTTGTTGAATGTGAAACTTCCATGTGCAAGTCTCCACTTTAAAGTACTGTGAAGGACCACAAATAAAAAGTTACATGAACAACAAAAAGCCAAGCACATAAACATATGGTCCCAACCCTTAGAGAGTTTTCAGCAAAATACAGGAAAGAGGACAAGTACATGAGAATCATAATGGTGAAAATAAAAAAGGGCAGAGAAGGAGTACAGACAAAGGGGCTAAGGAAGTTCAGAGAAAGGGAGATCACATCTGAGAAAGGGTATGGACAAGTTTTAGGGAGGAAGCCCTGAGCCCAGCAGCTATTCTAGTCTTTATATGGAAGCCGTGTGTCCAGTGCTCTGTTGGGAAGGACTGTTCCTGGGTCAAATATGAGTAGGGGAGGTGCCCACCTACCACCACTCCACTTTTGAACCCTTTCTCTATTTCATGAAGGCTCAATGCAAGACAGACAATTTAAAAGCCTGCAGGGGCCAAGAAACTAAGATAACCAAAAGGTGCAGGTTTACTGTGGCCAATTCCAAAGCACATTTCCTGCCTGACAAGCAGAGGCAGCTGTTACTCAACTACTGTCAGTTGTTGTCCTGTGTGAATACCAGCCCTGTGTAGTGATTTTTACTCCCCAAGAAAATAAAGAGATCCAGATTCTGAAATGAAGTCTTCCAGTTTTTAAATGTTGGCAACTAATTCAATTTTTAGGCTCAAAAAACATTCTTTAGGTCTGTGGATGGCATCCAGACTGCAGACCTCATCCAGTCATGAACAGCTGGCTTACAACCTCTGGCCTAAACAGGTTAGACCTGTGAAAAATTAAAGCCACCATTTTGCAGCCATGTGATTAGCACATGTTAACAAATCTGATCAAATCAGATGTTGCCAAGGAAGTGGAGCAACAGGAACGCTCATATTCAGCTCCTGGGAATGATGATTGGAACAGCTGCTCTGGAATGCAAATTGGCATTATCTTGTAAAGATAAGGAAATGCATATCTCATTACCTAGCAATTCTATTTTTGGCATATTCTCTAGGGAAATTGTTGCAAATGTGCACGAAGAAACATATAACATATAAAGAACATACAAGAATGTTCATAGCTGCATTGTTTATTATGGCAAGAAACTGAAAACAAATCAAATGCCAATTAAAAGATTAAATAAGCTTTGGCATAATCATAGAACAGAATAAAAATAACTAAAGTGCTATCAATTAACATGGATCTGGTGTCTTGAAGGGTTGGGTATACACTTCTAAGTAAGATCTTTCTTCTAAGGCCTCTAAGATCTTCTCATCTCTAATGTGAAGCAATCCTAGATATTACTAACCCATTGTTAGTGTAACCTTTATTCATTCAGCAACTATTTACAGACCATCCATATGCCAGATATTCTGATAGATGCTGAGGATGCTGTGACAAACCAGATATTGCCCCTGTCCTTACAGTGTGGTAGAAGAGACAATGTTAAACAATCAAATAAACAAATAGAGATGTATAAATGGTGAAAAGAACAGGATGCTATGAGAACACAATGGAGGAGGAACATAGCTTAGACGGAATAGGGAGGACTATAAAGGGTTACAAAAGTCCTCTCTGTAGAAGGGACAATTAAATTGAGGTCTGTGAAGTTAGCCAGGAAAGGAGAAAAGAACATATGAGGTAGAGGGAACAGCCCTGCAAGGACTCTGAGCATGCAAACAGCTTAACCTGCTCAGAGGGATGGAGAGGAGCTCATTGTGGCTGCAGCATGGTGCATTCACACTGGAAAGCTTGTTTGCAATGAGGGAAAAGTCTGAGTTCATCCTTCCACCCAATTTTCAAGATGGTTGACAAGCAAGCCAGAATGATGTATGAAATCTAAATGTCAAAATAAAATGAACTGGATTTAACCCACAGGCTTTCACTGTATTAACATGACATTCTACTAAACTACCAATCAGTTAGAAGGAAGAGAATATTAAGCTCAAATATTCCCCTTCTGCCTACGCTGAAGGACCAGAGGTTAAGTCCAGACATTCAGAGGATCAGAGTTCATTACCCAAAATATCTTCAGATATTAAAGCTAGACAAATTCATGCGAGCTACTCAGCTCCATGCAAGAAAGTATTATAACCATTCAATGATGGCTTTTCTTGTGGTTTCCAATTCACAAATTGTTTCCTCTCTATGCCATTTCCATATATCTATATATGGGTGTATGTGTGTGTATATGTACTCACACATATACATATACCACATAGACACACAAATATTTCAGAATCTAACTTAAAAGTTTTCTGTCCTTGCTGTTTGATCCTTGGTGCCTTGGCCAGAAACCCCAACTAAGCATAGCTCATATGCTACAGTTAAACTTTTTAAAATTTTCATCTCTTAGGTAATTATGAATGGGACAGCAACAGGGGCTCCTGCAATAGCCCACCAGAGGCTTCACAATTGGCATCAACACTTTTTAGGGACAGGCAAGCAGTATTTTAATTTCAATAATGGTTTTTGCCAAAAGCCCTCTATAACTAATTTTGCAGTCAGAGTCCACAAGACCTATTTAGTGTTTGGCTAAATCTCATGGAACATCTCGTTTCCCTTCAGTTTTTCATTAGTTTGGATTAAAAATAAAAAAGCTAACAAACATGGTTTGCATGAATGTTTCCAAATTACACCACACCAGCATTTTCAGAGGTGACCTCACTCCCTTTTCTCCTCATCTGAAACCCCTTAATATCCACAGTCAGTTTGGCAATGCCATCTCCATGCCCTGGAAGAATGTGGCCTGACCTTGCTCCCAGCAAAAGATGTGGAGAATGGCTTGTTCCTTACCACACAGACACTTGGTTTTTATAGTTGCTGTCATCTTTGCAGCTTTTTGATTTGCCAAGAGCTCAGCAAGGAGCATAACCTCATACCAAATAGGTCCCATTTAAGAGCTCTAAATGAAACTAGCAAGCAAAGAGGGGTGGGGTTCAGGAGATGCATGCAGAATGAAAGCATCCTGGAACTATGGGCAGATGAATTATCTTGCAGGATCCACAACTGAGACAGGTGTCTGCAAAATTTTCCATGAAAAAAGGTTGAAAATACTGCATAATCTGCTTTTATGATCTAAGTGCAAGTGATTGTGCTAGGCACTGGCATTACTTTGAATGAAGAGGTGAGTTATTGCTTGCAATTATTCACCACCCACATTCACCCATTGCTGTGTAACTTGTGCTTTCTGGGGATTACTTTGGGCTTGGCCACGTGTCAAGCTTTGGTCAATACAATTAGAACAGGCACGATATGAGCCACATGTAGGCAGAAGCTTTAAGAGGCATTGCCAGTTTCTGTAGATGTTTTGCTTCTCCCCCTCTTCCCTGAGAACTGCATGTCCCAGACAAAGGCTGTTCTCTCCACCAGACCTAGAATGAGAAGACACATGGAACAGAATGCTGCCCAGAACAGAACCACAGCCGACCTGCAGGGGAGCATGAGTGTTACAGGGATGAAAAAATAAATGCTTGTTGCTGAAAGCCTCTGAGATGATTGGGTAGTTTATTAGGTTAGCAAGCCTGATTAATGCACTTATTAATGCAGCAAAACAGACTTGATCACTTCTCTTATGGACCTGATGGTCTAGCCAGGGGAGGCACACAATAAACATATGAGCCAACTAATAATTATTGTAACTACTTATTTTTACATTAGGCAACATCTAATTATGTAACATCTCTTCCATTTACACCAACTCCTCTTCCTCATCCAACCACATGTGGCCCTGAGCCTGCCTTCTTCTGGCTACATTCTCTGAATTGACAACTCCATCTATTCCTATAACTTCCAGAAGCACCTCTCTTCAAATGCCCCTCAAATCTACTTCAGTGGATGACATCCAGACAGAAGACCTCATCCAGCCAGGCACAGCTGGCTTATGACCTCTGGCCTAAACAGACAAGACTTGTGAAAAATTAAAACCACAATTTTGTACCCACAAGATTAGCAAATGTTAAAAAATCCGATCAAATCAAATGTTGCCAAGGAAGTAGAGCAACAGGAACACTCATACTTGGCTGCTGGGAGTGATGATTGGAACAGCTGCTCTGGAAAACAAATTGGCATTATCATAAAAAGATAAAGATATGCATATCTTATTACCTAGCAATTCAATTTCCGCACATATTCTCTAGGGAAATTGTTGCTATTGTTGTACACATGCCAGATCCATATTTCCAACAGACAGCTGGATATCATGTCTGCAGGACCATTTGTAAACTTACACTCACCATGACCAGAACTAAATACATCTATTATCTCTCATGGTTTCTGTGGGCCAGAAATTCAGGAAGTGCTCAGCTGGATGGTTCTTCCCTAGGGTCTATAAATGAGGCTGGTGCTGAAACAGTGAGAGGGGCTGCACGTGTTGGGTCTGTTCAAGGCATTCTCTCTCTCTCTTTCTCTCTCTCTCCCTCTCTGTCTCTCTCTCTCTATCTATCTCCAAGTGTGGTCACAAGGCCTCCCTTTGTGGCCTCTCCATGGATGGAAAGTTTGGGCTTCCTTGCAGCATGGTAGCCTCTGGACTGTCAGGCTGTTTACATGGTGACTAAAGGTTCAAGGGTGGAATTATTCCAGACAGCAAGACAGAAGCTAAGTCACTTCCTGTGACTTTCCATCAGAAGTCATGTAATATCACTTCCACCATGTTCTCTTGGTTACCTACAAAAATGATTAGCCCTCTCAGAACCAAGAGCAGTGGAACCTGACTTTATGATGTGGTGGGAAAGAAGATCCTGTTGTAGTTATCTGTGGACGATACAATTTGCCACACCATCCATCAGATCTTCCTCCCTGCTTCTTTTCTGTGACTGGGACCAAATCCTGACATTTTACTTCCACAGTTGTTCTCTCCTTTCCATTCTCATAACACTCTCTTTAAGAGCAGGTTCAAATAACTTTCAATATGGGTTAGTGGTGATGTTAGCTGACTCTTACTCCAATTTCTCTTCTTTCCTCTTTACTGCTACCCAGTCTTCCTTCCTAAAGCAACTCCTGATCCTTCACAAATCTGCAGAGGGGATGACACATAGTAGGTGCTCTTTAAAGATTGGATTTTCTTGAAAATCTTTGAGGACTCTCCTTTATCTGTTTGGTTAGAGACAAAGTCCTTGGTCTGAGATTAAAAGATGTCTATAATATTCATTCATTTGTTCAATAAATATTTATTGAGCATCCACTCTGTGCCAAACATTGTGCTAGGAACTGGGGATAAAACAGAGATCAAGATGAGCAAGGTTCCTGCCTTCACAGAGCTTCTGTTTAGTGGGGAAAAGGAAAACAGTCACTCATTCATTCAAAAAACATTTCAAGTGTTGCACATACAACTGCCCATTCTAGGTGGGAAGACTTTAATCAATATAACATTAATATGTCCACATTGTGCCTTACTGGACACAACAAATTTAATTTCCTGCTTCTTTTTCTCTTGAAATATACACTCCAAATAAACTAGACTATCAATTTATTCCCTTTTTATTTGCAGAAAGTTTCCATTTCTACATTTTAATTGATGTTGGCTTCTTTGTCTGAAAGTCTCCTTGTTCCTCCCCAATCTTCAAATCTATCTCAAATCCTGTATACTATAAGAAATGTTCCACTCTGCTCTCTAATTCAGTGTGGATTCTTCCTCCTTTATATCTTCACAGTGTACAGTCTGCATCTTTCTCAGGCCACTCCTTATGTTCTACTTTGTGTGATAGACAATATATGTGAGTCTTGGCTTCACTACTAGACCACTAAGCCCTTAAGAGAAAGGACTGCTCCCTATTCATCTTTCTTGGTCTTTGTTACCTATACTTACTTATGGTGCATACTCAATATTTATGCAATTAGTGGAAAGCCTGGGAACAAACTTGAGAAAATACCAATATATTCCTCTGTTTTAAAACAGGAAATATTCTCAGAGTTGTTTGGTTGTAAGTTCTTAAAAATCCAACTCAATTTGGCTTCAGCAAAAAAAATGGAATATATTGGTGACATAATAGAGAAGCCCCTTGGTAGTTCCATGTCGTTGGGAATCCCTACTTTCTCTCTGTTGGTACTGCTTGCCACTGTGTTGCTTATTCCTAGACAGGGTCTCAGGTGGCCCACCAGGCTTCTATCCTATGAGCTTAGCAACCCCTTACTCTTTGCTAAGATCCAGGATCAAATGTCATTGACTCAGCTGAGGTCACAAACATAACCCTGCACCAATCACTGTGGCCCAGGAATGTGGCCCTCTGTACCTAGAAGTACATCCTAGAGGAGACAGAGGAGAGGTGAATTGTCAAGTAGTGCTGTGAGAAAAGCAATCTGATGGGCATGTGAAGGGTGGGCTGATGGCAGTGCCAGACAAAAGAGGGAAGTCTAAAACGGCATTTGAACTCTGAGATGGGAACCTCAGTTCACCCTATTCAGGAAAGATCAGTCAAAGCAAAGGAACAGGAAGAATTCTATCAGACCTAAAATGCAAAGTTCATGGGCAGCCTTTGGACAGCACTTACCCTCAGGCCCACAGGCTGTGAGGACATCATTGGATCGACAATAGAATAGGAGTCAGGAAACTTGAATTATCTCTTTGGCTCTGTGACTTACTCTTTACATGACCTTGGGCAATTCACTTAACATTTCTGGACCTCAGTTTCCTCATTTCTAAAATAAGTCAGGAGGGCTGCATGGTCACTGACTTCCTTTTCCATCTGACATTCTGCACTGCTATTTCTGATCTGAGTATAACTGATCTTTCCTTCATAACAGCTCTGGAATTTACTTCTCCCTGTCTAGTGGACTAGGTCTTTACAGGGTCATTAAGAGTATGACCTCTTTTGCTTACCAGCTGTGGGATTGTGGGCAAATTACCTAATCTCTCTTTGCCTCAGTTTTTTTATCTATAAAATGGGGATAATAATAGTCCCTACCTGTTTAAGTTGTTGTAAGGATTAAATTAAATGAATATATGCAAAGTGCTTGGGACAGTATGAGGCAAATTTTAAGTGCCACATAACTGTTAGGTACTATCAGAATTATTCACTGTGTTAATTTATGGCTTCTCTTAGGATAAGAGGCTGTTGAAGCCAGGGCATGGAAAGATGGACACTATTTGACAGATACATTTCTTTGGCCATGTAAATAATTCAGAAATGGTCACAATGACAGTCTCCTTTTGGCTTGAGGAAGGAAAGCAGTGCATTGTGGGTGTGGTGGGCATATTTTTTTCAGAACTTTAAATTAAACTATATAATTTCATAAGTCTGATTACACTTATCAAGCAAGCAGAAATGACCATTTGAAATAAAACCTGCCTGCCCTACATTCTTGCCATAATTATGGATACATTTCATTTGCCTGAATCCATAGTCCTGTCCCTTCAGCAAACACTGTAACTGCTGTAGAAAAAACATCACTTATGTTCACCCAGAACCAGTTATATTGTGCCCTCCCTCCCTGAGAACTGCTTTCTACATGCTGCAGGGACAGCAGAGTACTTAGGGACACACACACACACACACACACACACACACACACACACTCACACACTTTTTTTGTTGTTCCAAAGGCTGAAGTTTCACCAGTTTCAGACGCCAACAAATTCCAAATGAGTCATTTCCCCAAATCTTCTTTGTCAAGTCCTGCCTCTTAGTGCCAACATCCTCTGTGCAGAAAATTAAAACAAGAAGACATGAAATTGATGTGCCCGGCTGGCTTCTAGAAACAACCTCCTTTAATTTACTAGAGTTACTGGGAATTGCGTCCAAAGCCTAGGTACTTATGGTAGGGTCCTTCTCCTTAGTCTTGAGGCTAAGTTGAAAGGAGGTGTGACTTAACTTGGCTCTGAATGCCGAGGGCTTCAGTCAGAATAGCAACACACACCTGTGCTTCTGTTTCCCAAAGGCTTTCATTTCTATTACTATATCTCCTTCTCACAACAACCCTGTGGGTAGATATGATTATGATTGCCATTTTATGAACTAGGTAACTGAGGTTCAGAGAAGGAAAATGATTTCACTAAAGGCAAAACAAGTTCATGTTTCAGCAAGACCAAAAACCTGTGTCTCCTATGACATCTACCTCAATGATTTTTCCCAAGAACGACAAATAGGATTTTCCTCATATGACATTTCTCTTGTCTATTGGTGGTGGCTGGCCAAAGATCTAGCATTGAAAAGATTATAAGATCACACATAAGGTTGTGATTGAGTAGCAGTGTCTAATGCAGTATGGGATAAGAAAGTGGTAGCCTATGCACCAGGGGTCTGCCCTACACTGAATCATGATATCTAGACTCTTTAACCTTCTTACATTTCAGCAATCTATCGATCATTATGTCTTAGAAGTATAAGAAGTATATATTTTAGTTGCAAGTAAGCTGAAATACACTTAAACCAAAAAAAGGAGAATGTATTATATAAGAGCATGGAGGTGTCTCTTGAAACCCAGGGATAGGAAGTGCTGACAGTCATCTCCATGGACTGAAACCAAGAAATGAAATGTCATCAGAAACCCAGGCAGAATCTTTCTGTCACTTAACTTCTGCCTTATTCTAACTCTTCTGTCCCCCCATTCACCCCACTCCTTCTCTTTATTTTCTTTCTTTCTCTCTCCTCTAACTCTCTTCAGAGACACATGTTCATTTTTATCTGCATCTCTCTGATCATTTGTTCCATCCTTCTTTCTCTGTAGATTGGTTTTCTTTCTCCAGGCACATGGGACAAGATCAAGAGCTGCACATGCTGATGGAAGTACATTTGTGAGTTGCAAATGTAATTGTATCTTTTGTATCTAGTAGCCACATTTAAAAGAAGCCGAATAAAGTAAAATTAATATTAAAAATATATTTTAATCTATATATTTATAATATCATTTAACATGTAACTTAATATAAAAAATTTAATGAGATAGTGTTCTGAATTTTTTCTTTATATTAAGTCTTTGAAATCCAATCTGTAGTTTCGTTTATAGCATATTTCAATTTGGATTGGTCACATTTCAGATGGCCACTGTCTAGTGGCTACCAAACCAGACAGCACAGATCTAGAGTTCAATGTCTTTTTTTTTTTTTCTAGCAGCCAGCAGGGAAAGGTCTGGCATCTCTGAATGTCCTGAATGTCAAGCTTTCAGGACATAATCTGATTGGCTCATATTGAGTCACTTGTTCATACCTCATCCAGTCAGCCTTGGCTAGTGTCTTAGTCTGTTTTGTGCTGCTATGACAGAATACCTGAGACTGGGTAACTTATAAAGATTAGAGATCAATTTCTTATAGTTCTGTTGGCTGGGAAGTCCAAGGTCAAAGAGATCAAATCTGATGAGGGCTTTCTTGCTGCATCATTCCATGGCAGAAGGTGAAAGAGAAGAGAGACAAAGAAAGAGAAAAAAATGGGCAAAACTCATGCTTACTATCGGGATCCCACTCCCACAATAACGACACTAATCCATTCATGAGGCAGAGCCTCATGACCTAATCACTTCTTGCAGATCCCCCCTCCCAACACCGTTGCACTGGGGATTAAGTTTCCAACACATGAATTTTGGGTGACACATTCACACCACAGCCACCTGGAAGGCAAGGATCCCTTTTTACAGACATGGCAGCCAAAGGACATGAGACAATGAGGGAGGACTTGCCTGAGCCTAAAAGATATATAACACAATGTTTACAAGGGATTTGTTACACATGAAATTTGGGGGACACATTCACAACATAGCCACCTGGAAGGCAAGGATCCCATTTTATAGACATGGCAGCCAAAGGACAGGGCTGTTCTCAGAGACAAAGATGGAGGACTTGCCTGAGTCTAAAAGATATATAACACAGTGTTTACAAAAGACTTTTTAGGAAGAACCATCTAATGTCACCTGCATTCTCTGGAAGATTCCAGAGTTCTCCATAATCTTCCATTTGGGGGAATATAAAAAGGTTTCAAAGGCAAGAACAACCCAAGAAGAATAGTGTGCTGCCACTTGGGAAAGATAAATCAAGCATGCATTTCTAATTCAAAAGAGACCCAGAGCTGCCCAGAAAGAAGACACATGCAGGATAAAATCAGTGGTGGATCAGAAGTTTGAGGTGGAGGCTCACTTCCTCAAGTTCAAGACTCATCTCTTAGAATTAAGTTAATCCAGGAAGGACAATCCCATGTCGCTTGGGAACCTGCTCTGGCCTTCTGGCCCCCTCCAGGCCTCAGGAGAGAACATTTGTTATGCCATTTGCCAACACCAAGAGCTCCCCTTTATACAGACACATTTCAGTTACACAAATAATTTTTGTGGGAATGTCCAGTAATCTCTAGCTTTGTTTATGGAAGCTCTTCAATATGAAGAAGGCTTAAGTCCTTAATGAGAGCAGAGGAAACAGCTGTTCTCTCTTCCTCAGGACACTGGGGCTTCCAAAAGAGTGTTATACCACTTACTTAGTGAGCCATAACCTGTTTATGAGGTGACTGTGTTGACTGTCTGTCACAGCTCCTCACCAAACACTTGCTCTTAGCCCTCAGGTAATGGGAGTGACAGAGAAAGATGGCTGCATGGAAGACGGCTGCATGGCAGCTACTCTGACAGTTAATGCTGGGAAGGTGGAAAGGCATGAAGCTAAAATTCCTGGGAGCCCATTTCTTTGGCTGAGGCAGAGTCATTGGGTCAATATTTCTCATTCTCAAAGTGTAGAGCAAGGATCACGGTTTTCCATGGCCTAGAAGATAGGATCTAGCCCCTGCCTACCTCTCTGCCCTCATCTTGCAGTTTGCTTTATTCCAAAACTTGTCTCCTTTTTGTTTCTTTTTCTTTTTTTTTTTTTTTGAGATGGAGTCTCACACTGTCACCCAGGCTATAGTGCAGTGGCACCATCTCGGCTCACTGCAACCTGTGCCTCCCGGGTTCAAGCAATTTTCCTGCCTCAGCCTCAAAAGTAGCTGGGATTACAGGCACCCACCACCACACCCAGCTAATTTTTTTGTATTTTTAGTAGAGACAGAGTTTCACTATGTTGGCCAGGCTGGTCTCGAACTCCTGACCTCATGATCCGCCTGCCTCGGCCTCCCAAAGTGCTGGGATTACAGGCGTGAGCCCCTGCGCCCAGCCCCCACAACTGGTCTCCCTTCTATTCTTTGAACATGACAATCTTTCAGAATATTTGCCTGGGACCCTCTTCCCCATCTCTTTGCATGACTTGCCTATTCTCGTAGTTCAAGAATCAACTCAAGTGTCCTTTCTTCACTTAGGCCTCCCTTGACCCAGTCTCCCAGCTCCATGCATAAAGTAGTCTCTTACCCCTTCCTTCAGGCCATCCTTCAACGCATCACCTACTTCATCACACTTTTTCAAAGTTGCAATCATCTTCTTTATTCATCTGTTTCTTCATCTTCTCCACTGGAATGTAAATTCCCTGAGAATAAGGACACTTCTAGCTTATTAACTTCTGAACTGCAAGGTCCCAAATGGTGCCTGCCACATAAGAAGATCTCAGGAAATACTTGTTGAATATATAAATTATAAATCAACTCTCTGGAGTGCCCCAGGCCCACTAAATCACATTCTCTAAGAGCAGAGCCTGAAATCTGTGGGTTTTTTTTTTTTGTTTTTTTGAGATGGAGTCTTGCTCTGTTCCAGGCTGGAGGGCAATGGCGTGATCTTAACTCACTGCAACCTCTGCCTCCTGGATTCAAGCTATTCTCCTGCCTCAACCTCCCAAGTAGCTGGGATTACAGGCGTCCGCCACCATGCCTGGTTAATTTTTGCATTTTTAGTAGAGACGGGGTTTCACTATGTTGGCCAGGCTGGTCTCAAACTCCTGACCTCTTGATCCACCCGCCTCGGCCTCCTAAAGTGTTGGGATTACAGGCGTGAGCCACCGCACCTGGCCCTGAAATCTGTGTTTTTCACGAGTGCCTCAGATGATAAGTACACATCCTGGGGGGTGAGAAGTGTACTATTTTTACCTGCCTTGTCAAGAGCCCTGCTTTCACTCTTACCCTAACCTAAAGGCTGTGTCCTGACAGAGACTATGAGGCAAATTAGAGGGAACTTAAGGCTTCTTCAACTTGGTGGCTCAGTTTGCTCTTCCTAGGACTATTCACTGAACGATGACGCATTAGGGGTGTGAGCCGATGAGCTCAGTGAGGGCAAGACCCATGTGAGTCTTCCTCATTGCTTATCACTGGCGTGCAGCATAGCACCTGCCACATAGACAGCCCACAATCAGCATAAGCAAATGAATGGGCACTGACATGAGTGCCAGGCAATGTGTGAGATACCAAGTGTGGCAAATGTGCATAAAACTACAAGATGCTCAAAGTCAAGGGGGAGGCAAAAATGAAAAATTTAACCTTAGAATATAAGCTAAATGTCCAAGGTTCTGTGGGCTTCATAGTAAAGGTAAAATTTGAGCTACATGTCGTTTTATTTCTTCCGCATGCCCTGGGTAAGTCTGATAACCTCAGATGTCAATTATCTGTAAGTAAAATAGTTTATTTTTCTTGAGATACAGTAGAGAATAGTAGGTTGTTTTTTGGCTCCATAGTTTTCTTAATAATTGTGCAAAATGAAACAAGCCTTTCTAGGCCTCAGCCTCCTGCTTTTGTACCAACTTTACAGGGCTGTCTGGAGAATTAGATCAATTCATACACATAAAAGCCTAGCTTGAGACATAGCAAGCGCTCAAAATATATTATTACCATGTAGTTTTAACACCCTCTAAACACTGTATCTAGGCCTCTCTTCAATGCACATTAAGAAAAAAAAATGCCTTTTTAAAAATGTATTTTACTAATAGCTAATGCAAAAGGAAGCATCAGTTCCAGGCTCTGTCCAAGTTCATACAAACCCCAGGTTAGTGGAGTCTGAAATTAATTGTCTTTTTTCTCCTTGTGACATTATAATTTAGAATGTAAGTATTTTCTCCCTAGATGGGAGAGGAATTTCACTGTTACATCACAGAGAACAGTATCCTCATGGCTGCTGAAATTTTTGTGAAAAAAATCGTATTATAATAAAATGGGCAAGGCAAGATCTTTTGTTATAGGAAACTTCAACTACAGTAGAGAAATGTCAGATGGGTAGATTATTGTCCATGCCTTGGAGAGGGTTTGAATGCCATGAAATGAGGGGAGGGTCAGTGGGGTTTGTTGATAATGCTCCATTAGCTAGTATATATATGGACTTTGTGGTTACAGAAACTACACACCCTGGCTTGCCCATGACAGTCCCAGTTAATGCCCATCATTGTTGTTTAATTAACAGTAACACTTTCTTGCATTCTCAAAACTGCGCCAGTTTGGGTGACAAATTAGATTGTCACCTACTTATGGGTCTTCCTGTCTCCCCAGCAGAGAACCCAAGCCCCAACCTGGAGTAGTAATAATGAAAATTATATTTGCACAGCCCTTGATATATACTGGGCACTGTGTTGAACATCCACCGTGCATTATTTCATTTATTCTTCCCAACAAGGCTTAGATAAGACTTCTAGAAGACATGGGCACAGAAAAGATTCCACTGTACCCCTCAACCATATTCAACATAAGAACAACTATACATGCTAAATTAAAATATTTAAAATCCGCATGCATTTTGAAAAATAGCTTCTTTCCCAATGTGTCATTACAAAATCTGGAACTCAAGCATCAAAGTGGAACTTTTCACATTTTCCTTCTCTTTCTTGCTAGGGCCTGAAGCACATACTTGTTCCGCCTGTGTTCACAGATCTAGAACTGCTCACAATAACCCAGCGAGGTGATGTGATTGCATCCATTTTACAGATAAGACACCTGAGGTTTAGAGGAAACATCCCACTGTCACATGCTACTTCCTGTTTTAAAACATCATGCTTAGCCCCCTCACATTTTAACATTTCTGGAATAAAGATTATCTCACAACAGAAGAAACTTTTCAGTGTAGTATTTCTCTCCTGACCCATTTTTATGACTTTAATAATGTATCGTATACCAGACAGCTTCTTAGGCTACAGGACACATAAGAACAGCAGAGCTGACCTTCAAACCTGCTCCATCTGACTTCTTATCTGTAATCACTGTGCCACACTGCCTTGAATCAATCTTTATTAAATGTCATTATAAATAAAGAGAAAAATTTTTAGCAAAACCGAAATGGCTGTGCATAGAGATCAAATGAGCAGAAGAATCCTTACCTCTATGGTTTTTCAGCCTTTCAGCTTCTTTCTAATATTCTGTATGACTGACAGGGGTGGGAACTGGAGAGTGAGGGTTGGCGGTGAGAAGGTAAATCACCAAAAACGTAAGGAGAGGGAAGTAGAAAAATGAAGGCATTGGGGCAAGGGTCCCCAAATTAACTTTTCTGATCTCACTTTGCAGGGAACAGACATTGCATTGTAACTCCTGGTAGACTAGGTCTTACCTGACTTTGACCCTGCTTAACTATTCTGAGCCTCAGTTTCATCATCTGTAAAATGGATATAATTAGTTGTTGTAGATACAACTCGAACCAGGTTGGGTATTTTTCCTGTCCTTCCTCTAGAGCATTAGAGGAAGTATTACCAGAAAGGCACTTAGAACAGTGCCTGGCACACAAAAGTCCTTAAGAAGTGTTACCCATTATTATCTGTCATCCCTTCAACCTCATTTGAGGCCACCACCCATTCCCTCCATCATCCACCGACACACAATTCCCAGCCATGTTAGTTTTCTTCCAGTTATTCCGACAAGCCAAGCTCTTTACCTCTTCAGAGTCTTCACACATGTTGTTCCTTCCTCCTGGCACGCTCTTCCAGAATTCCATCTTTGAAGAGCCAATTCACGTTCATGCTGGAGCCTTAGCTAAATTATCACCTCTTTAGAGAGGCCTTCCCTGATCCTCTCCAAATACAGACTTACTCTGTCTCTTTCTATTGTATATCTTTGCTTACTCCCTTCCTATCCATTGGAATCTAAAATGGTCTCATTCATTCATTAGTACAGGTACTTATCACCTGCCACCTCCAAACCAGGAATATACACAGTCTTGCTATTTTTGTGTCCCTGCACCTAACGCGTGCCATGCCTGGCACGATAGATGCTCATTAGAGATTTGTTGAATTGCATTTCCCAAACTTAATAAATGAAAGCCTCAGAATCTAAATCCAGGTCAGTTTATAGCCAGAGGCTCTACATAGAAAGGGAAATGGTTTGTTTTATTAACGGTTTTCTCTCCCACAGGAATCTCCGTTCATCAAGAGCCTGGAGCCTATGACTCGGCATTCCGTCCCAGGTACCTCTCGTGTTTATCTCCCAGTGTGTATGCTTCATAGTAGGATTAGGTTTTCATGCTTATGTATTTGATGATTTGGGTTCATCTTTGACACTCTCAGGGGACTAGGCACCTTCCCATGGACCTTTGCTTGGAAGTAATGAAAGTTGCCTCAGAAAGCTCTCATTACCTGTGCTGTTTGGGGAGCTGCAGCTTTATTGAAGGTATCACCACATTGCTTCCTGAATCGAACATTTTCAAACCAGATGCTGGTGGGATTTAGGGAACTCAAATCAAGTTGAGGATTTTTCCTGTCTTTAGTGGGTACAGAGTGCAGGGTTATCGACTTCCTTGTTCATTAGAGTCACCTCCAGATCTCAGTTAAAAATGCACATTCCCAGCATCCTACCCCATGAGAGTCTGAGTCAATAGAACTTTTATTACAGATAATAAAAGTTCTATTGTGATATTTATTCAGAGGACCTTTTTTAGCTTCCCATGTGATTAGTGCTCGGACAAGCAGCTTAACATACATTATTTGGTTTAACCCAACTAACAATTCTATGATGTAGGCATCACATTTATCCCTCTTCATAGATAAATAAACTGCATATAAGAAAAGTTAAATACTTTCCCCCAGGTTCTACAGCTCATGAGTGGGGCTCCAAAATCTCGCTACTCAAGGTATGGTCTATGGACCCGCAGGTTTGGCATCCCCTGGAAGGTTGTTAGAAATGCAGGCTCTTGGGCTGAGCACAGTGGCTCACACCTGTAATCTTAGCACTTTGCAAGGCCGAGGCAGGTGGATCACTTGAGGTCAGGAGTTCGAGGCCAGCCTGGCCAACGTGGCAAAACCCTGTCTCTATTTAAAAAAAAAAAAAAAAAAAAAAAAAAAATATATATATATATATATATATATATATATATAGAGAGAGAGAGAGAGAGAGAGAGAGAGAGAGAGAGAGAGCTGACACCGTGGTGGTGCATGTCTGTAATCCCAGCTACTCAAGAGGCTGAGGCATGAGAGGCAGGAGAATCACTTGAACCCGGGAGGTGGAGGTTGCAGTGAGGCAAGATTGGACCACTGCACTCCAGCCTGGGCAACAGAGGGAGACTCTGCCTCAAATTTAAAAAAAAAAAAAAAAAAAAAGAAATGCAGACTCTTGGGCCCCACCTCAGACCTCTTGAATCTGAATCTGCATTTTAACAAGATCCTCAACTGACTGATGTGCACATTCAAGTTTGAGAGCCCTACCCTAGTGTTCCTGACTCAAAGCTGGGGTTCTTTCTCTCCTCTCTTGTCCAGCAGTTTTCAAACATGAGTTCCCACAATAGTCACCTGAGATCCATATTAAACAGGTAGTTACTTATTGAAGTTCCACCATCAGATGCTGTGATTTAGTAGTTCAGGGCTGAGGCACAGGAATCTGTATTTTTAACCAACAGCCCAAATGGTTCTAATGTGGAAGGTCTGAGGATCACACTTTGAGAAACACAAGATAGAAAATGCATTGGCCTCACTTTTCCTATCTGTTGAGAATAAAATAGGATATTTTAAAAACTAGCTTCTAGCTTATAAAGACTCTGCTTTTAGTGGCTGGGTGTGGTAGCTGACGCCTGTAATCCCACCACTTTGGGAGGCCAAGGCGGGTGGATCACTTGCTGCCAGGAGTTCAAGACCAGCCTGGCCAACATGGTGAAACCCCATCTCTACTAAAAATACAAAAATTAGCCGGGCATGGTGGCATGCGCCTATAATCCCAGTTACTTGGGAGGCTGAGGCAGGAGAATTGCTTGAACCCGGGAGGTGGAGGTTGCAGTGAACTGAGATTGTCCCACAGCACTCCAGCCTGAGCAACAGAGTGAGACTTCTGGAGGCAGGAGAACCACTTGAACCCGGGAGGTGGAGGTCGCAGTGAGCTGAGATTGCGCCACTGCACTCCAGCCTGGGTGACAGAGCAAGACTGTGTCTCAAAAAAAAAAAACAAAAAACAAAAAAAAAAGACTCTGCTTTTAAGATCAGTTCCCACATTTGTAACAAGGAGAAGAGGGAAAACAGACCCCTCTAAACCTTGAAACTTGGAGGTTGGCCAGGCACCGTAATCCCAGCTACTCAGGAGGCTGAGGCAGGAGGATCACTTGAGGCCAGGAGGTTGAAGCTGGGCCACACAGTGGGACCCTGTCTCTAAAAAAAAAAGTTTTAAAAAAATAGCTGATTGTAGTGGTGGATACTGTTAGTCCCAGCTACTCAGGAGGCTGAGGCTGCGGTAAGCTATGATTGCACCATTGCACTCCAAAATGGGCAACATAGTGAGACCCTGTCTCTAAAAGAAGTTAAAATGAAGATTAGCTGAGCACAGTGGTGCATACCTGCAGTCCCAGCTACTCAGGAGGCTGAGGTGGGAGTATCACCTGAGCTCAGGCATTTGGGGCTGAGTGACCTGTGATTGTGCCACTGCATTCCAGCCTGGGTGACAGATCCAGATCCTGTCTCAAAAAAAATAAAAATAAAAATAATATTAATAATAAAACAAAAAAGAAAATCAGAGGTGGAGAAACTTTAAAGATAACTTGCCCATGATCACGTGGCTCACTGGTGGCAGAGCTAAAGCAGTATCCAGGACTGCTGGTTCTTAACATTAAAATACAAATCACCAAGCATAAAGCTCAGTAGCAGCAGCAGAGGCACAAGTGGCAATTATAAAGCTCTATATGTAAGTGTTTTTACATATTAACTCATTTAAATCTCGTAACAGCCCATACGGTAGTTACTATTATTCTCTTTATCCTAATGAGGAAACTGAGGCACAGGGAAGGAAAGTCACCTTCTTACCAATAAGTGGTAGAGTCAGCATTCAAACCCAGGCTGGCTTTGGCATTCAGATTCTTAAGGCACTTAGTAAGCAAAGAATAAATAATGGATGAATGAATGAGTGGATGAATAAAATATCAAATGATTGCAAACTGTTCTGGAATACCCTATCAGGTTTTATCCTTCTCTTTGTCTCAAAACCAACGGATTGAAGTGGAAATGCATCACACCCCTGTTAGCATCTGTTTAAAGGGCACAGGAGCTGGAGTCAGACATACCTGAATTCAAAAGCAGCTTTTCTGCTCATTAGCTGTATAACTTTGGGAGAGTCACAAAAATCTACTTAAACCTTAGTTTTCTAACATGTAAAAGAGATGCAAGGATAGTGGCCATCTCCTAGGGTTATTGTAATGAAAATAAAACAAAGTCATTAAAAGGAACGATTATTTTAAACACTGCCACATATTTTTGCTGCCATGTTTGGTTTTCAAATAAGCTTGACGTTGTCTTAATAGTTGTAAAGCCCCCTGAGGGCAAGGCACTGTTCCTTGAACTTCTTTATCTCCAGGATCCCCTGCTGACTGTATTAATGAGACCTTACTCACTGATAGGGATCAGCCTCAGTGACTGTTGCTGTGTTTACATACCAAGAGGGTGAAGAAACGCTTCTTCAAGGCATAGTTTCTCTGACCCGTCCCTCACCCGGTTTCTCCTTTTACAGAGAGAACGCAGGAATGCACAGAGAAACTTCTATGAACAGCAGAAGATGAACTTTGTTTTAGAGAAAAGTTACCTTGAAAAATAATTGAACAAGGCATCAACAGCAGACTTCCCCACCCTGGTTTGTGACCTTGGGCAAATTGCTTTGTCACTCTGTGTATCTATTTCTCTTCCTGTAGAATAAGCAGGACAATTGTTCAGGTCTCTAAGGGTTCTTGACTGTATTAACATTCTAATTCTTCGAGTCCTCATTCAATGATTCTCAAATTCCCCACCTACCCCTCTTAGGCTTCACTATGTGACATTGATGGGAAAGAACAAGGCTCTCATCAAATGAGAAGTGCATAAAAATTATTAAGCATTATAACATCCATAAAACCATTAGAGCTACTATACATTGAGCACCTACTCTATGTCACCTGCCATGTTCACACTTGCACACATAACCGTTTCAACAACCCTAGGTGGTGGATATTATTGTTCTGATGTTACAAATAGGGAAACTAGGCTCAGAGCATTTAAGATACAGGCCCAAGGTCACATAGCTAGTAAGTGGCATGGGTGGGATTTGAATCCATTTTTTTGTGATCCAGGTTACATTATTGGTTTAAAAAGTGAAAGCAAAATGGTAAATGATTTGTATAATATACTACAATTTAGCCAAGAAAAGTGAGGTGGTGAGTACAACTCATACAACCACAGGAAACATTGTATATCTATATCTATATCTATGCAATAGAAAACCTGTAAAAATGTTAAGTGGTTACTTATAGTGGGAGTGAGGAAATTGAGTGGAGATGGCAGAGACTTCTTTTAACATATCTTGTTTTAAAAAGTACTCCCTAAATATCCAAAGTAAAATGAAACGAAACAGAAATTTGTAACCAGTCATTGACATAACCACATAGAGAAGAACTTCTCAAAGTGCTTTAAAGTGCTTCAGCTCTGCTTCAAAGCACAGTTATGTGACTGTACATCCCTACTAAGATATAGCATAAGAAAAAAAGAGAACTGGAGAAAACAAATTATTTATAATAATTATACTAATGGTGGTAGTGTTAGTATTGTTAGCCTGAGATGGTTGTGAATGTAGTTTGGGATAAATCAAATGAATCATTTTGTGGGTGTCATTGAAAACCAGGAATTTCAACATGGGAGAAAGGAAACATGTATATATATATATATATATATATATATATATGATAGATGATGGTAGCTAAAATCCTGGAATTCTGAATTTCAATAAAAACTACTTGTATGATGCATATCAGTACAGGAAAGGCCTAGCAACAGCAATCCAGAAGCACTGAGCACTCCTTGTGCCTAGTTTGCTATCTATAAATACCACTTCTTGCTAAAAGAAGTCCAGGATCCTTGGCAAAGTGACTCATTTCATGTCTGGGGCAGGTAATGTGCAAAATGAGCCTGGAGAATCTGTCATATCAAAAAGCAAGGAAACTATAAAAAATTACTAGGATTCTGTCAAATGAACTCAGGAGCCAATATGAAGAGACTCCTACTGGCCAAAAATGAGATAATTTGAGAATTAATAACTTACAAATGATATCTAGTATGTTTAAATCCATGATATTTAAAAACATCCATAGTCACCCTTAGAAGTTGCTGCAGAACCAGCACATTATTTAGAGAACTGGTGAAAAAAAAAAAAGAAGGTAAAGGGTAAAGAATTGAATATTAATCATGTTTTTCTATGAGAATTATGCCTCAGCATAATCATGAGAGAAAGTTTCTCTGTAGAGAAGCATTCTACCTAATTAACAAAAAAAGGCAGAATATAGAATTAGTCTATCACCATTTTGCAATTCCTAATGAATTAATGCACCTAAGCAATGACCAGTGACTGCTCACATTTCAGAGAGGGACAATCAAATACAGTGTGCCTTCTGCTAGATAAAGAGAGCACCACCGATGAAGTAGCCTTGCCAAAAGAAATTGATAGTGAATTTAATCAAAATTCAACATCCAACTACTGATTGACAGAAAACACAGGGGACCAGGAATCTGTTAAATATCACCACAAAGATGTCATCAGCAAGATCAAGATGTGGGAAACTCTGCAGGACAACCCACCCAGTTTCTTTTCCAAAATACTGGTGAGGAAAATTATTTAAAGAGAGAAATGAGACAGAACCTGTAGATTACAAGGGACCTAAGAGATGCAGTAATCAATTACAACGTACGGGCCTTGTGTGGACCCTGACTCAAATGAACAAACAAAAACAAATAACAACATCTTTTTATAAGACAAGTAGGGAAAAGTGAACAAACATCTATTATATTATTTTTTTGATGATATCAAATAATCATATAATGTATGATGCATCATAATTACAAATCCATTTGTAATTATTAATATTTTTAAGTGTGATAATGCCATGACTGTGCTTTTTTTTTTTCAAGAGCGCCTATCTTTTAAAAAATAAAACTAAGATATTTACCTACGAAGTTATATGCTGTCTAGGATTTGCTTCATAGTAATGCAGGGGGAGAGAGGTTGGGGAAACAGATGACGTAAGACTGGCCGTGAGCTGATAATTGTTGGAGCTGATGGTAAAATGGTAACTTTCACTAGTTTACTTATAGATAAGTTTGATATTTTCTCCAATAGAAAGGGTAAAAGCAAAACTCTCACAGTGCCACTGATGGAGAATCCTAGATGCATGGCCCTTGTTTGTGTGGCCACCTTGGGACGGCATAGGCTGATAAAGAAACCGTGGTCTCCTCTCCTCGATCCCGTTCACAGCCATTGATCTCCAGAGGAGTCATGGTCTCTCTCCTCCCCCAGGGTACAAGCAGTGCAAAATGAGAGGCCTGAGAGCAAGCACCAACATTATATTCTCAGCTGCAGAAATCAATATTCCTCTTCAGAGCCTGAGGTGGGAGAAGGCGCCTGGCACCTAGTCTGAACTGCAGCTCTGAGGGCAAAAAGCGAGTTGTGTTGGCCTCACTTTCTTTGCCTTTCCTTGAGAGTGCTACAGATTCCCTTTCAGAGCTCAGATGCCCGCAGGTTGGTGTAGACTACTTATAGATTTCCACAGGCTCCCAGGGCCGGAGGGGCTGACAGGCGTGGAACTGGCCACAGCACAGGGCCATTTCTTTCCCAGTCTTGATAGATCTCCTCAGAGTTTTCTCCATCTCCATATTCATCGCCACCACCTGTGTGGTCTACTGCAGAGTGTCCTAGCCAATCTCCCTCCTCCTTTCGTTCTCTGCTCCTCCCAGCTACTACCTAGCCCTCCGAACCATTTGATTCTCCACATTGTAGTCAAGGTGACTTTTTCAGAGCCCAAAACTTATTAAACCAACCTGCTCTGGCTTCAAACCCATTGCTCTGAGGCTGAAGACTCAGATACTCAATGTGGTTTCAAAGATCTATACCATCTACCCTTCACTGGCCTTATCCCACACTACAACCCTCCATTTTCTTTGTTCCCCAGTCCCTTGTCTTTCTTGTCACAGAGTTTTTCTCATGCCATCATTTATTCATTTAGCAAATATTAGTCAAGGATCTACCATGTGCTAGGCATACATACAACTTAAATAACTTTACTGATTCTTCAGATGTCAGCCCTAGTGCTCCTTTATCAGGTAACTCTCCTCGACATTCTTGATTATGACTTTGTTCCCCTGTTTTATGCTCTTCTGGCATTGAGCATATCCCTTTGTAGTCCTTCTACTTACACTTTTAGTGGTGTGGATAATTGATTTCTTCTTCCCCCCACTAAACTATAAGCTCATGGGAGCAAAGATTATGTATGATTCTGTTCACCATTCATATCCCCAGGCACCTAGCACTGTGCCTGGCACACAGTAGATTTTGGTAGACTAAAGCTGGCTGCACATTTTTTTCAACTCGTCATCAAAGGATGGAGTCTATTTTGCTTCCCCTTGAATCTGGGGTGGCTCCATGACTTGTTTTGATCACTAGAATACTACAGAAATGACACTGTGCAACTCCTGAGGATGGGCCTTAAAAGACCTGTAACCTCTGCCTCTGCCTTGGCCACTTACAGAGTTTCTTTCAGGAATCTAGCAGACATCCTGTGAGGAAGCCCAAACAGCTCTGTGGAGGGACTCACATAAGAGAGAAACAAGGCCCTTGTTTGAACAACTGGTATCTAAGTGCCCCACCCAACACCATGAGAAGAAGAATCTCCCATTTAACCCATAAGGTCTTGAAAAATTGATTATTATTTTAGTACACCAAGTTTTGGAGTGCTTTGTTAGCAACCATAGGTCAGCAAAAAAAAAAAAAAAAATAGAGGTTCAAAAAAATACATGGAAAATCAATAAATAGTCCATTGTTCTTTGAGTCTTATTCAGTCCATAGTGCATATGTGGAACCTCTACATAATGTTAGAGCCCTGGAAGAGCGTGGTCATAAAATGTGGAAGTCTTCATGGAAGGAATGGAAAAACTACTCAGTCAAAAGCCCAGAATTGAAGAGATCCCACCCACTGGGAAAACAATGTAAGGCAAGCAAAGCAGACTGACTGTCATTCTGATGTTCTGTGGGGAGCCCTGGGACTCAGCAAAACCACACTCTGCTCTCCCAGGGCTCTCTGCAGGTCCCTGCCAGCCTGCCCCTGGTACCTCTGAGACACGAGGTCCCTTCCATGAGGGAGCAGTCATCCCCAGGTAGGAATTATTTGCTTAAACTCTGGAATTAGCTGATGAGGGCTCAAATCCCAGTTTTCCCACCAGTTTTTAAGGGAATATTGTACCTTGTCATTCAGAACTTTACCAAGGATGGATCACCATTTGAAAAAATCAGTTCACTATTAGCTTCACTGCTGATAGTATTTACTTCACTCTCTCAGCACACAGGTGTCCATCAGCAACTGGAGCTGCTGCATTCAAGGTGGTTTTACATAATAAGTAAACACATTGATTATTTTGCTTCTAGAATAGTGAGGTCTGAACATTTCCTTATCGAAATACACATTATTTTATTCTAAATTATTTTTCTTTTACATTTTCTTTATAATAAAGATGAGTATTACACATATTTCAAAGTACATTCTAAATGGGTTATATTATGTTTGAATTTCATTTCACATTAAAGAGAGTTTAAAAATATCAATCATGAAAGGGTACTTTAAATGTAATGGGGTTGTGAATACTGTTGTATTGGAACATCAGCTGCCTGGCTGTGAGTTACTCATCCTTTCAAATTCTACATCTGTACAAACAGATATAGCATCAGTGCCTGCCTCACAGAGTTGCCGTGCGGAGCAAATGATAGCATTGGGCTCATGAATGTAACTATCATGATGATTATTACAATTATTACTATAACTAATAATACCAGCATTATCTCCACAGCTTTGTCTAACTGAAACTTGACCTCAGCTCAGTAAAGAAGGGCCTTTGTGACCTGACCCCACCCACATCACACCACTAGGGACCCTGTGATCCAACCACACATAATAGCTTGCAATCCCCTGGGTGTTCTGTGCAGTTTCAAGGCCCTAGACTGTGTCATGCTGTTCTCTCTCCCTAGAAGGCTCTTTTGTGTGGCCCTAACCCCTCCCCAATCTTCCTTCAATACGCAGACCAGCTAGCACCTCTTCCAGGAAAGCTTTTCCACCCACCAATCTGACGTCACAGCCCCTCCTTGACCCTCCCAGAGCACACAGTGTTTCCTGCACCACTCATAGCTATATTGTAATTATTAGTTGATTTATCCACCTCCCATACTAGACTATGAATTCCCTGAGAGCAGAGAAGATATTGTTTGTGTCTTTAAATTCTGGCACAGCAGCTGGTGCTCAATAAAATATCTGTTGATTGTTTGAATGAAGCGAGTGAGTGAGTGAATGAGTGAATGCTACCGCCTCCCTAGAAACCCACTCAACAGCTAGGAGGCAGCAGGACCAGGCCTGAAATTCGGGTCTTTACGCATCCATCCCAGGTGCCTTCCTGTAGTAACCTGGCTCACTACAGTGGTCTGCCCTGATCAACACTGCAGACTACATGGTTTTCTTTCTAGAAAGTCTGACCTCCAATTTCAGAATTCCCAGATGTCTTGGGCAAAGTATTACCTTTGAAACCATGAGGAGGAGTATACCAATGTAAAAAATGAGAGGGTCTGGGACGTGGCAAAGGCTCTCAGGAATTGTACATCCACTCATTTATAATACACAGGTAGAGCATCTCTAGTCCAAAAATTTGATATCAAAATGCTCCAAAATTCAAAACTTTTTGAGCATCGACAGGATGTTCAAAGGAGTATTTCAGATTTTGGATTTGGGGTTTAAGGATGCTCAGTCAATAAGGATAATTCAAATACAGTTGATTCTAAACAACACAGGTTTGAACTGCACGGGTCCACTTATATAAGGGGTTTTGTTTTTGTTTTTGTTGTGTGTGTGTGTGTGTGCGTGTGCGTGTGTGTGTGTGTGTGTGTGTGTGTGTGTGTGTGTGTGTGTTTTGAAACGGAGTCTCACTCTGTGGCCCAGGATGGAATGTAGTGGTGAGATCTTGGCTCACTGCAACCTCTGCCTCCCAGGTTCAAGTGATTCTCCTGCCTCAGCCTCCCAAGTAGCTGGGACTACAGGTGCGCGCCACCCCGCCTGGCTAATTTTTGTATTTTTAGTAGAGACGGGGTTTCACCATGTTGGTCAGGCTGGTCTTGAACTCCTGACCTCAGGTGATCCACCCGCCTTGGCCTCCCAAATTGCTGGGATTACAGGTGTGAGCCACCACACCCGGCCACAAGGGTTTTTTTTTTTAACCAAATGCTGATTGAGAATACAGTATCATGGAATTCTCTCTTTCCAGGGGTTGCCTAATGGGCCAGGAGTAAGGTTGTCAGGTGACTGGGCGGTAGCAACCAACCAGCTCCATAGTGAAGAGGTTTGCAGTCTTGGGTCCCAATTTTGGGACCACTGGCAGAGTGGACTTGTGCATACTGGCTTCCTCAGGTCCAGACGCTCCTTTTCAATGTTCATATTCCAGTGTGTCCAGCACCCATTTTATATTCCTGCCTCAGTTCCTACCTGAGGAAGTAGACAGAGCATGGGACTAGGAGTGCAAGGACCCAGTTCTAGACCTGGTCCTGCTATTAACCATCTGGTGGCCTTGGGGAAGTCACATAACCACTTGGGAGACCAGATTTCCCATTTGTAAAATGATTGCACTCAAATGTATGCCAAGGTTGCTTCTAACCCTTAGTATTTTATGACCTTGCTACTCAAAGCAATGTCCTCAGACCAGTAGCATCAACATCACTTGAGTCCTTGTTAGAAATGCAAAACCTCAGGTCTCACCCCAGACCTCTTGAAGTAGAATCTACATTTCACAAAACTCCCAAAGGATTCCCATACACCTCAAGCTCTATGTATCTATCCTGTGCTCTGTGTTACCACTTGATTAACAGCTGGGCTGAGTCTCTCTCCTACTTCCAGAAAAGTACTTTTGAATTTAGATAAGAGCTGCTTCCACCTAGCAGACTAATATCACCTAGAGAAGGAGGAGGGATAGCTTTTTGGACAAGGTTTATTCAACTCCTACTACCTAAGTAAACTCCAAATCAGATTCTTTCTGTACTTTTCTACCTTCCTTTCTTCCTCCTTTATCCCTTCCTTTCCTTCTTTTTTCTCTTCTTTTTTCTTTTATTTTCCATTAGAAAAATGGAGAGAGGAAAAAAAGATCCTGCCATTTTCCAACAAAAGAATTTATCTGCTCCTGTTTCTCCAGCAGCTTTGGTCCCCCTGGGATAATCACTGCGTGTGTGGCCCAAGACCTGCCTACCAGCGCAGCCCCCTGGATGAAGGGAGCCATCAGCTGAGGAGGTAGAAGAGGCTTTGGAAGTGGGAGAAGGGGAAGCCAGTGGGAGCAGCACTGATAGGGCTCTGCAGGGAGCCAGGCCCCACTGAGCATGCTTCTAAAAACAAACATTCTGGATCGCTTTTCCTCTTCTCTTGCCAAAATTTTCCTTCTGGGAATGGGGCCACAGGACTGTTGCCCCCATCCTCAGGCAGCCCCAGGGGAGATTCAGAGACCAAAGCTACCCCCTGCTGCACGCTGCTGGTATGCCCAGACCCTGATAGACGATGAATGTCTGCTTGTCTTATGAGAAGTCAAAAATTAACACATCAACTTCCCAGTCCTCCCCCTATCTGAAAAAAGGATTGTGGCTTCTCCTGCTGAGTTTTTTCCTCTTCTGCACCCTTTCATGGAGGCTTCTGCCATTGTCAGATGGGTGCTTTGGAAAAGGAAAAGAGGAGAAGAGGTCCAAGGACTGGTGATTATGAAAGAAGGCATCTTTTTAGCTGAGTTTTAAGGAAAAAGCATGAGAATAGTTAAATTATGTGAGGGTTGTTGATGAGAGAGAAAAAAATTGATAAAGTATCTTTATAAATTGGTAGTTCCCAAAGTAGGGTTCCAAGACCACTATAATAGCATCGTTGTGGTTTGGGAATTTGCAAATTCTCAGGCCCCACCCCAGACCTACTGAATTAGATACCCTGGCAATGGGATCCAGAAATTCTTTTTCATATGCTTTCCAAGTGATTTTGATAGCTGCTGAAGTTTGAGAACTGTGCTATAGACTACTATCTCCACAGTGCATGAGAATGGGAGGAAACAGGCAACCTAAAGAATGGGAGAAAATTTTTGAAATCTACTCATCTGACAAAGGGCTAATATCCAGAATCTACGAAGAACTCAAACAAATTTACAAGAAAAAAACAAACAACCGCATCAACAAGTGGGCAAAGGTTGTGAACAGACACTTCCAAAAGAAGACATTTATGCAGCCAACAGACACATGAAAAAATGCTCATCATCACTGGCCATCAGAGAAATGCAAATCAAAACCACAATGAGATACCATCTCACACCAGTTAGAATGGTGATCATAAAAAAGTCAGGAAACAACAGGTGCTGGAGAGGATGTGGAGAAATAGGAACACTTTTACACTGCTGGTGGGACTGTAAACTAGTTCAACCATTGTGGAAGACAGTGTGGCAATTCCTCAAGGATCTAAAAAACTAGAAATACTATTTGACCCAGCCATCCCATTACTGGGTATATACCCAAAGGATTATAAATCATGCTGCTATAAAGACACATGCACATGTATGTTTATTGCGGCACTATTCACAATAGCAAAGACTAGGGACCAACCCAAATGGCCATCAATAATAGACTGGATTAAGAAAATGTGGCACATATACACCATGGAATACTATGCAGCCATAAAAAATGATGAGTTCATGTCCTTTGTAGGGACATGGATGAAGCTGGAAACCATCATTCTGAGCAAACTATCACAAGGACAAAAAACCAAACACCACATGTTCTCACTCATAGGTGGGAACTGAACAATGAGAACACTTGGACACAGGATGGGGAACATCACACACCAGGGCCTGCTGTGGGGTTGGGGGAGGGGGGAGGGATAGCATTAGGAGATATACCTAATGTAAATGACGAGTTAATGGATGCAGCACACCAACATGGCACATGTATACATATGTAACAAACCTGCACACTGTGCACATGTACCCTGGAACTTAAAGTATAATTTAAAAAAGAGAGAGAGAATGGGAGGTAAAAAACTAGAGTTCATTTGAAATAATTCGACTCTTTCTGTGCATACTCTGGCTCTAAGACTGGAAGCTGTACATCACCAATGGGACAGGGTTGCACCTTTCTTACTGGTGTTCATTGCCTGGAAGGGTGGTCTGATGCCGTGGATGTTGCCTTGCTCTTATGCAGAATCACCCTGCAAGAGCCAATCATCTGTCCCTGAGCAGGTCAGCACTGCTGCTTTGAAAACAAATCACAGGATGTAAATAAAGTGGAAGGACCTATCTTTCATCCTTGGGGGTTTGTTCTCAAGAACTGACATTCTCAAAGCCCTATTTTCATTCAATAATAAATGGTACATTCAATTTCTGCCCCAGACTGCAATTCTACCTTAAACTATAACCGGAACTGGACAGAGGCTGGAGGACTGGAAAGAAAATATATTCTTGTGATTCAAGTTTTCCTAGATCCCACCAAGCTATAAATACAGAGGGGTTTCAGAACAAACCCAGATATTTCGGTTTTGACTCTGCCTTGTTCAGAGAGGGCTGCAGCATCCCGAGCCTACTGCCCATGTCTCATGAGATGCTTATAAATTGGGCTGACAATTATCATGTGTCATCTGTTCTACAAGGGGTGTCTTTTGCTGGTCATTGCCCTACCCAGTAAGTTCTGACTCACTTAATAGGTTTGGAAATAGTTTAGCAAATTTTTAATGGCCTCATAATATTCCACCACAAGAATGTACCATACTTGGAATACTCAACCCCCAATTATGGCCCTTTCCCATTTTTTCCTCTCACAAACAATGCTGCAATGAACATTCTAGTATCAATAATCTGATGTACTTCTGTGAATGTATAAGTAAATTAAACTCTTGCCCATGGGTCAAAGGGTAGATGCATTTATAATTGATTGACATTACCAAAACGCACAACTAAAATATTGCATCCAGTTATCTGCACAGTAACTGAATAAAAGCCTTTGTTTCCTCATTCATTTGTCAATACTGAGTACAGTCAGCCCTCCATATCTGTAGGTTCTGTATCAATGGATTCAACCAACCTCAGACTGAAGATATTTTAAAACACAAATACAAACAGCAATACAAAAAATATATAAAAATGCAGTATAACCAATTTTTACATAGCATTTACATTGCATTAGCTATTATAAATAATCTAGACATGATTTGAAGTACACAGGAGGATGGGTGTGGGTTATATGCAAATACTACACCATTTTATATGAGGGACTTAAGCATCTTCAGATTCTGGTAACTGGAGGGTCCTGGAGCCAAAGTCTTGAGAATATCAAGGGATGACTATTATCATATATTTTAAATTTTTGCCAATCTGATAGGTGAAAAATCGCACCTTGTTGTTTGGACTTGCATGTCTTTAATTTGATGAAACTGGAACATCTTTTCATTCATTTATTGAATATTTGCATTCGTTTTTCTGGGAACTGCCTTTCATATCCTTTGCCCATTTTTTGGTTGGCCTGTTCATATTTATTCTTATTGGTTTGTGTAAGCTGTTTGTAAAATAAGGAAATTATCTCTGTCTGTTTTATGTGTTTCAAATATCGTGTACCACTTTATCATTTGTCTCTTGACTTTGTGGAATTTGCTTCCACAAAGACATGTTAATTTTATGTAGTCACATTTATTGATATTTTGCTTTATGAAGACTGGTGTGATGGGGGAAGAATAGGCAATGAGATGACCCACTTCAGATGGTATTTGCCTGTCCCTTTGTCCTTTCTGAAGCCAGAGACTTGGAGTTGACACAAGGCTGAAACAAGAGTGGGAGGAAGGTTGTACTGGTCCACCTGCTTGAAAGGCTATGACTGGTGCTGGGTCAGCTACTTTCATAGACCCAGAGCAACACTCATTTCACTTTTCACTTTTGGTGCAAAAGACAGTTGGTTGGTCCACGTTCCTTTACCCTCGTGGAGAATTATCTTTCTGGGGCCTCATTACTCTTTCTGCAATGTGACCTTGGTGGGGGTCACCCACCAAACAAATGTCATAACTGAATCTGCAAGAGAACAAGTTGAAGTTGTTGTCTTTCTCCTCCCAGGAGGCCACTGTGCTCCTAAAAGTATAGGTGCAAATAGCCCATCCATCTCTCCCCAGCATAAAGGAAGGTCCCCTCTTACTACTAATGGAGGAGTAAGACACAAGTCCCTAATTCAACCAAAATGTCTTGGTACAAAATTAATGAACCCACTGATCACCCCTTAAACCTTCCAGAGGAATATGTCGACTTAATTGAATCTCTTCTTGGTGGCACTTCAAGAAGTATAAAAAGGGAGGTGACAAACATTCAAGTTCTGTGGGAAAGGACACTTGTGGGCAGGGTGGAGGGGAGATGGTCAGCGTATGAGCACATCTACCCTGCCCCGGGTTCTGCCCCAGGGTCAGCTCCCCTAACTGCTCTCCACTGCTCAGCGCAGCCCCGCCTCTAAAAATGCCATTTTAATTTGATTTTTTTTTTTTTTTTTTGAGATGGAGTCTCACTCTGTCGCCAGGCTGGAGTGCAGCGGTGTAATCTCGGCTCACTGCAACCTCTGCCTCCCGGGTTGAAGCGATTCTCCTGCCTCAGCCTCCCCAGTAGCTGGGATTACGGGCATGCACCACCACACTCGGCTAATTTTTATATTTTTAGTACAGACGGGGTTTTACCATGTTGGCCAGGATGGTCTCGATCTCTTGACCTCATGATCCACCTGCCTTGGCCTCCCAAAGTGCTGGGATTACAGGCGTGAGCCACTGCACCCGGCCTAATTTGATTTTTAAAATCACACCGACGGCAGTAGTGGTCAGCGGGGAGGTGCACCAGGTACTGCAGCTGTTCGGATCCCAGATGGTTTGTCAGAATGGAGTTGATGAGTTGGGAACTCTACTATACTGCTTTTGGGTGAACAGAAAGGGGGCAATAGAGTTATCTAAGATGGAAAGCTGGCATAACTCACATCCTGCTCATAACCCTGTGCCCATACCCCAGGAAATGGGTATGAATTTTGCTTCCCAACTCAGTGAGAAGAAACGCTGCATTACTTCAAGTCCAATGAAATCTAACTCTTAAGTCCTCACTCAGAGGTTGGTAGGAAATTCAGTCTCAGTCATGATTCTGAGAGCCCTTCTAGCCCCTGAATTCATACCAGAATCCAGGATCTTATTTGGAGATGAGGTAACAGAAGAAGAGTCATCCTGAGCGAGCTCACTGCTGACACGCCAATGGTTGAAACCCATGGCCCTTTGAAATGTGCTGCTCACTCCTGTGTGCTGCTGGGTGTTTCCTGAAAGCTACGTTCCAACTGTGCTCTGAGATCCCGCAACTTTCTGAGGGTGCTGAGTATGGATGGAGTGTGGGGCCCTGACAACTAGAGAACTTGCTCAAACCTGGCCGTTTCCTCAGTTGTGGTGGTTTTAAAACATGTCTGCAAACCCTCAGACCTTCCTCTCATTAAGAGGTGAAGCCTAATTCCTCTCCCTTTGAGTATGGCCGATCCTTGGTGTCATGGGCTAAACTGTGTCCTTCCCCTCCTCTCAGATTCATATATTGAAACCTCCAGTACCTTCAGAATGTGACTGTATTTGGAGATAGGGCCTTTCAAGAGGTAATCAAGTTAAAATAAGACCAATAGGGTGGTAGGGTGGGGCCCTAATCCAATTTAACTGCTCTCCTCATGTAAGAAGAGGAGATTAGGACACAGACACACACTTAGAAGGAAGCCCACATGAAGACACAGGGAGAAGATGACCATCCAGAAGTCAAGGAGAGCAGCCTCAGAAAAAAAAAAAACAACCCTTCCGACACCTTGATCTCAGACTTCTGGCCTTCAGAACAGAAAACAAATTTCTGTTGTCCAAGCCGCCTACTCTGCGGTGCTTTGTTATGGCAGCCCAGCAAACTAATGCCCTTGGGGACTCACTCTATAGAATAGAATGCAGCCAAAATGATGCCGCCTGGCTTCTCAGGCTAAGTCAGAAAGGGTGATGGAGCTTCTGCCTAGTTCTCTCCCAAGACGCCCACCCTTGGAACCTGGCCGCCACATGGTGAGGAGGAAGCCCAGGCCCCACAGAGAGGTGTGGGTGTTCTGGCTGGCATCCCCAGCTAGGGCCCCAGATCTGACAGCCAGCATTAATTGCCAGGTATGTGAGTGAGCAAACCATGAGAGGAGTCCAGCCCTGGCCTTCCAGCCGTCCCAGCTGAGCGGAGAGACAGACATGCTGTTCCTGCAGCATCCTGGCCAAACTGCCAATTCGTGAGTAAAATAAATGTTGTTGTTTTAAGCCAGGGCATTTTTTAAAGCAGCAGTGGATAAAAAGAACACCCGTCTTGAGGTATCAACAGTTTCTTCTGCTTCTCTAACCTTAAGGAACATTTTCTGTCTCCTCCTCCCCGTTTGGAAAGATCCCATAAAATCTCCCCTCCATTTGTCTTTAGTTATACAATATTGGCTTCTCTTGCCAGGGGGTAAGGGTGGGGGGAGAAGAGGTTTATGCCAACCAGTGTTTCTTATGAATTTACACGAATACAGTAATTTGAGTGTTCCCCATACAACAGGCTTTTATGTCAGGTGGAAGGTGAGGTCTGTAAAAGTAAGCAGGTCAGTGCGTTTTTATACAGTGGTGATGAATAAGTGCAGGTCCCCATTGGCCGCCTCTGCTCATGCTTCATGCCAACCTTGAGTTTATATGCAGCACTCTGCCACATCCCTCCAAAAAACCCAATTCCCAAAGCATTAGAGATTAATGCAGACATTATTGAAAGTTGAATTGGAAAGTGGAGAGACAGGTACATTTCCCATTACACAAGAAAACTTTTGGAGTCTACCGTAGACATCACCACCTTTTCTTTCTAGTCTTCCCACCATCTATCCCCTCCCCGCAGGTGCCCTATCACCTCCACCAGCGAGATTCCACCTCCCTTCCCTAACTTGCTACTCTCAGCCTAATAAAAAATCCTGGGCAGCCAAACAGGAACAGCTTATTGTTCCTGAAGCATGCCCCAAAGGCTTTCAGCTCATTCCAACACACTTCCAAACTCATTTTAGTGTTCTTACTCATGTTACTTGTTTCTGTTTCTTTCCCTTGGAGCTCAAGGAAATTGGCAAGAGTCGCACTGTTTTCTCTTCTCTTTGCTGTGCTGAAGAATGCGACCATGGCAGCCCTCCTCTAAAATTCCCTTGCCAAAGTCAACAATGAGGTGGAGAACCTAGAGCCAGGCACCCTGTGCCTGATGTCCCAATCTTGCTGTGGCAATGGCCTTACCTGCAAATGGCACGCAGCACATAGCTCTAAAACAGCAACAGGACAAGGCAAGTGCAAAAGGAAATGCTCCCAGTGTGCCCATCATCATTTTTCTTGCTAGATGGAGGGTATTGGAATCTATTCCTCATCTCAGAGGTGGGCAAACTGTGGAAATCAAACCAGTGGGTAACACCAGGGATGTAGATTAGTGGAAGTCAGCCGACTCTCAGAGAGGCAATTATGTAATAATTATAACATTGTTATGTAACAATTATAAAGGGGACTTCCAGACCACTTCTGAGACAGACATCATGCCAAGTGCTTTATGCACTATCCCAATTAATACTCAGAACAACCTTGTGAGGCAGGTACCATTATTATTCACATTTCACACATGGATGGCAAAACGGAGGCTCAAAGGTCCTAAGGGCCTTATCCAGGACTACAGAGCTAATGAGGACAGCTGACTAATGAGCAAATGAAGACAGTCCTCTTGTCTCCTAGTCTGTATCAAAGGAATATCAAAGGAATCTGGTCTGAGAAGGCCCAAAAAGAAGAGCTGCCTTTTTTTGAGTATGTGCTAACCTTTGAGGAAAGGTCTCTGTATGGTTGCACATAGCGGCTCTGTGAGGAAGATGTGCTTATCATCCTCATGGAACGAATGAAATGGGTTCAGTAGATGAGTGGGGAGCAATAAGCTTAATAGGATGGATGGAATCGAGAGGGTAGGTAAGTCTGGGAGGTCTGTGAGTCATCTACATAGGATTGGCAGGTTGCTTTTAAGGTTTCCTTTCTTCAGCGGTCACTCTTCTATTTAATATTCGACTAGCAATAGTCTGAACCTGTCCCTCTCCACTGGACCACACCAGCATGAGGCATCTTCAGTTTCCTTCCCTGGTTTTACTGTCACTCCCTGAAGAATGCTTACTGCTTTGTCCAAATCCCTTCAGGTGACTTTTTGTCATCTTTAGACACTGGGGCTTTGTTTATCCTGCTTTGTCTCAAGTTGAACATTCGAGAGCATCTAATGCACAACACCAAAGTTGGCACTTTGGTCAGCTTCCCAAAGCTGACACCGAGTTCTACCCGTGAATGGGGCATGAGGGCCAGGCCCACCTTTTTATACAATACTAGGGGAAGTGATGGTGCCCTTGGCTGGCACTGTTTGAATGCAGCAGCCCCAATGAAAGTGCCTATCTCCCACATTACCACACACACACCAGCACTAGGTATTAACATCTTCAACAAGTGAAAAATTGATTGCTTTTAAATTCGCATTGCAAAACAAATATTTTACACTGCAAAGCACAAAACAAGTTCAAGTCCAACATATAACGTTAGTTAGAGGGCACACAATCTACATAATGACAATGTTAGTGTTGTCAGGACAAAGACCTTTTTTAAGTACTTGCTAAGTACCAGGTACTCTGATAAACACTTTATATACTTTAATGACCACCCTGTGAGGTAGCTATAGTTACTGTCTTGTTTACAGACAAGGAAGCAGAGGCACAGAGAAACAAAGTAATTTAACTTGCTCCAGGACTTAGCAAATCAGTAACTGAGCCAAGACAGCCCCACTAAGGCAGTGGAGCATCCAAGAGGGACATGTTTGGTGGGCCTTAGTCTCTCCTCTGTCAACCACTTTCAGGTGATTCAGGCGTATTATGTCCTTCTCCAAGCCTCTGCTACTCATTGTTAAAGTGTTGGAGACTCACCTGGTTGCTGTGAAGACCAAATGGGAAGGGGATGGGGGAAGAGATAAAGAGGAGAGAAAAAGAAGAGATAGAGAGAGGGAACGGGAGGGGAAGGAAGGTCAACGTCCCTGATTAACAGTAGCATAAGCTGTAAAAACATCCAACACTCCGATTATTTCCACCAAAGACATTTCTTCACTAAATTCTGGGCAAGCCAGGCCACTGACTATGGATGGGGAACCTAAACCTGGTCACTTCCCATTCCTGGGCACCCTCTCTGCAAAAAGAACAGAGTTGATTATCCCTGAAGAGTCCCTAGAGCTAAAGAATGTGTCATAATGGGGGACCTAGCCGAGTGGAGTGACTCATGCCTATAATCCCAGCACTTTGGGAGGTCGAAGCAGGGGGATTGCTTGAACCCAGGAGTTTGAGAACAGCCTACGCAACATAGTGAGACCTCATCTCTACTAAATGTTTTTAATTAGCTGAGCATGGGACCTGTAGTCCCAGCTACTCAGGAGGCTGACACAGAAGGATTGCTGGGGCCCAGGAGTTCGAGGTTGTGGTGAGCTATGATTGCACCATTGCACTTCAGCCTGGGCAACAAAGTAAGACCCTGTCTCTAAAAAAAAAAAAAAAAAAAAAAAAAAACTGAGTTGACTCATACCTTCTTCCTGTTCCCATCACCTGCCAAGCAGCAGATGGGTCAGTAGCCACCAGCGACACCTGCAGGCGGCGGGAAGCCCTGCAGCTGCTCAGGACGAAGGCTCAGGACTCCGTGGTGTTATTAACACTTCATTGAGTTGAGGGAAGGTCTTTGATTTTCTTTAAATCGAAAGTCTGGGGGAGAGTTCGTGTTTGTTAAACAATCTCATGCATCAAGAAGTATAATTCCCAGGAATTTCCACTCTGCTACCTGTTTCGTGAAATGCAGCAAGGAAATTTGTACTGTTCTCTCATAGACACATTCAAGACTGATCTAAATTTCAGATGCAGCAAGCAGTGGCCTTGGTTTCATTTTTTAAGGGTAGTATGAAGGTATTCCATGTCCCTCAACAAAATCCTCTCTTTCCTAAGCCTGTTGAGAAAGATTTACTTGCTATTATCAATTAACTCCTTTGGACTAGGCTCTGACCTCTTTTTGAAGAGCATTTTGAAAATGCAAACTTTGTGATAGAGATAATCCATTAAGTCTCTATCACATAGTGTAAATGACCATCAGGCTGCTCATTTTAATTATTCACTCTATAAATCTGGGGAAAACCCCTCGACTCTCTGTGACTCTGTTTTCTCAGCTGTGAAGTGGAAATAATGGTGACTGTAAAGATTAGCTGATGCAGCCCACATTAAGGGCACAATGCCTGGCACAGTCAACATGGAAGCGATGGAAGGCGTGGTGGTGGGAGTCATAGTAGCAGCAGCAGGAGAGGAGTTATTGTTGTCCACACCAAAAGAGATGAGGAGAAGTAAGACCAGTCAGTACCTGGAAGGGAAAAGGAGTACTAAAAGGAAAGCAGATAGAAGACGAAAGCCACCAACTGGGCCATTTTGCTGAGAGCTGATCCTGGTGACTACATGGCAGATACAGACAACCAGGGCGCCTGCCACCAACTCAGCAGGAGTTAGGTCCCAGGCACCTCAGCTCAGACACTGAATTCATTCTCTTTGAATCTTCGTAAGAACTGGATGAAGTAGATTGTACTTATAGCCGTCATTTACAGTTGAGAAAACTGAGCCTCAGAGAGTTAGGGCAACTTGCCTTAAAGGCATACAGCAAAGAGGCAACAGAACCAGGATCCAAACCATCTCTGTCTGGCCTCAAAGCCTAAATGGCCAACTCAGAACCACTGCCCTAGGAACCATAGGCAACATCAAGCAGCTTCATTTCTGCCTATTCCCTGGCTCAGGAGGCTGCAGCAACAGGGTGGGGTGGGGGGTGGTTGTGGGGGTACAGTGCACGTAGCTCTTCTCTCTTCAGAGTCTGGAGATTATAACCTTGCAGCAAGCAGACAAGCCCTAGCCCAGGAAGGGCTAGATCTGAAGCCCTGCTATCTGCTTCATTTCATCAGGCTGCCGGCGGCCGAGCACAGGAAATTAAAAGCAACTCGTAGATCATAGAGCGTGGCACCCAGTGATCTCAGACAGAATCCATCCCCTTCCCTCCCACTTTTCCTTGTGCAAGAGCATGGCTTTCAGCAGTCTGTTGCTGAATTTGTGCAGGGAATCAGGCTGCCCTAGTCGTTAGGGCCCTGGAGGCAAACAAGGAGACCCCGCCTTCGGAGGGTTCGGAGTCTGGGGAGGTAGGCCATTTACAGTGGGGGTGTGTGCAGAGGTGTGTGTGCGTGTGTGTGTGTGTGCGTGTGTGTTCTGGAAGGAGACACAGGAAACAGTGGTGGCCTCTGAGAGGGAAACTGGGGTCAGAGGCAAAGGAACGCCCAACTTTTCCATTTATATCAGTTTGTGTGCTTGAACTTTTTACCGTGTGTTTATGTTAACTATTTTTACAAACAATACATCTTTTAATGATGAAATAAAATACGGGTCTACATAGAGGATAGACTCCTAACCCACGGAGAAGGGCAAGATTAGAAACGATTTCTTCCAGGTGATACTCTCTAGTTCTAAAGAACAAAATCAATAGGTAACGAAGAAAGAAGAGGGAACTCCAGGTAGAGGGAGCTCAAGCAAAGGCTTGGAGGTATAGGGGCGCCAGGGCAGTAGCTTGGTGTTTGGGAAAGGGCCTAGCACTGGAAGATAAAGGATTGGTCCCTCAGCCCTTCTCCTTCCTCCTTCGTCTGTTAGCGACACACCACAGCACTGCTCAGTTCTAACTGTAGACCTATTGTGAAATTAATTGTAGAGGTGGGGAGTCATTTCACCTGCTCCACTCTTGTGTGTCAGCAGCAACATCTCACAGCTGAGGTACCCTGTGAGCATGGGCATCTGCTAATTCTGCTTGCCTGGCATCCCTTCCTCCAAGTTTTTTGGCAAAAGTACCCCCTTTCCTTCCTTGGTCAAATCTTTTATTCTCCTATGTGGTCCCGAGAAGATGGCCGGTCAATTTCGACACCCTTACTCCATGCTACCCCAGACAAGGAGGGTGGGGATGTGACCCAGACTCAGGCCATCGAACTTCTCTTCCTAAGGTTTGAACTTGGTGGAAGCCTCCTTATCATGGTAAACCCCTGGGCCAATTCACCCCCATGGGGTTGCCCTGAAGTGGGGTCTACTTGTTCCTGCTTATTGGGACCTGACTGTTCAACTTCCCCTTCAGTTCTACGTGCCACCCAGAATCCTCCCAATGGAACCCTTTGTTGGCTTTTTAGCCTATCGATTTCTGTTATTTACTACTAAAGAAGTCTGGTGAGTGCCTTTGTTCTTTGAGAGTCAAATAAAAATATGGTTTTAGACCCCAACCTACACACGATGAACGACCCTCACCCTTCTGGAGAATTCGTATTATCTCTTGCCTTATTTCACTTGTTTCCAGTGAGTTATTTTAGTTTACCGATGGTCTCACCATCCTCTGTGGGCTGTCTTTACCAATAAAAAAAAAAAAACTCAGCAACTTTCTTCAACTTCTCTCTGTTCTACCCCCTCCCAAATAAAGCCCACTTATACAAGGTGGTGTGTGTGTGTGTGTGTGTGTGTGTGTGTAGCAGTCTTTGATAAAGAGAGAAAAAGGTTTATAGAACTCACACACAAAAAAAAGTACAATAAAAAGTTAGACAACCCTGTTCTTAAAAGGTTTAACCAATGCAAACTTCAAATTCTAGTTTCTCTCTGCCAGATCCTCTCTGCCTCTATTTCTTCTCTTTCTTGAAACCCCCTCATCCAAGCTACCTATGTTATGCAAAAAAAAAAAAATTATTTCTCTCTTTATCACTTTGTCTCCTACCAACTTTGCCCTCAGGATTTCAAGGCAGTCTTCTCCCAAAAGAGAATTCTGAGGCTGGCCCACTACAATGTATTTCTGCAGACAGAAGATGAGAACAAGGCCAAATGATCAGTTGTGGCATCTTTCAGTCATAAGTTCAATGATTCTGGGCACAGTAAGAATGCCAATCTTTCTTTCTACTTTAATTCACATTCAATTAGATGGAACAATAATCTCTGCAAGCCTCTTTCACAGGTGATGTTCATTTCTCTCCAGAGGCAAGGAGCCCTCTAAGGGAAGGAAGTCATTCATCGAAATTAGAGCCACAGGCGGCTGAGGACAGGGCCAGGGACCAGCAGAGATTCTGGACAAGGTGACTGTCTGGTTGGCACCTGGGCTCTTCCCCTGCTGAATCTTTCTCTTGCAACTTTGTGTGTATACGCCCGGTCACCATGCACTCAGGATCCTGAGGGTGTGAGATCTGCATGGTATTTGCTTTTCATGGTGCCCACCCAAGCAATGATTGGCACTAGATACACAGTGGGTCACATGCTTGTAGAATTAGCTTGTAGAATTACCATATCCACTCCCAGAACCCAGAACATATCCACTCCCCAAATTAGCATATGCTTGTAGAATTAGCATATCCACTCCCAGAACTCACACTTCTCATAATCGTTCATTCAACAAACCATATTAAATTACTTCTCTGTGCTAAGCAACAGGGACAAAAGCAAAATAAGTCCCAACCCCTGTCCACAAGAGTCTAAGAATCTAGTAGAGGATGGAAAGAAAGAGGCAATTATTCAAAGGTAAGATAAGTACTGGGTCATGGATCCACTCATCAAGTGGCTATTGAGCATTTTCTATGTATTAGGCTTTGTCAGTTACCTGGGATTCGGGGGAAATAAGGCACATCTCTGTTAAAAAAAAAAAAAAAAAAACTATGAGTTTGATTGTGTGATGGGTGTCTAGAGGACAGGAAAAGTGGACAGGAGAAAATTCCCCAGCACCTAACACAGTGCCAAGCACAAAGAGTCACTCAGCAAATATTTATTGAATGAGAGTTGACTAAAACAAATAATTACAGAACATGATACAGACTATGACAGAAGCAAAAGTGGGCTGTGGCTATTTGAAAATCAGAGCATCTTTTAAAAGGGAGACGGCATCTGAACCTTGCCGAGTAGGAATGTTCCAGAAGTAAGAGAGATGACTAGGGTTTCAAGAACAAGGACCAGCACCTATGAAGGCTCTGAGGCACAGACCACTGTGACCTGTGGAGAAGTGGTGAGTGGAGAAGGAGCATGGGTTTGGTGGGGATGGTAGGGAATGGCCAGTAATGGGGTAGGAACAATAAGTCTAAGGCTACATCCCTGAGGGATTTATGACATATGAACACTGGAGAAGCAAGTGGACAGCTGCTGCTCCTCTGTATCTGCACTTTCACAGCAGAAAGTAGAAGGCACCTCTCACCTACCTGATAACGGAGGAGGTGAGAATGTAGGCTTTAGAATCAAGTGGACCCTGGGTTCAAATCCCAGCACTGCTACCTTTGAACAATGAGCTGTTGGGCAAGTAACTGAGCCTCTCTGCACCTCAATAGTTTCGTCTCCTAAACAAGTACCATGATATCCACCCAGGGGAGTGTTGGAAAGGAATAAATAAGGTAAGGTATGTAAAATCTTGATTAGAGTACCTGGCCTACAGTGACTATTTTGAAAGCATTGTTTTGTTATTGTTATTACTGTAATAATTATTATTCCTGTCATTCTATTTGGAATAATGTTACTTCTCATCTATCCTTTACTGCCTATAAAAAAAAGTTAAATTTGAGGCCAATCTTTTCCATATTGGTTATCTCCACAGAGCAAATGAATTTAGAGCCATTACTTGATGGTGAGTGGGGATTACTCAGGTTGGAAGGAACCTCCAAGTGCACATGGCCCGACAAACCTCCTCAATTTACCACTGAGGAGCCTGAGGCCCAGGTACCAAAGGCTGGCCCCTGGCCCCAAAACAGCTTACAGAGAGAACTGGGCTAACCCCTAGGCCTTCAGGCCCCAATCCAGACCCTCCAGATACAGTTCACTGTCTCCCATTTAACCCTGTTGCCAAGTCGACAAGGTCAAGACTAAAATCTACTGCAAACGCCAACCTCTCAGACACAAATCAGAGGGCCCTACCCGACTCACTGGGCCCACAGAGGTTGGTTTGCTTTCTTCACACTCTCTGCAGCATCCACAGGCTGCTGCTCAAATCTGAGAACAGACTCTGCCCTGGAGCCCTCAAAGAGGAGATGAGAGGCCCCTCCCAGCCAGTGTCAGCTTACAGTGGGAACAGGGCCTGGGGCACAGCCAGAGCCAGGCTGACACTGGAATGCTGTTGCTTCCCCATGCTCTCATCCCCAGCAGAGGCAGTGTCAGGCTGTGGCCGGCCTCACCATAGCAAGGGGCGTGTTTCTCACCAGAAGGCCTGGCAGGGTCACTCTGGAGTCAGCCCCTTTTCTGTCATTTGCTGCAGGCTCCCACAGTTTCCCAGAACTGCCCCCTTGGTCAGAGTCACGGTTCTCCTCTGGAAGAGAAGCTCAAGGGCAGACCCTCGGCAGGAAGCAGACCAGCATTTTCTGGAACTTCCCCGGTCGCTCTTCAGACCCCTCACTGAGGGATTTAATGGGAGGACTCACACGGCCTGAACAAGCCAAGTGAAGCACTTGTCTGCTATTCTGTTCCCTTTGTGAGACTCAGAGTACCTGCCATACCCATAGTCAAATTTAAATAAATATTTAACAAAAGGGGTTATTTTCTACACCATGAGAAAAAGAGGTGATTTTCTACACCAGAAGTTATTATTCTCTACTCACAGCTGGCCAGACCGTGGGTGAGGTTCCTAACCCATAGGTAGCCAAGATGTTGGCCCATGTGGGAACCGTGGTCCAGCCAGTAGGACTCTCCTGTGCTGGATGGTACTGACCCATTGAGCCAATCAGATTCTCTCTCGTGCCTTACTGTGTTCTCCAAATACATATTGAGAACTTCCATGTGCCAAGCTCTATGCTAGGTTCCAGTGATACAAACATAGAAGGGGCTCTGTAACCCCAGACCTCTGTGCTCTTAGAAGGAGTTCAGTATAGGAATCCATTCCTTATTAGCAACTTAAACTAACTGTTGGGATTTTGTTGCAACATATACACAACTCTCATTTATAATGTAACAGTTACTTTAAATAAACTGATGAATTTATCAGGACCCTCGAATTCAAGGAACAGAAACCTAACCCAATCTGGCATAAAGAAAAATTAGAATTTACTGGCTCATATCCACAAAGGCTAGGACTAGAGCTGTCCTCAGGAATTCAAATAATGATATCGTCTCTCCCTCTCTCCTTCCTCTCCCACCCCATCTCATTCCATATCTCAGATCTCTGCTTCTCTCCATCTGTTGGACTCATTCTTTCCTCACATAGCAGAGCTTTATTCACACTGCAGGAGACGTGGCATGGGCAGCTCCAGGCTTCATCAACCTAGATTTGCAACTCCCAAGGAAACAAAGATTTCTCTCTCCTAGCACTCAGAGGTAAAATTCAAGGGAAGAACACCAATAAACCAAACTTAGGTCATGTGGCCATCATGAAGCCAATCACTGTCGCAAGATGCGTGAGATCCCATGATTGGTCAAACCTTGGTCACATGACACAGCTCACCCACCAGAACCACATGGTGCAAACGAACAGTTCCCCACAGCAAGGAGGGTGCCTTTCCATAGAAAGGGAGTAGATGCTGAATAGGATGGAGAGGAGGAGGCAGAGAGAGACGTCTGTTACACCAGAAGGAATAAAAGGAAAAACTTGTTTTCCAAAAGAAAAGGTAGAAAAGGACTTTACCAAAGAGTAGTTTTAGGATTGTTGCTAATGGCCAGCTTTATTAGAATACAGAAGACATTGATATACTTTAAACAATTTAATGAGTGGCAATTCTCATAAGATATACAGAAGGAGTGAGTCAGCACAGAACTAATACAGTGACAGAGGACAAACCAAGTATCTTTGAGGGAGGAAGAGAACTCACATGCATTGAACATTTACTGGGTGCAGTACCTTGTTATGAAACTCTGTTGCTATCCTATGAGACAGACACTATTGTTTCCCTCCATTTACAGGAGCAGGAACTCATGCTCAGAGAAGTGTTCAAAAAAAAAACAAAAAAACAAAACAAAAAGGCCTCACTGATAATCCTATGACTAGTAAGTGTGGGGCTGGGATGTGATTCCAAGTTCGCCTGATTCCAAAGCTCATGCTCTTTCTACAAGTTCGGTCTGCGTTCCAAAGGCAAAATTGCAGCCCTGCTGAAAGGTGGAGGGGTGAACAATGAGTCCCTCCTCTATTTATAGACAGAGAACAAAACCAGACAGCCCAAAAGGGCAGAAGTGCCAAGAAGGAAAATAGTTTTTCTGGGTCCTTTATGAGGACATTTTTACTCCCAAAATGGAGATGGTGCCGGAAAGTAAGATTGCCCATCACGAACTGCTGCAGCAGCCAGGACAATGCAGCCAAGAAAGGACAATGGGTTCAGCACCCAGGGGTCATTAGTGGCCCTCAAGAGGCTGCTTCAACAGAGGAGTGTGTCCAGACCTGATATTTAAAGCAGTTTACAGCAAGCAACTGGTTGAGAAATCGAGGCTTCTAAAGTAGACCTACTCATTCAAGAATAGCAGTAAATATAATGATATCTGCATGTTTTAAAATTACAGGGAAGCAATGAATCAAGAGGAAAGGTTAAAAAATCAGACTTTAATAAAAATGAGTGCTTATCTTATTTTGCAGATAGAAAAGTGCAAGAAAGACATGCTATTAGAGACAGAAATAAAAATCCAAATTAACTGGACCAGCTGAGACTCTGGACTGGGAAAACATGAGTCTGAACCACTACAGGGTTCTCGGGGAGTTGTATCTTTCCTGACACACTGTTTGTTCACCCTTTTCTTTGGGCAACAGATGCCATTCCTGACCACATGGGTTGTCCTGTAAATGGTCTGGCCACTTGTGATACTTCATGCCACTGGAAACAGTAGTCAGTTGACCTAATGTGACTCAAACTAAGCCAGCCAGTCTGTCTCTCTGAGATTGGTGTATGGGCATTGGAAGAGCAGTCTTCTCTCTCCATTAGATTGTGAAGCTGGGGTCACGCAAGAGAAAGGCTTAAGCAGCCCCCCACGCATGAGCAACACAGATTAGCAATGACCTGGGCAAAGGGGATTTCTCTCTCTCAGCACCCATACGTAAAATCCGAAGAAAGGATCTCTGGACATGTGAAGGAAGCCCATTCATAAGTAGGAAAAAATGAGGCCAGTCCAAAGAAAGATGGAGAGAGAGAGAAAAACAAACAACAACCTTCAAAACTCTGAATCTAGCCAAATCTGCTCCCCATCCTGGACTTTCTCCTTTATTGGGCCATAATCAAAGAGTCCAGTTGTTTTCATTTCTAGCTGCCACAGATAAGTGAGAACATGTGCTTTTTGTCTTTCTGTATCTGGCTTGTTTCACTTAACATAATGACCTACAGTTCCATCCCTGTCGTTGGAAATGATGGGATCTCATTCTTTTTTATGGGTGTATAGTACTCTTTTTTATATTTAAGGAAGTTTGAAGTGAGTTTCTCTAGCTGGCAGCCAAAATAGAGTTCACTAACATAACTCCCATTGAAGCCTCAATCAAACCTCAATAGGTTGCCCTGTGAATGGAAATTAAAATTTTGACCTGCTGGAGCCGCTGAGAATGAATATAATTTTTTTAAAAAGGCATGGAGCTCTGTCCTCAAGAAACTCATAGTCATGGGAAGTTTTTTGCTTTCCTGCTACAAATAGGAAATCCTTCAGAAAGGTTGATGATGTCAGTGTAGGTATGTGTGGTGGGAGAGGGAATGGCAGGGGAGGCACAATCCTCTTCCAAAAGATAAATAATAATGACCAAGCTAATTATCACACTTGACAGATACACACAGGAGCCAAAGGGTGGTGCGCAGAGCTTTGTATGTTTCTCATTGAGACACATCAGCCCACCTCGAGCCTCTCATTGGGCTTCCAGACATCTTTTCTCTCTTGCCTAGCTTTTCCTTCCTTTCTTGGGATTCCCTTGTCCAGTTGGCCCTTTGGGCTCCCCTGCCCTCCCTCCAGGGCTCCCAGAAAAGCAGCTCCATTCACTCCCATTGGGAGCTGAAGAGAGTTGAGTCAGATTCCTTCATGGAAGGGGGCTTTGGGCTCTTTGGTAAAACATCAAAAGCTCAGCAAATTTTGCTCTAACAATGCCATCTCTCCTCTCACAGCACCTCTTCCATTAACTACTGCATTTGGAAATGTTTGTCTCTTTTCTCTGTCTTACCAGAAGCATTTTCCCCAAAAGAAGGGTGGGAAGAAAAGACAATTAGAGAGGGACCAGTGCTCAGGAACAGTCTTAGAACTCTCCCACAGGGCAGGCCACTGGGTGGCACAAGCTGAAGGATTCTGGGCAGTCCCCCTTCCCTCCCTCCACAAAAGCAATATGCTGTCTTATGCTTGGAACATCACTTACAAACTGTAAAGCCATGCTATGCAGCTATTAGATATCATTTTTTAAAACCCTACTCCAAAAAACTCTTTCCATACATAGTAGACCTGCAATAAGGAGGGTTTTTAAATGGAGGGATTCCATTGGTTTATAGAATTATTTTCAAATTCAGAGACCCTTGCACTGTCTTCCCCATGCTGCTGGTGAAGAAGTGAATCATTACAACCTTCCTGGTAGGTTATTTGGCAGTGTGCCTCAAAAGCCTTAAAAATGTTCATTTTTTTTTGAACCCCACAATTTTAATTCCAGAGCATGAATGGGCTCCACCATTTACCAGCCATGTGATTTAGGCTCTCTGAACCTCAGTTTCCTCATCTCTAAAATGGGGATAATATCATAGGCTGGTTGTGAGGATTAAATGAAATATATGGAATGCCTTAGAATGATGTCCAGCATACGATTACATGCTATGTGTGAGCTAAGTAAGTGATCAGAGAGAGAAGTAGAAATACATCTCAGTATTATTTTAATTGACAACATTTAGAAACATGTCTAATAATGGATTGTTAGCTAAACTAATTATGTGGATCCATAAGATGGAACATTACATGCCCGTTTTAAAAATCATGTTTTCAAAGAATATTTGATGATATGGGAAGATGTTCATAATATATCACTGGGCAAAAAAATTCGCGTTTTGAATAACATACACAGTATAATCTGAATATCAATATAAAAGGTAAAGAGAATACTTCAAAGTATTATTGGCAGGTATCTCTAAGTAAAGAACCTTTTCTGCAATGGAATCACCTGGGGAACTTAATAAAACAATCCTGCTCTAGGATACCATCCCTAGAAATTCTGATCAAATTGGCCTGGGCTGTGACCTGGGCCTCAGGATTCGTATTTTCTTCCACATGCTTGGATACTTTCCCTAGATTTTTTCCCCAAAGTTTTCTAAAATAAATATGTATCACTTTTATAATTAGAAATTAAAACCATAAATGCTGTTTAAAAGACATTTCAATTACCCCCACGAGAGTGGCTGACTAAGCAATGATTTTAGTGACTGGCTTACCAGATAGTTTTCTCCCAGGGAAAGCTGGAGTTTGGCAGAGGAGGGAGAAGCAATTCAGAGTATGAGTCACTGCCCTGGGGAACAGACCTAGGAGGGGCACTAGATGGGGAAGGAGGTGTGGGGCTCAAGGTGAGGACACTGGCCACTTGAGGGGCCAGGGCAGGGACTGAAGAGGTCCTACTGACCAGCTTTACAGGCTGAGCCTGTTGCACAGGCCACTCGGTTATTTATGGCCCTTCCTGTCTGAGGCCTTGCTAGGAGCCCCTTGTGATACTGGGGTTTCATTTGTGTGTGTCAGCATTATGCTTTCTCTTTTCCAGCAGACAGTCTTGATAAGGGGCGGGAGGAACGGACGCAACAAGGAGAAAGGAAGCAACGGAAGGTCTTCGGCTGCTAAAAAATGTAACTGACAAAGAGTCCAGGGCTGTTTGTATTTTTCTTCCTCTGTGTCTCATATTAAACACTTTGGGTCTGATGACTGAGTTTCTCCAGCCGACATAGCATTCATTTATTTTTTTCCCATTCATTCAGCAAGTCCTCCTTGAGCTCTTATTATATGCCAAGACCTGTACCAAGTCCTTTTCATCATTTAATTCTTATCTAGAGCCTTAAGCAAATGACTCAAGTACTGTGATTAGCTTGCCTTTTGCAGATGAAAAATTTGAAGCTCAGGGAAGTTACAGGCCTAACGTTGCCCAGCAAGTTGTTAATCATATCATCATCATCAGAATAGCTATTGATTATTGAGAATCTTTGTGCCAGACACTATACTGAAAGCTTTATACCCATGTGTCTTTAACCACTCCACCCCAGCAATAGCTCTGTGAGGAAAAGTTTATTATTATTAGCCATGATTTATAGATGGAAAAGCTTAGGTACAGAGAGAGAAGGTTATTCATCCAAGGCCACACAGCCATTAGGCAATAGGGAAGGATTTATACTCAAGTATGTCAAACTCCTGGCCTCCTGTTGTTAAACCCTGAGTAATGGTGCTCCCACAACTTAGTGACTGAGCTTCAGAAGTCAAGCTTAATGCCTTTAGCATGCAGTATATTTAAGACACTCACATTCAATTAAAGATGTTCATCTCAGTCTATTTTGGTTTATTCTCAATACCTGAGATTGCTACAGCCTACAAGCAAATAATATGAGGAGCTGGAAACCTACTCCAGCCTCATTTGCTTTTTTGTTCTTGTTGTTATTAAATTCTTATTCTCTAACTACTATTTCAAGCATGTGCCCATTATCATCCAAAGAACCACGGCAGAAGAGAATTATGGGAAGCTGAAAGAGAAGGCAAGAAAAGGGCACCTACTGGTTGCCACGGTGAAATGTTCGAAGGGAGAAGGAGGCAGCTATTAGCATTCAGTTTAATGGTGTGTTTAGCCCCATCCATAACTGGAAGTGTGTTTACCGTTTCATATTTCCTTAGTGAGCAGGAGCCACAAATCTCATTCTCCATATTGAAAGCCAGTTAGTGGTTCTAATTATGTGTCGGCTCACACTGTTCCTCAACCAAAGGGTGGGACAATGAGAGTTCCCCAGTTACCCCCAGCTGCATGACCGGATCCCTCACACCCTGGCCTTACAGGATTAACCATTTGCTGTCCAGTGGTTCCAGATGGTTCAAAGTTGCTTAAGATGTGGCCTGGGCACCTCCACACTGAAAATAAAATGGGGTCACTTCAAGCCCCAGGAACACTTCATCCCAATGCTTCCCATTTAAATGGCACATTACGAGCTGTTTATCCACACAGCAGCCTGCAATGTTGTCAAGCTCCACTGCCCCCATCCTGCAAACGGAGATACTGAGATAAAGGTACACCACCTGGAATGTGAATTAGCCACTTCCTACGAGGGAATGGAAAAGTTCCTAACCACAAGGAATTTGCTAAATCTCTCCCCAAACCTTCTTCCTCTGCCCCAGTGGTTCTCAAGCCTAGAAGCCCATCAGAATCACCTGGAAAGCTCTGGCTCCATCTTAGATCAAGTGCATCAACAGTTTTGCGGGTGGGTACCAGGAATCTCTATTTCATGAATGCTCCTCAGGGGATTCAGCTGAGCAGCTGGGCATGAGAACCATGGCTGCGACCCCTCCACCATTTCTCACAGCCCCTCGTTTATGAATCTGACATTTCTTTTTTTTTTTTAATTTTATTATTATTATACTTTAAGTTTTAGGGTACATGTGCACAATGTGCAGGTTAGTTACATATGTATACATGTGCCATGCTGGTGTGCTGCACCCATTAACTCGTCATTTAGCATTAGGTATATCTCCTAAAGCTATCCTTCCCCCCTTCCCCCACCCCACAACTGTCCGCAGAGTGTGATGTTCCCCTTCCTGTGTCCATGTGTTCTCATTGTTCAATTCCCACCTATGAGTGAGAATATGCAGTGTTTGGTTTTTTGTTCTTGCGATAGTTTACTGAGAATGATGATTTCCAGTTTCATCCATGTCCCTACAAAGGACATGAACTCATCGTTTTTTATGGCTGCATAGTATTCCATGGTGTATATGTGCCACATTTTCTTAATCCAGTCTATCATTGTTGGACGTTTGGGTTGGTTCCAAGTCTTTGCTATCGTGAATAGTGCCGCAATAAACATACACGTGCATGTGTCTTTATAGCAGCATGATTTATAGTCCTTTGGGTATATACCCAGTAATGGGATGGTTGGATCAAATGGTATTTCTAGTTATAGATCCCTGAGGAATCACCACACTGACTTCCACAAGGGTTGAACTAGTTTACAGTCCCACCAACAGTGTAAAAGTGTTCCTATTTCTCCACATCCTCTCCAGCACCTGTTCTTTCCTGACTTTTTAATGATCGCCATTCTAACTGGTGTAAGATGGTATCTCATTGTGGTTTTGATTTGCGTTTCTCTGATGGCCAGTGATGGTGAGCATTTTTTCATGTGTTTTTTGGTTGCATAAATGTCTTCTTTTGAGAAGTGTCTGTTCATGTCCCTCGCCCACTTTTTGATGGGGTTGTTTTTTTTTCTTGTAAATTTGTTTGAGTTCATTGTAGATTCTGGATATTAGCCCTTTGTCAGATGAGTAGGTTGCGAAAATTTTCTCCCATTTTGTGGGTTGCCTGTTCAGTCTGATGGTAGTTTCTTTTGCTGTGTAGAAGCTCTTTAGTTTAATTAGATCCCATTTGTCAATTTTGTCTTTTGTTGCCATTGCTTTTGGTGTTTTAGACATGAAGTCCTTGCCCATGCCTATGTCCTGAATGGTAATGCCTAGGTTTTCTTCTAGGGTTTTTATGGTTTTAGGTCTAACGTTTAAGTCTTTAATCCATCTTGAATTAATTTTTGTATAAGGTGTAAGGAAGGGATCCAGTTTCAGCTTTCTACATATGGCTAGCCAGTTTTCCCAGCACCATTTATTAAATAGGGAATCCTTTCCCCATTGCTTGTTTTTCTCAGGTTTGTCAAAGATCAGATAGTTGCAGATATGTGGTGTTATTTCTGAGGGCTCTGTTCTGTTCCATTGATCTAGATCTCTGTTTTCGTACCAGTACCTTGCTGTTTTGGTTACTGTAGCCTTGTAGTATAGTTTGAAGTCAGATAGCGTGATGCCTCCAGCTTTGTTCTTTTGGCTTAGGATTGACTTGGCGATGTGGGCTCTTTTTTGGTTCCATATGAACTTTAAAGTAGTTTTTTCCAATTCTGTGAGGAAAGTCATTGGTAGCTTGATGGGGATGGCATTGAATATATAAATTACCTTGGGCAGTATGGCCATTTTCATGATATTGATTCTTCCTACCCATGAGCATGGAATGTTCTTCCATTTGTTTGTATCCTCTTTTATTTCATTGAGCAGTGGTTTGTAGTTCTCCTTGAAGAGGTCCTTCACGTCCCTTGTAAGTTGGATTCCTAGGTATTTTATTCTCTTTGAAGCAATTGTGAATGGGAGTTCACTCATGATTTGGCTCTCTGTTTGTCTGTTATTGGTGTATAAGAATGCTTGTGATTTTTGTACATTGATTTTGTATCCTGGGACTTTGCTGAAGTTGCTTATCACCTTAAGGAGATTTTGGGCTGAGACAATGGGGTTTTCTAGATATACAATCATGCCATCTGCAAACAGGGACAATTTGACTTCCTCTTTTCCTAATTGAATACCCTTTATTTCCTTCTCCTGCCTAATTGCCCTGGCCAGAACTTCCAACACTATGTTGAATAGGAGTGGTGAAAGAGGGCATCCCTGTCTTGTGACAGTTTTCAAAGGGAATGCTTCCAGTTTTTGCCCATTCAGTATGATATTGGCTGTGGGTTTGTCATAGATAGCTCTTATTATTTTGAGATACGTCCCATCAATACCTAATTTATTAAGAGTTTTTAGCATGAGGGGTTGTTGAATTTTGTCAAAGGCCTTTTCTGCATGTATTGAGATAATCATGTGGTTTTTGTCTTTGGTTCTGTTTATATGCTGGATTACATTTATTGATTTGTGTATATTGAACCAGCCTTGCGTCCCAGGGATGAAGCCCACTTGATCATGGTGGCTAAGCTTTTTGATGTGCTGCTGGATTCGGTTTGCCAGTATTTTATTGAGGATTTTTGCATCAATGTTCATCAAGGATATTGGTCTAAAATTCTCTTTTTTGGTTGTGTCTCTGCCCGGCTTTGGTATCAGGATGATGCTGGCCTCATAAAATGAGTTAGGGAGGATTCCCTCTTTTTCTATTGATTGGAATAGTTTCAGAAGGAATGGTACCAGTTCCTCCTTGTACCTCTGGTAGAATTCGGCTGTGAATCCATCTGGTCCTGGACTCTTTTTGGTTGGTAAGCTATTGATTATTGCCACAATTTCAGAGCCTGTTATTGGTCTATTCAGAGATTCAACTTCTTCCTAGTTTAGTGTTGGGAGGGTGTATGTGTCGAGGAATTTACCTATTTCTTCTAGATTTTCTAGTTTATTTGCGTAGAGGTGTTTGTAGTATTCTCTGATGGTAGTTTGTATTTCTGTGGGATCAGTGGTGATATCCCCTTTATCATTTTTTATGAATCTGACATTTCATCCCTTCTGCCAAACAGATTATTCACTAAGCCAGAATTCCCATTAGGTAATATGACTAAGTGGTTAGCACAGGGATACTGAGGCCTGACTGACCTGGGTTTGAATCCCAGCTTTGCTACTTTCTCACTGTGTGACTTAGGACAGGTGAGCTAAACATACTTGGCTGTAATCTCATTATCTGCAAACCAAGAGTGGCAACAGTGGCCACCTTATAGGGCTATCAGGAGAATGAAGTTCCTGGCACACAATTAGTGCCTCATAGTAAATGGTAGCTATCACCATACATAACCATGGCCTAAGCTCTTTCTTACAGAAGATGAAGAGAAGAAAGTCTGTTCTGGGCCAGTGTGTTTCATGAAGGGCAAGTGGGGCAATGCCCAACTTTATATTCTTAAAATCCAGTTTTTCAACACGCAGTGAGAGGGTGATTTTTCCCCTTGTTCAATTAGAGAGAGGCCTAACAGCAGCAAGAACTATATAGACTGGATACTTGAAGGAGATGAACAGTTTAGAACAAGCTTGCCTGTCTCCTTTCTGAGAAAAACACCAAGTTTGGGTATTCAGAACATCCAGATGCAAACAAAAAAGTAGGAAAACAAACAAAAACCAAAATACCACCAGTTATCTGGCTTGGAACAACACAGATTCAGATCATTGCTCTGATTTTCCATTTTCCACGTGTGCATACAGATTCCTCATAGACAGTAATTAACATGCATTTTGTGCTTGTTGTATGCCAGGGCCATATTGTTTTCTTCTACAAACTGTCTTATGTTTTTATTTATTTTATTTTAATTTTTTTTTTTTTTTGAGACAGAGTCTCAGTCACCCAAGCTGGAGTGCAGTGGCGCAATCTCAGCTTACTGCAAACCTCCACCTCCCGGGTTCAAGTGATTCTCGTACCTCAGCCTCCCAAGTAGCTGGAATTACAGGTACGTGCGCTACCACCTCCAGGTAATTTTTGTATTTTTAGTAGAGACGGGGTTTCACCATGTTGGCCAGGCTGCTCTCAAACTCCTGGCCTCAAGTGACCCGCCCGCCTCAGCCTCCCAAAGTGCTGAGATTACAAGCATGAGCCACCGCGCCTGGCCTCAAACTGTCTCATTTAATTCTCATATCAGGCCCTTGGATAGATGCTATTTTACATAAGAAATCAAGGCTCAAAGAGATTAAATAACTTGTCCAAGATTACACAGTAAGCAGTAATATTGGGACTTAAACTCTACAGGCCCCACTCTTAACCAATCTACTGTCCTACTCCCAGGCTTTAGTCTGGCAGGGTAAATGCATGATGATTATTCCATGGCCAACAGATTACAAAGTCTTAAGTGCAATAGGCTCCAATTCCCAATGTCCAGCTCTGCAGCCTGACTGTCACCTCCCCTCATTCCCTGCCCCTGATTTCTTTGAAAGGCTTTTGGGAAATAATAACAGCATCTTTGCCAGGAGTGTTGGAGTCCTACAGAAATATCAGGTGACCCAAAGCCCCTGAAGCATCATAAAGTCAGCTTAAGAAGCAATATTACAACCTTTGCTTCCAAGACTTTTCAAAGCTTTTTCCTACTTCTGATTGCATTCTGTCCTCCAAATAAGCATGTAGATAGATGTGTTCTCATTTTAAAGAAAAGTTCAACAAGAAGGGGTGAAAACTAGGGCCAGAAAAGAAGTTAAGCATTTCTGCCTCCTAGTTTCGCTCTCTCTTTTTTTTTTCTTTGCCTCTAGTGCACATCTTTAGGGAGGTGATATAATATGTGTTAAAATGAAAAACAGATGGTACATGTGCCGCTAGACATTCTACTTCACCCCTTGCAGACATTACTAATTGATCTCTGCACTCTTCTCCACCAAGTTGGACATTGCCTCGATATTCTTCTCAGTTAAGGGCTCCTGGCAGCAATTGCCAATCAATGCTGGCATGGCAGAAAACGCATATTTTATCCATGGTATAGTAATTAAGACCATGTACTTTGGAGTCAGTCAAACCTAGATTAGAATCCCAGGTCTGACTGTGTGACCATGGCCTTGTTACTTGACCTTTCTGGACTTTAGTTTTCTTATCAGTAAAATAAAGATTATCATACCTTCTTCACAGAACTATCATTAAAAGCAGATGACAAATGCCTGTACAGCTCTGGGCTCCTTGCCTGGCACAAAGAGGGCCCTTAGTAAATGGTATTCATCCATCCATCCCATTAGTAAATGGTATTCATCCATCCCATTCCTTAATAAACATTTTTAGGGGCATTACCATACACCACTCTGTTGGGAACTGGCACTACAGGGGCAGGCAAATAAGATAAGGTGGCACTTTCTGGTTGAGAGAGCAGTTTTTGGTAAATAATTTTTTATCAAATAAGTTCAGCTTATGATAAGTGGTATGAAAGAAAAGATTTGAGTGATGAAATAAAGAACACCAAGGTGGGGTGGAAAGCAACATGAGCCTCTTAGACACCACAGAAAGTTTCATCCCTCTCAAGTGCCAGTTCTTGAATCCCTGGCAAAGGAGAAAACAAGTGGAAATGGGACTGAGTGGTGTTTTGACGCATTGTGATGGCAAAGGAGGCAGGTTATTCATAGTGCTTCTCCCTGCCATCCCCCGGTCCTCTCTGTTTTGATTGGCTCTAACCCCAAGATAAGAGAAATATCAGAATATTCAGCACTGGATTCATGGGCTGTGACAAGGCCCCTTTTAGGTCCCAGCTAATCTGCTGCAATCAGCCTGCAATCTGCAGAGCAGACCCAGCAACCCCAGCAAATCAGCCCTGGACCCCTGGGGACCCATCTTAACACATGTCCTCCTTCCTCTCTCATTCTCGTTCCCTTCCCCCTCCTACTCCCGCCTCCATAAGTTCCTCCCTCCACTTTCCCCTACCCTCCTCCCTCTGCTTCCCCTTGCCTGTGGGTGCAGAGCCCACTGAGGCCTTGGGTGGAGCCCTCTAGCCCCCTTGACAACTACTTGAGGCTGGACTGGATTTCATTCCCTGACTATGAACTTCATAGAGACAGAGCCAAGAATCAATGCTGGGAAGGAAACATCTCTGAAGAAGTTATAGGTCTGGGAGCCACCAAAGCACGACTTTTAAGGATATGTGTGCAATCAAAGGAGGACCGACTCGAATAATTATAACCTACACGTATATGATGCTTGACGAGTCATTTTCATGATGTCCATCTTCCCAGCAATGTTGAGAGGCATTAGGCAGGTGATGACACTAGAAGCTCGGTAGTATCAAGGGTCTTTCCCAGGGCTGCTTAGCTGCTTAGCCAGTCAGAAAGAGACCTAGGACTAAAACCTAGGTTTATTTCAACACCCCGCCTCATTGCAATGCAGTTTTCTCCCTCTGTATCAGTCAGAGTTCTCCAGAGAAAACAATCAATAGAATAAAATAGAATATATATATATAGAGAGAGAGATTTATTTTCAGAAACTGGCTGACACAAATGTGGCAGCTGGTAAGTCCCAAACCTGTAGGGCAGGCCAGGAAGCTGGAAATTCAAGTAAGAGTTGATGTTGCAGTGTTGAGTCTGAAATCCATAGGACAGGCCAGCAGGTTGGAAACTTGGGCAGGATTTCTAGGCTACAGTCTTAATGCTGAATTTCTTCTCTAGAAAACTTCAGGTTTTGTTCTAAGCTTTCAACTGATTGGATGGGGTTCACCTACAATACGGAGGGTAATCTGCTTTACTTAAAGTTAAATGATTGCAGATGTTAATCACATCTACAAAATACCTTCACAGAGACATCTAGACTAGTATTTGACTAAACCACTGGGTACTGTGGTTGAGCTAAGTCGACACATACAATAAACCTCCTTAGGACATTTTCGTACATCATTGCACTTAAACCGCATAATACCCTGCGAAGGAGGTTGTTGACATTATCGCCATTTTACAGATGAGAAAACCAAAGCTCAAGAGAAAAAGTTACCCACCTGATCTCGCACAGCTCAGGTATCTGAGCCAGGAAACTGCCTCATATTACAGAGACTTCTCAGGGTCCTAAGGATAAAGTATTGACACCTGCATTTGGCATAAACCTATCACAGCTTACACACACTGCAGTGCTCTTCAGCCAGCATTCAAGCAGTTCTTCAGTTACTTAGAGATACCTCTCTGGGCCTTCTTCAAGTCAATTAAGGGATAGGAGTAGGCTCTTTCTGGAAGGATACACGCAAAACATGGAAGGTAAACCAGGTGGCTGGGCGGCAAGGGAAGGGAAAGGACTTTTTACTATATATTCTTTTGTGCCTTTGAAAATGTGAAACATGTGAAAGTGTTGGTTATTAAGTTAATGAAATTAAAATAAAACAATAAATGAATGAATTAATTAAAAGGAACCTACAAGGATCTCAGACTTATGAACACATCATTGCACTTTACTTTGGACACAAGAAAGATGAGGCAGATGCAGCAGCCACCATGTTGGTCAACACTCAGCTCTCAGTGACTTTTGGCTTCTTTCAAAAATCAAAACCACCCCCAAAGAATGAGGATTCGCCACCAATGAGCATATTCAAAGAACGTGCTTCAGGCTCTGAAAAAAATTTCAAGAGGAGTTTGAAAATCCTTTTGAGCCAAAGCAGTATCACTGGAGAAAGTAAACATTACCCTCAAGGTGATGCTTTAAGGAAGAACTCACTAGACTGTATTACTTCCAGTTTCATTCTTTTTCTTTTCTTTTTTGCTTTCTCCCTTTTTTAATCCATCACTGTTTTCCGTGATGCTTCTTTCTCTTTTTTCCCTTCATCCTTGACTCTCTTTCTCTCTCTCTCCCTATCTCCATCTCTCTCTCCTTCCCCTTCTGCCTCCCTCCCTATTCTTCTGCTTATAGCCTCAGGACTTTTTAGGAAATCATTCTCAGTCATGTGGTTTGGATGGGACTACACTTCCTGCTCCAGGATTGGATTATGTGATCCAGGCCTATCCAATCTTTGTAGTTTCACCCTCTTGGCTACAGTGATTGGTTTGGGGATGAGCACATGAGATAAGATGGTACAATCAGAGTGAATACAGGGATTTATGTCGCAGCTTCAGGAAGACAACCCTCTTTTCCACTAGACTTGGACATGAAAGATGCAGACATGGAGACATTGGCAGCCCTCTTGCTGCAATGCTAAGACTGAGAATGAAGGCCAGACAACTGAAATGGAGAGAGACTGGATTTGAAGTCTCTCTCCATTTGAATTGTTTTGTCATGTAAGATAATTAATTTCCTATTTTGCTAAAGTCATCTTGAATTGAGGTTTCTGTCATTTATAACAAAAATCATTTCAATGAATACTATCTGCCAGCAGCAATGTGTACCTCAGATTTGAAAGAAATCTCAGTCTTCCTAAACTCCCCATGAAAATGCAAATACTTTTGACAGAAAGACTTACATAAGCAGTAGAATTTAAGAATTATAAACATAGAGTAGCCTCAAAAATTTCCTTTGGGAAACCACTAATGGTTTTCAAGTTTTATTTCAATAACAGAACCCTTTTTCAAAGAAAATCATACACAGAACTCTAATATATACATATGTCTTCCATGCCAGTTCCACTGTGTAAACTTGTCATGGGAGTTTTGTTAGTTACATATTGTGTCCGCTGACTAGAGCGCTTTTCCTACTCACTGTTTCCCCAATTCACCCTAAGCCAGTTTGCTAAACAAACTCCTATTGCTCTCTGGATAATTCAAATTAAATGTCACTTTAAGATGTCTTCTCTGATGTCTAGGGTTCAGTGCCCCTGCAATGTGCCCCCACATTACTCTGTCCTCTCCCCCATAGCACATAAAACACACAGGCACAATCTCTCATGTCCTGATCTGCCTGCCCACCTGGGAGTCAGCTCTGGGGGTACAAATTTGGTCTTATGCATTGTTGTGTATGACATATGTCATGCCTATAAGTATGTGCTGAATAGTGACATTAATGAGTAAATAAACAAATAAACAAATGGGATTGTGCGCCCCTGATGTAGAAGCCATCTGCTTCTTCAGATCTGAGTTCATAGTTTAACCTCAACTCAGAGGCTGAGGGATAGGGAGGCAGAGTGACACACAGTCTTCCCTCCTTTCCCCACAAACTATCCTTCCCCACTGGCCTTTCTTTGTTTTTAATGATCCTACTTTACAACTTTGTATCTTTGAGTTAAGGGATAGCAGTCACTTCTCAAAGTATGAGTACACTTTGAGTGAGTGACATCAAATCCTGCTAGAATGTAAGCTCCATGAAAGCAAGGATTTGTTTCTCTGTGTTGTACACTGATGTATTTTTTTTACACTGAACAGTGCCTGGCATATAATAGGGACTCTATAAATATTTGTTAAACAGATGAATGAATCAGAGGGCATTCAAGTCAGAAGAGAACTTGAAGAGTAGATGGTTTAATAATTTCCAAAAGACTGTGTTCTGAAGGACTAATATGTTGAGAAAATAAGAGTCTTGTGTCCAAAGAAGTGTCTGAATTACTGCATATAATTTCCTCATTTTAATGATTCACAGTGCACATTAAATTATTAAGACTAATAATTTATGTGGTAAAATAACTATGTAAGCTTGCTTAGCCTTGAGTTTTCTAAATTTATTTGGCCAGAAAACACTTTTTTGTTTGTTTGTTTGTTTGATAGCTTTAGCGTAATACCGGTTGACATCCCATAGAACTGATGTTCCAAAAACACACTTTGGGAAATGCTACCCTAGACTAATGTGCTAATTTTTCAGTGGAATCATAATGGCTTACAATGGTGTAATGTTTTATATTTCAAGTGATTGCCTTGTTACTAACTCCTTTAAGCCTCACAAATCTCTGAGAGATCACTCAGATAATATCCCTATTTTGGAGACAAGGAAATAGAGGTCTGGAGGGGTTAAGGGATTTGCTCAAGGTCACACAGCTAGTTAGTGACAGAGTTGAGAAAAGAATCCAAGTCTTCTATGCATCCAGTTATCACCAATCAACACCTTAACAGGTGTCTATCTCATCTTTTTTCCATATCAGAAAGTAAGTTGAAAGCAACGTCTTTTTCAAAGAAACCCAAATTGTTTTTGCTGGAGAAAGACAGAAATATTCAAGAACATGAGAATTCTTTCTGAGAATTTGCATTGATTGTTCTCCTTGCCAACAACCTCAAAAGACTAAGGATAACCCCAAGCATCCTGCTTGCCCTTACTGTCAGCCACATGCATTTGTCCAGCCCAGAAATGGCACATTCACAGCTCACATGCCATCATGGCCCCTTCTTTGATTGTAACAGGCATGGCTAATTTATTACTAACCACTGAGGCTAGGCATGACCTAAGATTTTCTCAGTCTAGCACTTCAGTGGCCACTATCCAAAGATCAGAGCTGACCCAGGCTGAAGCCTGTTTGCTGCCTTTGATTTCTCTTTCTACATTGTTCCACCTCTCATTTCCACCATTCCTTGGCTAATGGAGTCTATAAATTTACTCTTCACAGTGTCAAGTGTTCCTTTTTATATTTGTCTGGAGTATATATATATATATATATATATATTTCAAACTTCAAAGAATTGATGCTTAATTTCATAAGAACTCAATGATACATATACAAGTGAAAGTGTTTTGGAAACAAGAAGTTATACTTTGAAAGGCACTATTATTGTAATTATAGCTCTTTTAGTTCACCTGTCTATACTTGAGATGGAATGCTTTATCTGTTTTCTATTTCAAATTTTGGTTCATTTGTCCTAACTACTGGATTCTTCATCCCAAGTGGCCCCTTTTCAATATGTTTTTTAAAACTAAATTGAGCATCATTTAAAATAGGTCTTTGGTTAGGGTAGCTTTAGGTACTATAGCATTTACAAATGGTTTACTTAAAGAAAAGAGTACCTAAGACAAAAGTTGAGAAGCAAACAACGCTCAGTTTAATTTCAACTATCTTTGTCTATTTGAGCTGCTGCAACAACAACTCCTGAAACTAGGTGACTTGTGAAAAACATAAATTTATTTCTCATAATTCTGGAGGCTGGGAAGTCCAAGATCGAGGCACTGGCAGATTTGGCATATAATAAGGGCCCATTTCCCTTGTTCATAGACAGTGGTCTTCTTATTGTAACCTAATCTGGAGAAAGGGGTGAAGGTCCTTCTCAGGCTTCTTTTATAGGGGGCACTAATCCCATCACCTAATCACCTCTCAAAGCCTCACCTCCTAATATCATCATCTTGGGGGTTAGAATTTTAATGCATGAACTTGGGAGGCACACAAACATTCAGACCATAGCACTAACTATCATTAAATTTAGTACTACCTTTAGATCCAGGCACAAGGGGCCCTGCCCAGGTTCCTGCACTTTAGAGAGGGCTGTTTGTTCCTCCGCTGACTATACCTCTCCTCATGGAGTGAGCACTCCCAGGGCCCAAGGAAACATGTCCACCCAGAGCCTGCACCCATCTTGTTCATACTAAGTACCCAGCACCCTGGAATTGCCTGACTTTATGGCCCTGAGTTCACTTCTGAGGACCAGGCAGACCTCTTCCCCAGGGCCCACCTTTCTGATGAGGTGTGGATGGAGACTGGATATGGAGTTGGGATATCCACTTGCCTGCACTCAAGGCCCCTGTGGTATAAGATGGAGCTGGGAGTGGAAAGGGAAGGAGGTGGCACCCAAGTGAGACTCGTCTGACCCTTCCATGTTCCATCAGAAACATCCACCCGAGGCATCCAAGAATTCGCAGTTCAGATCTGGCCTTCCAGAAAGTCATGAAGTTCTACTTGTCAAGGTAGAAGGATCGACTGTATTTTAATTTAACAGTTTTCTAGCTTTATTTACACATTTAAAATATTCATACGTATGTAAATAGGCCTCTCTATTAGTCTTACTCTGGGCTCCACAAATCTTAACATGGATCTGACTGCACTTTTTGGGCCTTTTAGTTCTCAAAGCAGCCGTATCTAACTTTCTGTTATGGGATCCATGATTCAAGGTCAACCTGATGAACAATCCTAATTATAAATAAGACGTGCAATGATGATTCTGTCTCCACATTGCACTCAAACATTCATTTACTCACTGAACACCCAGAAGTTTCTTCAGCTTTATGACTTTATCAGTTTAAAGTTTACTAAATGATATATCTTTTTTCAACCACATGATATAATATAGGTAGAAGCGCCGGTAAACTGCAAAGTGCTATTCAAATGTATTTTGATTTTTATTTCAATCTTTCAAAAAAATTCTTACAGAAAGGAAAGGCTGTAATTTCTCACTTCACTGTATGACTAGGTTTATGGAGATTTAATTTGTGGCTCTAATCAAAAGCATGAGAAATGAATGGCTTTTAAAATACCCTGGTTTACCCATGTTTTTTCAATAAATTTGTTTTTCGGGGGTCCCAATCACTGAAGACATACACTTGCTCAAAGTAAACAATTTTAATTTAACATGACTCAGGAGGATGTGCACAAAAGCCATGAATAACACTAGCAAATGCATATCCTTTGTATATTTCCACCTTCCCAAATTGTCTCCAAACATCTGGCCAGAGTCTCAACTTTCCCTGAAGCCTGGAGGCATATCAAGGCTGGGGAGAGCTCATCACTGCCAATCCAATCAGTCAAAACCAACTAAGTGCCCACGTGAGTTTCCAGGGGCCAGCAGACTTTGCAGATTATAAGCAGAGGCTAGGAGGAAAGGAGAAGGAAAAAACTTCCCTAAAGTGTTACTTACTGGTTATCCAGACACTGAAGCATAGGCATAATAGAAACCCAGAGAGGACAAAAAAATTATTCCAGTTTATAGTTCCTACTTGCTTCTCCCTCTACACCCTTTTAACATAGACATTTACAAGCAGGCCATGGACTGGAAAAAATGCCATTCTCAGAACCAGCTGATGTCTATTTATCTCTTAGGGCTCTTGCTTGGCAGAGATGTACTTAGTTTATACATTTTTGTTGAGTAGCTACTATGTGCCAGGTTCTGTTCCAAGTATCTGGAATAGCGGTGAATAAGATGAATAAAGTCCTGCTCTCATGGAACTTAAATTTAATAAGATGATTTTACTTTGTAAAGAATGACCTCTTTGAGATTCCTTCCTCACTTCTCCACCTCTAATTCTTCCTGCAAAACTTTGGACAGGTACCAGACAATAAATAAACTAACAAAGGAAAATGTAAGTTTATATTGTAAGTGGTGTCAAGGAAATAAACCAGGTGGTGTAATAAAGTGTGACTGCAAGGAACACTATATTGCCCTGGTGGTCAGGGGAGGCATCTCTGAGGATGTAACATTTGAACTGACATTTGCATAAAAGAAACAGACAGGCAGCCCTCTGGGGTGGAGCGCTTTCAGAGAGGCTGAGCCTGACTGCCCTCCTCTGTGTCTACTCAGCCCATGGGTAAACCCATTCATCTTGCCCTACAAATGATATAAGTGCTGTTGCTCCTACTTCCACCCTGTCTCCTAGCTCCACCATCACTGTCATTTCCAGCCAGCCTCCAGCTTTCAGAGTCTTCTAGGCAGAGGAATGCATCCCAAATACCTCCACCATTTACTCTTGCAGCTATTTTATTTGCCTGGAAGTAGTAGTGGTGGTTGGGGAGAATTACTCTCTCCCAAGACATACCTTCATTTCATTCTATCTTTTAAAATGTCTGGTCTTCTTTCTCTTACATGGGACGGATGTGAATGATGGACATGAGGGACCATTTTTGCTCTCTCTCAGAAACTTCCCAAGGATATGTCTAGCATCTATGTTTTCCAGAAAGAATGGGCGCTTAGCAATCACTGACATCTGTTCTGGGGACTCAGTTAAGTCTCTAAGAATACAATGAAAGTCAATTTAACAACCTGGTACATTAGTCCATGAGTTTAAAGACAGTCGTCTCCAAGAAGCAAGATCTTTCTTCTCCAGGAAAGGTGGCTTCCCATGAAGATAAGCTTGTTGACTTAATTGGGCAGGGAGGTTCTTCTTACAAGCCTTCATTAGGTCTTCTTGAAAGCCCCGTTCGAGGTCTACTGGCCATCTTTGCAGGCAAGAATGTCATTTTACATTAGTAATGTCTGCTTTGAGCTCAGGAGGGAGAGTTGAGGCACAAGTGCTGCTGTGTATTTGCTATTCCTGGACTATGTAAGAGCTTACATGTGTAAAGACCTCATATAGAGAAGGCCTCAGTAAGTCCTAACCTCCTGTTGGACCATAATGAACTCCCTTCTAGACTAGCACGAGAATATAAACCACTATATCACTGTACATTATTCTGCATTATTCACATTAATGAGATTTACTTAAATTAGACAAATATAAATGTCCATATATTTTCAGCCTTTCTTCAGAGGAAACGTGTTTGGGGGCATTTTATCTGCAGAATTGGACATGATCCAATTCTAGGCTTTGCCAGATATTTACTTAGGGAAAATTGAAAATTATTCTTTGCTATATACACTTTCTAATGAGATCGACATTCCTTCAAGACCAGTGAGGTTACCTCAGCCCACCATCCCATGAATGTGCACCATTGCCTGGACCTGAGGTCACGGTTGCATGGCCCCAAGAGCATCCAACCAATCAGAGCTCAGCATCAAGCTGGCTACCGGCCAAGCACAGACACCCAGAGATGTTTATTCATACCCATGATCCAAAATCAGGCCTTATCTCTAGTCTTCGTGAATGGCATACTTAATACACCACATAAGTCCATGTAAAAGGTTAACCCATGGTTAATGACCAACAATAAAATAATATGATTATAACCCATTGTGTAAATGTCTACAAGTGGGAGAGAACTTAACAAGGGCAGAACACTAAAATCAAATTATGCAAAGAGAAAAAAAAGTGGCTTTCTCTGGAAAAAAAAAATCAGCTTGCCTTATTTGCTTTATGCCTGACTTTTATATAGGTCTTGCTAGCTCTAGAGAGGCTTCTGAGCCCCAAGGTAAGGGGGAAAGATGTGTGTTTTATTCATTCCATTATTTCTTGCCAGACAGCAAAGTGAAAGGCACGTTTTGATTACTACCGACATTCACAGTCTGGACACGGGTGACAAATCTAAAGTAAGTAATCCTGAGATCTTATGCTATCAGAAGGGAGAATCGCTTTAAAGATCATGTGGTCCAACCCTATGGTAAAATCCAGAGAGGTGAAGTGACTTCTCCAAAGCCACACAGCTAGTGAGTAGGACCAGCATTCCGGGACCCAGACTCCTAGTCAAGTGCTACTTCCTGAATACACTGTATTTCTCTGTGTGTATTTTTGAAATGTTTTTTAGTTAATAGACTTTATATTTTAGAACAGTTTTCCATTTTCTGAAAAATTGAGCAGATAGTGCAGAGAGTTCCCATATACAGTCCCCTACCCCAGCACAGCTTTCCCTATTATTAACATCTTGCATGAGTGTGGTGCATTTGTTATAATTAAGGAATCAATATTGATACATTATTATTCAGTTCATAGTTTACATTAGAGTTCACTCTGTGTGCAACATGGGTCTATGAGTTTTGACAAATGTGTGACATCATGTATCTACCATTATAGTATCACCTATAATATGATACTTCAATTGCCATATGATGTTTCACTGCCCTAAAATCCCCTGTGTTTGATTCTTCATCAAGTGGTCCTTCTTGGGCATCATTAGGACTCTCTTGATGGAAGCCCAGACCCTAATATTTTTCATGCCTTTCAATTTCTTGCTAGAAAGATGTTCCTCTAAGTTAATAGAAAAGTCACGAAATACGTCATCACCTCTCTGGGTTTCGTGTTCATCCCAACTTAGGGGCCATAGGAGTTGAATCACTGCTATGACTTCTGAATGGATCTGCTTCTGGAGATGAGCTCTCCGCCTGTTCCCAGGAGGTCTGAGAGATACCCTGGACATTATCCGTGAGAGCCACCTGCCAAGGCAGGGTGAGCACCTCCTAGAACCTCATTTCTAGAACTCAACCTTTCATTATTTCAGATGCACTTGCCGCTTTGTAAATGCTATCTTTCCAGAAGAGAAAAAGAAACAGCTTGTCTACAGCATAGTAAAAGAAGCAGCCCCTGTATTAATCAAATTAATGAGGAAGAAAATCAATAAAAGTAATTATCACAAATAAAATTAAGAAAATAAACAACTTATTTACTCAGTTGTTCACTTTGCCACTAGGTGTTTCAACTTCAGAGAACCATAATTTAAGTGATGTACAGGCTGCACAAATGAGTACAGCCTAGAAAGGCGTGGGCGTGATGATTCCTAAAAATAATCATGCCAAAGCTGGGTAAGAAACCAGGCACACCTCATACCCACTCCAAGAGTGAGCTTAAACGGATGCTACTTTCCAGAGAAGCAATTTGGCAGTATCTATTAAGAGATGAGAAAACATTCATACCCTTTCATCCAGAAATTCCATTGCTAGAGAATTTATCTTAGAGATAATCAGAGAGGTACTCAATAATTTTGCAGAGAAAAAATGTTTCACAGTTTTATAATACAATAGAATAGGGGAAAAAAGAAACAACCCAAACATCTAACGATGGGGAGGTAGTAAGATGTTCTTGGTGGTTTCCTGCTAGTCATGTCCTAATGCCTTTCCTGTTTGAGAGATGGACCCCATGGGGACTCTTAATGGGAGTTGGGGCCTTACTTCTCACTACAAAATCAATCCTTCCTACTGCCTGTCCCCTTGTAGGTAAAGTGGGACACATCACCTAGGCTTGGTCAGCAAGATGCCCCTATTCAGAACATTGAAACCTAAGTATAGAAAACAAAAATTCCAGGGACAGATTGTTTCTGTGGTCAGCGCTGGCTAGGGGTCCCACTGCTGAGCCTATTTTGATTGCTGTCCCTTTTGTTAGCCTATTTTTCCATGCCTCCCATAGATCCTATAGCTACCTAATATGATTCCAGTAAATTCATCTTTTGCTTAATATAGCCAGTGTTGTTTTCTGTGGCTTACAAACAAAAACTCTGACAGACACAGAGAATGATCAAATATATTACGAAACATCTATTAAATATAATATTAATCTATCAAAATCCATGTTTTCAACACATATTTAAAGACATGGAAAAAACAACATTGAATCCTATAGAGATCACAGTTCTATACATCTATGTACATCTAGATAATTATTATGATATCTATAAATCCAGTCTTTCTCTCTGTGTGTGTGTGCCCTAAAATCCCGTGTTTGATTCTTCATCAAGTGGTGTGTGTGTGTGTGTTTAAAATACTGAAGGAAAACACACATATATGTTAACAGCTCTTTTATCTAAGAGGGATCAAAGGTGCTATAGGATGTTTCCTCTACCATCTAAGCCATTTTATCTTCAAAACTAGCTTATCTATTGCCTCCTCCAAAAAGCCTTCCCCAGCCTGGGTTAGGCCCCCTCCTTAGTGCTTTGAGAGCCCCTACTACATCCTCGCATCATAGCACTGAATTGTAGTTTTCTCTTTAATTTACCTGTGTCCCTGACCATTGTTTGTTTGTTTGTTTGTTTATTTGTTTTCGAGATGGAGTCTTGCTCTGTCACCCAGGCTAGAGTTCAGTGGCACGATCTCGACTCACTGCAACCTCTGCCTCCCAGGTTCAAGCTATTCTCTTGCCTCAGCCTCCTGAGCAGCTGGGATTACAGGCGCCTGCTACCATGCCCAGCTAATTTCTGTATTTTTAGTAGATACAGGGTTTCACCATCTTGGCCAGGCTGGTCTCGTACTCCTGACCTTGTGATCCACCCTCCTCGGCCTCCCAAAGTGCTGGGATTACAGGCGTGAGCCACCGCGCCCGGCCAATCCCTGACCGGTTTTTATTGACCATTCTTTCTTTTGTGCCTCACATAGTGCCTGCTCATGGTAGAAATTCAATAAAAATGTGTAGAATAGATATACGCAAGAATTGTTATGGTAAGAAAAAAATGATGTTATTAAAAAGAAAGGGCTGGGAACAGAAGGTATTCAGGTGAGAAATAAAGACAGACAAAACTATTACTTTACAATGAGTAAATTACATGTGACAGTGAGTTGACTATTTTGGACCCAGTGAAACGGACAGATATTGTGTCATCTAGTATATTAGATTGGTACAGACAGATAAACCATGGCTTTTTTCTTGGTCTAAATCATTGCAATAACTGCCTCCCCTCTCCTCTTTTCCTTTGCTTCTAGAGATATTGCCCATTCGTCCAACTGCCGCTGTCCTGCCAGTATATCGTCTGAGATTACCATCAGCTAAATATTGCATTGTCTTTGGACAATTTTCCTACATTGTGACTCCTCACTACATTTTCAATGCTTTTCTAGTCCCAGACAAGCTACAGACTGTTAATTTACACTTGCTTTTGCCTTGCCTGAGGAAATTGAAAATAAATTTTAATTTCCTAGTCAAGGGCTACGGGTGCTTTGTGTGGTTTGGAGGAAAAAAAAATACTGTTAGATGGAATTAGGGAATATTAGGAGAGTTTCTGAAGTTAGTGAAGGTACACAGTAATTGATCACTTGCCCTCATAGTGAGAGGTCATTCCAATGAGCAGAGGTTCTGTCAATATCTGAGATCTGTTTGATACCTGGCCTCAATCTGTCGATCACGCCCAGTAACCATATTCATAGGCTTCAGATCTGAATTTTGAATTGCATCAGAAGCTTTCCTCTGGCCTCAGAGATGCCATTGAGACCATTCTCATAGTTAGTCACCACTCACACTACACAAAATGGAAGAAAAAAACTTCCTTTGGGGCAAATCAACAATCTCTGGTAGGAAAATAAACAAGGATGCTTTCAGAATACCAGAAGCCCAAGTCTGAGCATCTGGAGGCAAAGGAAGAGTAGAGAAGTCTTTGTTGGTGGGACCACTGCCTGTAGGAATTTAAGGGAACTTGGATCTTAGGAGTTGCTCAGTTAAGTCCTAGAGAGAGCCTAAGTGGGACTGATGAGAAGCAGAACAAATTGCTATTTCTGAGAAGAAAAACCAACACTTTTGGATGTTAACTTTTGGATGTTTGAATTTTTTGTTTTAGTTTTTATTCCTTTTGGGAAAAGCTATTTTTATCGCAAAAAAATATGTAAAGCTAGCAACAAAATAGTTGAAAGTATTTATTGTGTACCTACTGTGTGATAATAGCAGCTGGGTTTCAAACACAAGTGAATATGAAATAAATGAGCCCTAGATGCACAAAAATACATGTGTGTGTGTGTGTGATATGTCATTTTTTATCTCACTGCAAATATTATGTATATAAATGTTTTCTTTTTACTCAGCTTTTTATGTCCCATATTTTCCCATGTTTTCAAATGGCCTTCATGATCAACAATTTAATTCTGACAAGTGACCATTCTCCTTCTGCAGAACAAATTGCTGCTATGGTAAATAACACCAAGGAGAACATCTTTGTGGCATATAGCATTTTTTTCTTCCTTTGTAATAGTTTCCTGGGAGAAATCCTCGGGAAATAGATTCCCTGGGGAAGGCAAATATGATTGATACATACTACCATGTTCTATTTCTATGATACTGCCAGGTTTTGCTTTGTCATTTATAGCACTGTTCCTGGCTGAGCCCAATACTGCTTCAGAATTCTTCTTAACACAATACTCCAAGCAGTCTCCATCATTCAACCTCAGTAACCAGTGCCAAACAAATTAATGAGCTTGATCAGTATCATCACATCAAAATTTTATCTTGGAGATATGTCAGGGGAAAATGACACTTTCACTTACTTCCCTTTCCTAGGAACTCAGCAGACTGTCCTTTCAGTCGATCCAAACTTCCCTCTGGTTCCCCTGCTCACTTTTGAGTTTCTAAAGATTCAGTGCCACTCCCTATCCATGGTGTTCCATCAGAGCTCACCACATCATAATGCGGACTACCTTTCTAGAGGCAATGAGTATCTCCAGGACTTAAACAAAAGTGGCAGATTTCCTTTGGCCAACGTGGCAATCTTCCTACCAGTTCAGTGATCTCCAGCCATGGGAAAGAAACTTCCCACTGCAGTGGGAAAGAAACCCTGACATCTTTATTCTTAAGTTAGTAAAAAGAAAACCACGATGTCCCCACAGGTCAGTGTCCTTGTTCTTCTAGCCAAAAAGAGTCTACTGACCTTCATATAAGAAGTGTGACTGGCTCTTGAAGTCACTTTTCCAGCAGTGTCAAGGCCTGGCCAATGCCATTAACAGCTTCCTTCCCCATACACACTTAAAACCTCCAGTACCCTAAAATCTTTTGAACGTATTGCCTTCTACTTGGGAGTTTCTCCAAGTTCTGCTTCTTACTTTTCATTCTAAATTTCATTGCTCTCTTTTCTAGCTTTCCCAGTTTGGGGACATCTGCTACTTTGGTTTATCAGTATTTCTCTCCTCTGGTTCTTCAGATAACAGCCTTGCTCAACACACACACCTCCGTTCATGGGATCACTGCCCCCTTGTTAGGCTTCCCATGTGAGTCTGATGGGACTGCCAACTCTGATGATCCCTCTGAGAGAATTAGTGCATGGCCCATCTTTATTTCCCTGGCTAAGGTGATTGGTTCACAGGATAGGCAAGTGACCCAAGCCATAGTAATCAGTCCTTTCCACATTTCTAAATCTTCTGAAATGGATTGGGGGAATTGTTTTTCTCCCAAGGTTGCTAGGCTTGGTTGATATGAGCTTGGAGCTGACTGTGGCCACCCCCCCTTTACCCTCTGCCATGTGGTGGAAGCTCATCCACAGCACAAGCTAAGGAGGCCTGAGTATAGAGATGGAGAGGGAGCGGCTGGTGGGTCCTGTTGACCAATTAGAGGCTCTGTATCTAGTATGACTAAATGAAGGGGGCAAATTTTAAAGGTCTCCTTTATCCCAAAGCTCCCAGAGCCTGCCCTAACAACAAAAGTGTGAGGTTAGCATGGAATACTATGCAGTCACACAAAAGAACGAGATCATGTCCTTTGCAAAAACATGGATGAAGTTGGAGGCCATCATTGTTAGCAAACTAACACAGGAATAGAAAACCAAATACTGCATGCTCTCACTCGTAAGTGAGAACTAAATAATGAGAATGCATGGATACACAGAGGAGACAAGCAGACATTGGGGCTTATTAGCAGGTGGAGGGTGGGAGGAGGGAGAGGATCAGAAAAATAACTATTGGGTACTAGGCTTAGTGCCTAGGTGATGAAATAATCTGTTTAACAAACCCCTGGGATACAAGTTTACCTATATAACAAAACTGCACATGGACCTGTGAACCTCAAATAAAAGTTCTAAAAATATAAATAAACAAGTACATAAATACATAAATAAATAAGTGTGAGGTTGGTATGTTGGCTAATTGTGTGAGTCAACCTGACTAGGCTAAGGAATGCCCAAATAGCTGATAAAACATTATTTCTGGGTGTGTCTGTGAGGGTGTTTCTGGAGGAGATCAGCACGTGGATCTGTAGACTGTGGGTAAGCATGATCCTATCTATTAAGGATCTGAAAAGAACAAAAAGGCAGGGGATGGGTGGATTGGCTCTTTCTGCTTGAGTTGGGACATCTGTCTTCTCCTGCCCTCAGACATCAGTGTTCCTGGTTGTCAGGCCTGCAGGCTCTGGCTGGGATTTACACCACCGGCCCCTCTGGTTCTCAGGCCTTTGGGTTTGGACTGCAACTACCTCACTGGTTTTCCTGGGCCTCCAGCTTGCAGATATCAGATAATGAGACTTCTCAGCCTCCATAATCCAGTGAATCAAGTCCTCATAAGTCTTTCCACATATCTATATCGTCTCCTATTGGTTCAGTTTCTCTGAAGAACTCTAACACAGTGGTATGATCACTCTGAGAAAGATTTGGATCCCTGGTGCAGGTTTGTTGACCTATAAGGCCTGGGGTAAAGCTTACTGGTCTACTCACTGCTTGAAATGCTGGCTTTTTTTAACAGAAAAAAAAAAAAGCATGAACTGAGTGGGTCAACCCTAATATTGTTTCTCACAGGTCTACAGGGGGACATTTGTTAGAAGGTCACAAATTTGGTTACACACAAATTTTAGTAATATTCCCCAAACACCCCTAAATTTCCATCAATAACGTTCTTTCCTTAGGAAGGCAATTTCTCAGGACCGGAGTGAAATGCTTCCTTTTGACAGAGAGGCAGAGCGATTAATGAGCAGATTAACTAGTCAGCCAAATGGGTGTGCTCATCATCCCCTGAATGTTTCTTGCACACTCCTTCTGCATACACAATGCTCCCACCTCAATGCCTTTCTTCCTTTCTGCCACTGACTCTATGGACACCCACTTTTTTCAATTGTGCCACCTGTCATCCAAAATCTGTGTGTGGGTGTGGACTGGCTGCAGGGGTGACTTACTGAGAAGAGCAGTGGGTTGAAAGCCTCCATACATAGTATATAATTTTTGGATATGATTCAGTTGTTAGTCAAGTGTACCTGGAGGCTTTATTGAGATTTCCTCTCCTTTTGTCAATAATCTTTCAGAAGGCCTGAGTTTTATAATTTTAGTGGAATAAAATTTAAGAACATCCAGATCCCAGATCATATCATTATTTGTATCCAACTTCCATGACTATTACTAATTGATCCAAAAGTCCTAGCCAACATCCAACCAAAGTAATGACAGGTAGTAATACTTCATGATCATATCTCTTAGTGTGAATTAGCTACTTAGGAAAACGTTTTAATTACTGAAGCTTACATGGGCTGTGCCCCAGATGCAGATAGGCCACAGAAGGATGGAGGAGATGACTCTAAATGCCCTCTCCTCCAAGAAGCCTTCTCTGAGTTCCTTTTCTTTTTGTGCCTCTCATTAGAATCTGATCATTTGCTGCTTCTCATTAATAAGCATTTACTAAGTAGCCACTGTGTTCCAGACACTGTTAGATGTTGCAGGGAAGGTCTTCCTCCTTGTTTTCCTGAAAGGACATACTTCCTTCTATCCCTCCACCCTTTACCCAACTCCTCCACAGAGAGGGAAGAAAAGAGGAGAAGCTAATCTGATTGATCATCCTTTGACATTTTATTATACCATGAGCAGTGTTACTCGTGTGGGCTCTCCTGGCCCACCCACAGGTGAATGGTTGAGGCAAGCCTGCCATCCTTGCTCACATCACTGGTGGGCAAATGAATGCAGTGTCTGCTCCTTGTCTCTCACTACCTATTGACATGCCTGAGCATGGAGGTCCCAGGATTTAGATTGAGGATGAGAAGGAAAGGCCTTATCGGCCTTGGACCTAAGCTATGTATTCTACTCCAGCTTCAGCCAGAATTTTTGCATGTGAATAATGGGTACTCATTTGGCTATTAGGACTATGATTACTGAGCATGTGTATTGGTCCTCCATCAGATAGGCAGGTGCAAGCGTTGAGTGACAGATTACCAACTGCTAATCACAAACAGCATTGTTAATTGCATCTTTCTTGTTAGGGTGGCAAAGTGTTAGTCATAAGACTCAATTCCCCAGAGTTCAGGAAAGGTACCCATCTAAAACTCCTTTGTGATAGTCTTATCTGAGCCACAGGGTCTGACCAAAGCTCTGCAGAGAGGGTGGGGTTTCCCCTAAAGAGAAATGGTGTTCTTACTACCGGTCATCCTAAGAAGAGGCCAGTCCTTATACAGCTATGAGGGAAACACTTCTTGCTCTGTTTGGGGTTTGAAATCGATACGGAAGATGACTAGAGAACTTCCAGGAGAGGGGAGAGTTGAAGGCATAGTTGCTGCTGCCAGTCACATAAAGGCAGGTCTTAAGCAAGATGGATCTGCCCTAGACCCAAAGGCAGTTCTATCCTGTGCAGTATTGTTCTTTGATGTGTGTTCCTCTTCCACTGTCTCCAGTCATTGCTACTTTCTCCTTAGACACTGCAGCGAGGCCTCTTGGCACTGTGGACATGGAAGAGCTAGGTTTCTGCTCAGCCCTAAGATGGAGATGTACTAGGACGGCAGAGACCCACCCCCAAAGCCAGAGATTGGGTAGCAGGAACAGACAGCAACGGATGACAGCATGGACACCAGATGAGAAAAATGGGAGGAAGAGGGGGGATGCAACTGCTGTCATGGCATACCACCACAAAACATGAGCCTCTGTCCATTTCTGTGTTGCTCTCTCAAGATCAAAGCCCTGGGCAGAAGGGTGTCAGGACTGGAGCAGGTGCCCATGCCCTAGTTGTCTGTGGTTACAGGGAGAGAGGAAGGATTTTCATAGTGGGGGGCAGGGCACCCACAATAGGGAGTTCCCCTTCTCACACAGGAAGCAGGGTTAGGAAAAAAAAAAAAATATATATATATATATATATAAATTGCTACATATAACATATAATTTTATAATATATAATTTTTATATTTGAAATATACATAGAGTTTACATATATTTTATATATAATGTATATGTATGAATTATATATTTATATATATTATATATCTTTTTATATATTTAATATATATATACACAGAGAGAGAGAGAAGATATCTAATGGATATCCTCTACCCAAAAATGATCTCTTCTACTTTCTATGAAAGTACCTGGAATTTCCTCATTAGTAGCTCATTCTTAAAGTTATAAGGTCCTTTAATCTTCGGGAGTTATCTATTAAGTCATAAATATCTCTGGGAGAAGTCATATTTTAGACCAGGTGTGATGGCTTACGCCTGTAATCCCAGCACTTTGGGAGGCCAAGGCGGGTTGATCACTTGAGGTCAGGAGTTTGAGACCAGCCTGGCCAACACGGTGAAACCCCATCTCTACTCAAAATACAAAAATTAGCTGGGTGTGGTGGTGCATGCCTGTAATCCCAGGTACCCGGGAGGCTGAGGCAGGAGAATAGCTTTAACCTGGGAAGTGGAGGTTACAGTGGGGCGAGATTGCACCATTGCACTCCAGCTTGGGCAACAGAGTGAGACTTTGTCTCAAAAAAAAAAAAAAAGTCATATTTTATTAAGCCCTTATTGATTAACACCTAAGTAGGAGTTTGAACAAATGATACCCAATGTTAAGCAAGCTGAAGGGAAGGCCCAAAGAAATGGAGCCCCTAATTATTCTTCTACTTATAGGTACTGCTATTTCCCCAATGCAAAAAGTTGCAGTTGTGACTAGTAAAACATAACTCGTTAAAAAGTATTACTATTACCCTCTCTAAGGTGGAAAAAATATCCAAGATACAAGTGAAAAAGAGAAATGGAACACAATTTGCATAGTACTATCTAATCATGGGAAAATTAAAAATTATATTTCTGTTATACTACACATAGAAAACAAAGTCCAAAAGAATATTCACTAGACTATTTACAATTAATATGCAGACAGTGAGATTAGAAGATGCTTTTATTTCCCTTTGTTAAACTTAAGTTTAAATTTATCAGAGTAATTTGTATAAAACATCTTTTTAAAAATCAGATAGTTCTACAAGGTTTATACTGGAAAAACAAGATTTCTCATTATTTCTCTTTGTAACCCTTATCTTCTCTCTAGGGCCAATCACTTTCAGCTTTGGGATATTTCTCTTGGTTATTTCCTTCCATATATAAAAATAATGTTTGTAAACCAGTACGTTCTGATTTTTGCATTTCATACCTCATTGATTGACTTTCTACTCTGGTCTTAACATTCCCACACAGATCCCCTTCCTACATACCCTTCCTCTCTCTCTGTTCTCCTAACACATTTATATCATGCTTTTGTTAAGTATTTTTAAAAATACTTAAATGTCCAATACTAGCATTACTAACATTGTAACTAAATTTTCAACATCACCATTCCCAATACTGTAACTATGTATTACTCACTGAAGTGACTATACTATGACTTTATTTTCTTTCTTGTACAACTTTGTGGTTTTTTTCTGGAATTGTCTTTGTTTTTGCTGTCATTGGGATTAACATTATTTTTTGCTTAGTTTTCTGTGTGCCTGTCACTAATTTATCCCCCCAACTCTCCCATGGAGCCCTAAGAATTTCTCTCAATATACCTGAATCCATTAGTAGTCTCTCAGTTCCACTCTTCTTAGGAACATCCACCGTGGAGACTTCCACCTTTTCCCTTCAACCTGTAATGGGTTTCTAGACCTGCCAAACAGCTGTCATTGTGGGCCATCTTTCACCATCAGCCTGGGAATTCCCTTCAGCTCTCTCCTGTATTGGATCCCCCACTTCCAGTATCCCATGATTTTCTATTTGTTGTTTTATTCTCTCAATATGGTTGAACACAAACTGAGAAGAGTTACCATGAGATGTAACATTTTTAAAACCTTACATGTTGGAAAGCATCTTTTAATCCTAACACTTGATTCACAGTTTATCTGGAAAAGCAATTCTAGAATGAAAGTCATTTTCCCTTAGTAATAGAAGGGCACTTCATTGACTTCTAACTTCCAAGGTAGCTGTTTAAAAGTCTCATGCCATTCTGATTTCTCTTTTCTGTATATGACCTATTTCTTCTCTCTGAAAGCTTTAAAACCTCTATTTCTGGCATTCTGGAATTTAACAATATTGTGCTTTGTGAGGGCCCTTTAAATGTCATTGTTTTGAACAGTTTGGTTGATGCTTTCCAGCTAGAAACTCACGTCCATCTGTTGTTGAATATGTTTATTATTTCTTAGGTATTATTTTTTCATTTTGGTTTTTTATTCCCTTTTTTAGAATTTTTATTAAGTAAATGAAAGACCTCCTACATACATCTCCTCTGTTTTCTCTTTGTCTTCTAGCTTTTCTCTCCTCTTTTCTACCTACTTTCAATATTTCCTCTACTTTATCACACAGATCTTTTATTGAAACTTCTATTCTTGTTACCATATTTTTAACTCTCAAGAAGCTCAGTATAAGTAACATCAGCAAAATGGTGAAATAGGAGTTTTCTACGATTATCTCCCCACAGAGCATCACTTTTGACAACGACTAATGGATCATACTACCTTTGTGGGAGTCTGAGAATCCAGCAAAGAAGTTCCAACACACTTTTGGGGAAAAAAAATCTGAGAAAAGCACACTAAAGAGGGTAAGAAAAAAAATTTCACTATACCCATGTCACTCCTCTCCTAGGACAGTACAGCTCAGTACAAAGAGAGAATCTCTCAGCCTGTGATTTCTCCCATGAGAGAAACTGAGAACATAGGAAGTGAGTACCTGGCTTCCCCAGTCATGTGGAATGCTGCCCAAGAGGGCTGCACCTTTCTTTTGCCACTCAAAGTACCATGGTGGTTGGTAGAGCTCAGCAGTTAGGAGAGATTGCGAGTAGAGAAGAGAAGAGACTCATAGCAACCAATACTCAGTATTCAGAAAAGGGATGCAGTTTTTATTAACTGCTTCATGAACTTCATCAGGAAGCTTGTCCAAAACTACTTGGGACAACACACATGCAGACTCCCCAGCTGGCCCACAGGCCTCTGCAATGTTATGCATGCCTCACATATCTCCCCTACCCCCATGCCAGCTTCCCACTTGTGGCCTCATGGACTGAAAGTGTGCATCTCAGCAGGAGGTTTACAAGTACATGCAGACAGACAGCCTGACTTGGCAAGATAGGAAAAAAGTACACAAAGTTGAGTATTTCAGGGCACCATCTTGGGAAAACAAATGAGAGGATCTCAGCACCTGGCTTGGCTCTGCAGGACCAAGAGAAGGCAGAGAATCTTAATAATTCACCCCCCAAGACAGAACAAGAGGTGTGGAGGGGGAATATTCATATAAAAGTTAGGAGAGAGTCTCAGAATCCCTAGTCAGACTGACTGGTGAAGGTGTTTCTCTCTCAAAGCTGGTCAGTAAAGACTAGAGGAGGTAATTGCTTCTTCAAATGCAAAGACAGCAAGGTAACACTTCAGGGAACACAGAAAATAATTGTGACACTAACAAAGGACCATGACACCAACAAAGGAACAATTTTTCAGTAACCACTCCCAAAGGAATGGAGATCTATGAATTCCCTGAAAAAGAATTTGATATAATTGTTTAAAGGAAGCTCAGTGAGCTAGAAGAGAATAACCCTTCTCTTTGTTGAGATAGATAACTCAACATTATCAGAAAAACAACACATGAACAAAACAATGAACTCAACAAAAAGAAATGATTAAAAAAACAATTCTGGAACTGAACAATACAATGAATGAAGTGAAAAATGCAATAGAGGCCTTCAACAGTAGACTCAATCAAGCAGAAAATAAAGAATCTATGAACTCAAAGACAGGTCATTTGAAATTATCCTGTCACAAAAGAAAAAAGAATGAGAAAGAGAAAAGAGAGCCTACAGAATTTGTGGGATGCCATTAAGAGAATTGCTAGAGATGCTCCTTGACTTAGAATGGGGTTATGTCTCAATAAACCCATCATAAGTTGAAAATATCATAAGTCAAAAATGCATTTAATACACCTGACCTACCTAACATCATAGCTCAGTCAGTCTATCTTAAACATGCTCAGAACACTTACAGTAGCCTAAACCTGGGCAAAATTATCTAACAAAAAGCCTATTTTATAATAAAGTGCTGAATATCTCATGTCATTTATTAAATATTGTACTGAAAGTGAAAAACAGAATGATTATATGGGTACTTGAAGCATGGTTTCTACTGAATGTGTATCGCTTTCATGGCATCATAAAGTTGAAAAGTTTTAAGTTGGACCACTGTAAGTTGAGAACCATGTGTTCCATAAGTCTTATGGAAGGAGGAGGAGAGGAGAAAAGGGCAAAAAACTTATTTAAAGAAATAATGGCTGAAAACTTTCCAAATGTGGGGAGAGATATGGACGTCCAGGTATATGAAGCTCAAATGTCTTCAAACAGGTTCAACCCAAAGAGTACTTCATCAAACCTGTTGCAATAAAAACTTCAAAAATCAAAGACAAAGAAAGAATTTTGAGAGCAGCAAGAGAAAAGAAACTCACCAAATACAAAAGAACACTGTAAGATCATCAGAGGACTTCTCAGCAGAAACCTTACAGGCCAGGAGAGAGTAGGATGATATAGTCAAAGTGTTGGGGAAAAAAAGGCAACCAAGAACACTTTAGCTAGAAAAGCTATCATTTAGAAATGAAGAAGAGATAAAGTCTTTCTCAGACAAACAAAAACTGGGGAAGTTCATTACCACTAGACCTGCCTTACCAGAAATGCTAAAGGGAGTTTTTCAAATTGAAATAAAAGGCTGCTAACTAATAAAATGCAAACATATGACAGTATAAAGCCCACCGGTAAAGGTAAGTATATAGCCAAATTCACAATATTCTAATATTGTAATATCAAGATGTGTAAATTATTTTTAATTCTAGCATAAAGGTCAAAAGACAAAAGTCTTAAAATAACTATAGCTACAATAACTTGCTAATAGATACACAATATAAGAAGATGTAAATTATGAAATCAAATACATTAAATGGGGAGGGGAAGTATACTTTTTGTATGCATTCAAAGTTAAGTTGTTATTGGCTTAAATAGGCTCTTATGTCTCATTGTGACCCTGAAGCAAAAATCTGTAGTTAATACACAAAAGATACAAAGGAATTAAAGCACACTACTACAGAAAATAATCAAATTATAAAGGAAAACAGCAAGATAGTTAATATCCCAAATGTGTAAGGAACTCATAGAACACAATACCAAAAAACAAATAACCCAATTAAAAAATGAGTAAAGGACCAGAATGGTCATTTTTCCAAAGAAGGCATACATATGGTCAACATGTATATGAAAAGATGCTCAACATCACTAATCATCAGGGACATGCAAATCAAAACTATAATAAAATATTACTTCATACCTGTTAGAATGGCTGTTATCAAAAAAACAAAAGATAAATGTTGGCAAGGGTGTGTAAGAAAGGGTACTATTGCACACTGTTGGTGGGAAAGAAAATTGATACAGTCATTGTGGAAAACAGAATGGAAGTCTCTCAAAAAAATTAAAAGTATTATTAACATATGATCCAGCAATTACACCTCTGGGTATATGTCCAAAGGAAGTAAAATTTCTAACTTGAAGAGATATCTGCACTCCCCTGTTTATTGTAGCATTATTCACAATAGCCAAGATACGGAAATAGCCTAAGAATCCGTCAACAGATGAAAGACTAAAGAAAATGTGGTATATGTACACAATGGAATGTTATTTGGCATTTAAAAAGAAGGAAATCCTGCTATTTGTGATACCATGGATGAACCAGGAGGACGTTATGCTAAGTGAAATAAGACAAACAGAAATACAAACACTGCCTGATCTCACTTATATGTAAAATCTAAAAAAAAAGTTGAACTCATATTAACAGAAAGTAGAATGGTGACTATCAGAAACTGGAGTGTGGGGAGAAAGAGATGTTGTTCAAAAGGTACAAATGTAGTTTGTACCTATAGTTAGAAATGTATTTTATATTTGAAATTTGCCAGGAGAGTAGACCTCAAGCGTTCCACCTCCAAAAAGGTCACTATGTGAGGGCTGCTAATTAGCTTGCTTGTGGTGATCATTTTACAAAGTATATGTATATCAAAACATCATCTTGTACACCTTAAATATATACAGTTTTTATTTGCCAATCGCACTTCAACAAAGCTGGGAGAAAAACTCGTTCCTTTTCTATACCATCCTCTTATTGTTTCATAGAGATAATGTTTTATCTCTATGAAGAAAATACTGACTTATTGTTTGATTGTTTGTTTTGAGACCAAGTCTCGCTCTGTCGCCCAGGCTGGTGTGCAGTGGCGCGATCTCGGCTCACCGCAAGCTCTGCCTCCTGAGTTCACGCCATTCTCCTGCCTCAGCCTCCTGAGTAGCTGGGACTACAGGTGCCCGCCACCATGCCTGGCTAATTTTTTGTATTTTTAGTAGAGACAGGGTTTCACCGTGTTAGCCAGGATGGTCTCAATCTCCTGACCTCGCGATCTGCCTGCCTTGGCCTCCCAAAGTGAATACTGACATATTTTTTAAATCTTTTTTTCACTGCATTGTCTTTGTTTTCTCAGTGTTTTATTTTCCCTGTTAATTTACTTTGCTATCTACATTTCAAGTTAGAAGCCATGCTTAGTCTTTGACTACATCGAGGGGAGCCTTTGGCTATTCTTTGACTTAAGAGAGAAATACTGACCAGAAAGGACCCACCACCACTCCACTGGGGATACCCAAAGGGCAGTAACTGTGGGATTCTTTTCTTGTGCTGGTCTACTTTCCCTGAGAACAACAATCTAATGTGTAGTGCGGTGAGCCTGGCTGCTGCATTCTGGGAGCTGAGCGCTGGAAGGCAGCTGGAGTCCTCCACATTCAGTGTAGCATCTTTCACTTAATCCCCCTGCTTTTAATAAAGCACATGTGATGTTCTCTGTCTCTGTGCCCAGCTGTGTCCTGAGCCCAGAATGTCTCAGTTTCAACTCTCTGGAGAGGACACATTCTGTTTTCTGCTGGATTAAGGAAAGGCAAGTTGCCTAATTGCTCAGGCTGGGGGATGGACTCTGAGAATCCAATTACTTTTTTTTTTTTTTTTTTTTTTTTTTTTTTTTTTTTTTGAGACACAGTTTCGCTCTGTCGCCCAGGCTGGAGTGCAGTGGCGCGATCTCGGCTCACTGCAAACTCCGCCTCCTGGGTTCATGCCATTCTCCTGCCTTAGCCTCCTGAGTAGCTGGGACTACAGGCGCCCGCCACCAAGCCCGGCTAATTTTTTGTGTTTTTAGTAGAGACAGGGTTTCACCGTGTTAGCCAGGATAGAATGGTCTCGATCTCCTGACCTCGTGATCCGCCCGCCTCGGCCTCCCAAAGTGCTGGGATTACAGGCGTGAGCCACCGCGCCCAGCCCCAGTTGCTCTTTAATCAGACTTAAACCCATCCTCCTATGTTCAGACCCACCTACACCTTGGCTTGCAGAGGAGCTCTGAGCCTCCAATTCCTAAGATGCCAGAGGTTCTGTGGGGTGAGCTGACTTGCTCTTTATGATTCTCTATCCTCTTGCCTCCCAGGCTTTCCTTTGGCTCTAAGAAGACCCTTATGAGTTCTGCATCCCAGCTTGCATTCTGTTGACTTCTCTCATTTTCCCACTTTCTTTGTCTTTGTGGGTTTTACCACCTTCATTCAATCAATGTCATTTTAGCTGAGTTTGGGGAAGAAACCAAAATTAATACATCTGTTCACTCTGTGACATTTAAATGGAAGTTTTCAGGGCATCTTGATTTTTTTATATTAAAGCACCTTGATTTTGTATGTTATTTATGGTAATATAAATATATTTTATTTATTTCCCATTATAATTAGGGAAAATAAACATTTTAAGGGCTTTTCTGAGATCCTATTAGCTTTGACCATATATTTTCTAAAAAAAGAAGAAAAAAAAAAGCAGGTGACACTAAAAGTACTATCTCTTTCTGTGACAGCTTTTTTACATGAAAACTCAGCTCAGGTCCTGGAAAAGGCTGGCGATTCCTTGGCCTGTAGGGCCAGTTCGGGGTTAGAGAGAGAGAGACAGCAGAAATGTGAAAAGCAGTGGAAGGAAAATGCAAAGAGAAGAAGGGCTTGGCCAAGAGAGGGTGGGGAAGAAGTCATACCAACAAATCCCACTTTCTTCACAGACCTCTCCAGAGTGAGGCCCTGCCAAGTAGAATAAATACCATCATAATAAAACGCTTTCCAAAACAAAAAGAGTTTGAGAGGCCAGGCGATGTCAAATCTAACGGAAATCAATGCCACAAAATCCCAACCAAACTCGAGAATTAGGGCAGTCCCACAAAACCCATTGCAATGGTCTCTGACCTCAGAGATATCTAATGTGGTCAGTGGGAAGGGTGGGGGCACCAGGAATGGGACCAAGGAGGGTATGGTTATGTTCCCTCCCTCTCTGTTTCTCTAAGGAAATTTAATTTCTTTCTGGGGGGTTCTTCTTCCTGCCAGAATCCCTAATTCTTGGTGATACCACAAAACCTTTGTCTCATTTCTTTTGTTTTGGGTTCTCTGCTTTTATGTGCTTAGGCAGAAGCCGAATCTGTAATCCAGTTACTGTTATTCACTTGACTGTTGTTTGAAAACGCAAATAGATCAGTTCTGAACCCTATTATAGCCCATCCATGTCCCCTCCAGCATCGGGCCTGCTGGAGTGCACTGTAACCCCCTTGCAGGATGACTCGCTCTTCACATTTAGCGGGTGCCATTTGCTGTCTAATCCTCTTACCCTCCAATGTGTTTTAGCCACTCGCTGCAGCATAAAAACATGCCATGGTAACTATGTACTTAAGAGCCTGTGTTCTTGGCCCTTGATTCTGAACCAGGAAAGGAAACCAAATAATGATCAACTCATAAAATGAAATGCCCAAATTAGATTTTGTTCTTCCCGTGGCCCAGCCCCCAGGATTACGGTGACTAATGCAGCAAATGGAGTGAAGCACAGAGATTTTCAGCCCGGCGCGGGAAGCACAGCTTTGGCTGCATGTCAGAGGGTTAGAAACCCAGGGAAGGAAACTGCTTGGAGCAGTCCTGCCCAGTGTCAAAACAACCTGGGGATGATTGCAAAGCACCACAGTGGTTTTCTCATCCAATTCTATCTGAAATCCCCTGGAGAAAATCCACAATATGTGTTTTCTAGCCTATAGTTGCTTTTAATAATGGTGGTCCAATTTCTAGGAGGTCGAACATGATACAGCCCTGGCTTAATACCTTACAGCTGAGTTAGCAATCAAAGCAGTGGTTACTGTGGCAGGAAGAGGGCAGGGCTTGAGAAGGAACTTCTAGAGTGCTGGTATGATTCTGATTTTTTATCTGGGTGCTGGTTCCTCAGGGGTATTCAGTTTATGCAAGTCCATCAAGCTGTACATTTATGACATGTGCACTTTTCTACATGTGTATTATTCTTCAATAAAGCATATTTTTTAAACTTACATCAGTGACTTTTACCTGTCTCGAGTCACAGAGCCCTTTGAAAATCTGATAAAGGATGTGGCCCTCTCCCCAGAAAAACTCACAAAACCCCTAACTGTGCATCTAATCTTGGGAGTCTCATTGACTCCCTGAAATCACGAACAGAGGAGAGAGGACCCATGAGCCCCAAGTGAAGATTCCCTGCCTTCCAGGATTCTCTGCTTTCTTTGTAATTTTCACTCCCATTTCTACTCAATTGCAGAGAGTCACCCATGGATCCTGCAGACAGGCTACCTACCCAGCATTTCCACATTGCCAGCCTGGCTCATCTCTGGTCTCCTTTGTCCCCAGTTCATCCTGGGCACCTCTGTGTGTGTGCACCATGATAGGCTTCTGCTCAAAACCTACACTGCCTTCTCATGGCTAACTGGAATAAATGGAAACATCTCCTCCCAGATTTGCAGAAGCTCCATCAGACCCCCTTTCTTACCTACCCAACCCCATCTCATACCCTTCTCCCACCACAACCTGCAATTTCAGTGAAGTTCCCAATGTGTTGATTCATTCCTGCCTTTGAACATTCCACTTTTCTCAGCCCCAAATCCCTCTTTTTTGTGTGTGAAGCTCATAAAATACTGTAGCTACCATCCTGCCTTCTCTGAGAGCCCTTTCTTGACTACACCAACAAAAAGCTCTCCCTGTTTGAAACTCTGTAGCATTTTTCTCTCTATCCCTGATTTCATTACATGGTCTTGTACCATTCATTCATTCATTCATTTGTTCTTTCTATGAGAACTGTCTGTTATTTTGTTTAAACGCCATTAGTTTTTGATTGCTATAACCAATTACCACAAATGTAGTGGTTTAAAACAACACAAATATATTATCTCACAATTCTCTAGGCCAGAAGTCCAACATGGGTCTCACTGGGCTAAACTCAAGGTGTCAACAGGGCTGTGTTTCTTTCTGGAGGCTCTAGGAGAAAATCCATTTCCTTGTCTTTTCTACCTGCAAGAGGCTACCTGAATGTCTTAGTTCATGGCCCCCTTCCTCCATCTTCAAGGCCGGCAACAGAGGGTTGAATTCCTCTCACATGACAGCACTCTGCCCTCCTCTTGTACCTCTGTTTCTCCCTTTTAACGACCCTTGTGATTACAGTGAGTCCATCCAAACAATCCCAGATAACCTTATTTTAAGATCAGTAGATTAGCAACCTTAATTCCATCTGCAACCTAAATTCCTCTTTGCCATGTAAGGTAATATATTAACAAGTCCGGGGGTGGGGGGTGCAGGGGCGGGTGCATTTTTCTATCCTACCACAAATTCTGCAGGACTTTCTTCTCTACATCTGATTTTATCACATGGTCCTGTATGATTCAGTCATTCATTCTATAGTGAACATCTGTTGTTTTGTGGTCCGGCATCTATTTACCCCATTTCTAATTATAATATCCCAAACTTATCCCTGGGAGTCACTACATCCCGCACTCTCAGGTAACATGTAAGGTTACCGTACACGTACTCCGTGGAGAAAAATCCCACCTCAAGTCCAGCTTTGGTCACAGTGACTCTTTCAGTGATGGGCATGTGACCCAGTGAGAATCACATATTGGTGGAACTGGTGGGAGAGAGGCATATGTTCTTTGCCTTTGTAGGTGAATTGGAAAGATGAGACTCTGGAAGTGCCAAGAACACCATGGGAAGCCTGGAAATGAAACCCACACTGGAAAAGGCAGATCTGACAGAATATTAATGCCATCATTTGAGTCCCCTAAATCAAATCACGACTGAAATCAGACCAACCTCTGGGCTTTTCAGTTATGAGATTTATAAATCTCTTTTTTAATTAAACCAGGTTATATCTGTCACTTACAACAGAAAGAGTTCTAAGTGAAACACATTCCTTTATTCACTCCCTTATTCAACAGGTTCACCCTGCCTGCCTACATTTGTATCAGGCACTGTGAATAGGAGATACAGTCATGAAACAGACAGACATAGTCTCTGCCCTCATGGAAGTTAGACATAAAGTGGGAAGACTGACAAAAGACTGACACACTTCAATATAATATTGCTATTATGATGGCAATTATGAAAGCATTCGCATAGACAGTTTACCTAAAATCTGGGGTCAGGGAAGCAATTAAGCTGACGTAATAAGGTGAATACGAGTTCACCAGGCTAAGGTAGGAGAGAGGTGGTGATAAATTGTGTTTCAGACAAAGGAAAGAGTATACGAAGAGGCTAGAAGGCAAGAGATCTCTACTTTTTTTTCCAACTCTCTAGTTGCCTCTACAACCAGAACATAAACTCCTCAGAGCTGTGTTTTGAATTCTTTCTACATTGGGAACAATACCTAGTATAGAGGACTTGCTCAAGAAAAAAGTCTGTTGACCAACGACTATCTGTACTAATATCTAAGGCTAGTTTAAGCCCTCATTTTCCTTTTCTTCAGTGGCAGGTTGAGACTTTGCCTATCTAGATATAGGGTAATATAATGATAACAACAGTGAAAACAGGAACAGTATCAATCAATGCTAAACATCTCTTGAGCCCTTACCATATATCAGGCACTATTCTAAGCAGTATATATATATATATATATATATATATATATATATATATGCAGTTTATTTATATATATATATGCAGTTTATTTATATATATAAGCAGTTTATATATATATAAGCAGTTTATATATATATAAGCAGTTTATATATATATAAGCAGTTTATATATATATAAGCAGTATATATATACAAGCAGTATACATATATATAAATATATATATATATATATATAAAACACACACATATATATATTTAGAAATAAGGTCTTGCCTTGTTGCCCAGGCTGATCTTGAACTCCTGGCCTCAAGCAATTCTCCTATCTAGGCCTCCCAAAGTGCTGGGGTTACAAGCATGAGCCACTGTGCTCAGCCCTACATGCATTATTTAATCCTCACTACCCTTTGAGGTAGTTGTCATTATTATTATTATTACTATTGCCATTTTACACATGAAAATACTAAAGCCAAAAAAGATAAGCAATTTGCGGAGTATGGTGGATACTTCTGATTGACTAACTGATAGTCATTCTCCCTGTCTTCTCCTTGCTAGAAGAACCTCAGTTTTGTTCAGAGGATCGTGTGTTGCAGGGGAGTGGAGTCCTACCCTAGGCCCAGGGGGACGTCATAATTGGCTTAAGTCAATGGTAATCCCATTCGCATTGGTCATGATTATGCATATGAGACACAATTGTACACAAGAAGAAATGAAAAGAAGTCTGCTAGGAATCCTTGCAGACTAAAAGGAGATACATGAGAGAGACTTTCTTTCTGTCTCTGGACATTGTCATCTGTCTGGAGTACCTAGAACTGCAGCAGTCTTCATAGAATCATGAGAGTAAGGTAGGAGAATAGGGTCTAGAGACAGGGAGCTTAAGAGCAACTCATGGCTCTCTTCTTAGAATTGAACCAAAAGGAAAACCCCACCTCTCCATGCCCAGGTGAAAATGGGCTGGAGGCCCCTCCCTCAGCAAAACTCCTTTCCCCGTCAACAAATAGGAAATGCCTCTGATTGGCCATGAGCCCAGCCTTTACCTAGCCCTTTGAATGGCCACAGGCAAAGCCTTCATTTGCATAGGGGCTCTAGCCTCTGATTGGTCACAGGCCAATTCTTCATTCGCATAGGGTTTAACCAACTGGAAGCCTCTAAAGGGTGTTATTAAGTTCTTCTAGTTAATAAAAACCCCAGGGGACATTATACTCAAGGCTCTTGAGCTGCTTGCTCAAGCCCACAAACACTCTATGGAATATACTTTCGCTTTAATATTAACAAATCTGTGCCTTCATCTTCCATTGCTTTGTTTGTGCATTTTGTTCAATTCTTTGCTCAATGTGCCAAGAACCTGAACAACTCATAGTCAAGACTTCCCAGCCAGTAACAAGAGGAGTCAGCTCAAAGAACAAGCTGATAGAAGGAGGATGACAGCCTAAAAGAATAAAAAGAAATTTGTCCTTAACAATGTTATTAAGCTGCCAAATTGGCCAACCCCAGCACTGTCTTTTCTCTGGCCTTGTAATATGATATGCCACATTTCTTCTCATTTAAGATGCCATCAATTGTGAGATGCACCATTACATTGTCTCTGACTAAAAAAAATTGTAATGCTGTCAAATTAACTATGATGCTATATTATCATTTAGAATTTTTAGAATATATTTTTAGAATATACTTTTAGAATTTTTGAATATAGCTAATGAAAAAGTCCATTTAGATTTACTTATGCCTAGATTTTTTATACCACATATCACTCCTGTGCATTTAAATTTAAATATAAATTTACTAATTTAAAGTAAATTTAGCTGGGCACAGTGGCCCATGCCTGTAATGCTAGCACTTTGGGAGGCCAAGGCAGGCAGATTGCCTGAGCTCAGGAGTTTGAGACCAGCCTGGGCAACACAGTGAAATCCCGTCTGTACCAAAATACCAAAAATTAGCCGGGTGTGGTGGCGTGCGCCTGTAGTTCCAGCTACTTGGGAGGCTGAGGCAGGAGAATTGCTTGAACCCAGGAGGCAGAGGGTGCAGTGAGCCAAGATAGCGCCATTACACTCCAGCGTGGATGACAGAGTGAGACTCCATCTCCAAAAATAAATAAATACATAAATAAATACATACATAAATAAAGTAAATTAGTCAAGGTATTCCTAAATCTGCTTTACATTGAGTCAAACTCTCTTGAATCACTTGTCCAATCAGAGTTATCAATGTTCTAGTTTTTCCACATACGCTTGTCCTCTGTAACATGAAGAACATTGGTGATGCTGTGTTTCTTAAGAAAGTGCCCTTCTGTAATCTCTGGAGTTGTTCCCAAGAGGCCATCACCATTCTGCAGGTTCGAAGCACAAGGGCAGGCAATGCTTAGCAACAGCAATTGCATAACATACCTCATATCAGAGATGTTAAAAATATAAAATGTATGTGTGTGTATACACACGTGTGCATGCTTCTTAGGTTATAAAAAGGGGGCTAACAATTTTTTCTTATTGTTAACACACTTTTAGTTTGGTTTCTATTATTTGCAGTAAAATGCTTCCTTTCTGATTCAAAGGTCATCAGTTTAATAAGTATCAGAGCTTAGATTTGAACCCAGTCATTATAGCTCCAGCCTAGGCTTCTGATCACTATGTTAAACAGCTTTTGTGTTTTAGATAAAGTGGCAGATCTGATTTGTTGATAGCAATTCCCTGGAGTGTTGCATTGAGAAGATTCTGAGGCCTTGGTCTACTATCTGTGACTGCCATGGAATCCTGAGTGGTGAGTCATATTGTACAAAACACATATTTACCTTTCTTAGATAATTGTCTGAACTCTCAACTTTCATTCAAAGCCATGGATTCCTACAGCTAGAATGGGACCAGCCTCAATCTAAACATTTCAGGGTTAATAGTCAGGATAAAAGGATATGCAAATTATGTATTGCACATCTCCAGAGGGTACCATTCACATAGACTATGGTGTAAATGGCAGTCCCTGGTTACGTGCAGTAAACAACTTGCACAATTGTCCATGGCAGGCCTTCAAATAGTAATTCTCTATTTCAACATCATGTATACAAACTTCACAGCTAATTGCAATCATTTATTCTGAAATTTTATACCCAGTATGAAGGTCAAGTTATTTTTATGTCTAATTAAATTTCTCCTGTTTAAATTGAATTTTCTTCCTGGATGACACAGACTTAAGAATAATACAAAGCATTTAGTCTGGCTCTGTGGAGGCTTGATATTCATCAAACATAAGTGAATCATTAAAAATCTTTCATATATTTGAAGGCAATAATTAAGTCTCCTATTCTCATTAGCTTCTCCAGTTAAACAAACCCAATTTACTTCACAAGCTATTACTATGGGTCAGGAACTATCCATGCTAAGCACTTTGATTCAGGACAACCTTTCATCCTCACTATAACGCTATAAGGTGGGCAGTTATCCCATCTTATGGGTGAAGATGGTGGTGGGTAGAAGTGCAGATGCTGAAGTCAGACTACCTGGATCCAAAATATCCTGCTCCATATGACCTTGTGCAAGTCACTTAGTCCCTTTATGCTCCCGTTGCCTCAACAATGAAATGGAGATATTGCAGTACCTACTTCATAGGATCGCCTCAGTGTTTCTAGGATTCAGCATAATGTCTGGCACTTAGTAGATAATCAACACTCTTTTGCTGGTATTGTGATTATAGTTCCAACATTCCACATGCAGGAAGGGACTGAGCAGGGATTTGAACTCCAGGACGCTTTTCCCCACTCTGCCTCTCTAACTCTGCCACAGATTTGAAAAGGACTTTAGAGACTCTGTCATCCAAACTCTTCGTTTCACAAACAGGGGACCAGAGGCCCACCAAGGATCATTCTTACACACTTCGCTACCATGGAAAACAGGGCTCTCAGAATAGCCACTCTTGGCCTGGCACATTGATTCACACTTGTAATCCCAGCACATTGGGAAGTCAAGGCGGGTGGATCCCTTGAGCCCAGGGATTCAAGACCAGCCTGGGCAACATGGTGAGACCTCGTCTCTACAATAAATAACAAAAATTAGCCAGGCATGGTGGTGAGCCTATAGTCCCAGCTGCTCAGCAGGCAGAGATGCGAGGAATGTCTGAGCCAGGGAGGTCGAAGCTGCAGTGAACCGTGATCATGCCACTGCACTCCAGCCTGGGTGACAGAGTGAGGCCCTGTCTCAAAAAAAAAAAAAAGAATAGCCACTCTGTCACCTGTTTTAATGCTTCAGACCTATCTACTGGGTTGTTTCCCCTCCCATTGGCATGAATGGAGAGGCTTTTGAGGAAAAAAAAATAGCCAACTTATAACAAATAACTTGAAGCTATGTTCTGGTTTTTGGCAAGAGCTCTTCCTCCTGCAATGCCAAACTGACAGAGCTTCAGAGGAGTTCCTGGGCCTGGAACCTCCCAGCAAACCTAGGACCTCGCCCAGCCCAGGAGCAAGTGCATGCTTGGAAACCCCAGAGCCCTACAGCAATTATAGGGCATTATTTGCTTGCCCTGAGGACTTCTTTTGTGAATTAATGTCTCCTATTAAATATGAAATCCAAGATAATAAATTGTCCTAAAGGGCTCAGATGTCTTTAATCGTGGTTTTATCTACTCCCCCAGGCCTGGTGACTTCTAATGAGTTCCAGCTCACATCCTGAATGAATTATCGTTGGAGGAGTGTGTGCACTCAGTGAAAATAAACTAGCAGAGACTCATGTTTACTCTTTAATTCCCTATCCAAAAATAGTTTCCTTTTTAAAGAATATTTTTCAAATAGAGGAGTGAATGCTGACTAGCCCCTTGTGTTTTGTTCCCCATGCTCCCAAAAAAGAGCCACACACACAGTTGGATTTATGGACTACAGTAATACGAACTTGAAACATCTGTGACCTTCGACAAGTCTTTTCCCTATCCCAGGCCTCGGTTTATTCATCTATAAAATGAGGAGACTGATAGCTACCTCTCATGGCTGTTAGGAGGATTCATGCAAATAAACTGTCTAGTTCAGCATATATAGTCAACGTTGAGTCTTTGGAAAGGTTAATTTTTTTTTTTTGGAGAGATGGAGTCTCGCTGTGTCGCCCAGGCAGAGTGCAGTGGCACAATCTCAGCTCACTGCAACCTCCGCTTCCCAGGTTCAAGCAATTCTCCTGCCTCAGCCTCCTGAATAGCTGGGACTACAGGTGCACGCTGCCAGGCTTGGCTAATTTTTTTTGTATTTTAGTAGTGATGGGGTTTCACCGTGTTGCCCAGCCTGGTATTGAACTCCTAAGCTCAGGCAATCTGCCCGCCTCGGCCTCCCAAAGTGCTAGGATTACAGGCATGAGCCACTGTGCCCGGCCTATATTTTATAATGCTATAAAAAGTTGTGTATAAATTGAATTTGGGAAATCCATCCTGTTTTCCTATTGATTTACTTGATTTCAGAGATACTTCATCTTTTTACTTTACTTCTGCCAGAATTATAACAGATGATGGCTCCAAAATGATTTTCTGCCTGCCTCTGCTTTCTCTAAAATAGTCATGATCTATAAGCAAATTCTTAAATGCCTTAGGGAATTATGTTGATAGGAATCCTGTGTTGAAGTAATGCAGTTGCCTATAAAATAAAGTATCACCTCCTAAATGATCCGGCTTGTAAGTTGGTATATTGAGTTTCCATAAGTTGAATCTACACCATGAGGATCTCTCCATTTCAATTTCCCCAGATACCTCATTGGTTAAAAAAAAAAATTAGGTGCAATTATTTTATGCTTTGAGAAGGGGAAGGATGAAGCTGCCCCCACTGCTTTCTATAGGATAGGTTACTGTTGCTGTTGTTTAAAGCTTTAATTTCTTAGAGCAGTTTTAGGTTCATATCAAAATTGAAAGGAAGGTACGGAATATCCCATACACCCTCTGCCCTGACACAAGCGTAGCCTCCTGTATTATCAACATCTCCCACCCCAGTGGTGCATTGGTTACAACTGATGAACCTCCATCGACACATCATCACCCAAAGTCCATAATGTATACAGTAGTGCCCGCTTATCCCCAAGGAATAGTTCCAAGACCCCCAGTGGACGCCTGAAACCTGGGATAGTACTGAACCCCATACACAATATGTTTTTCAGTCCTAACGAGTGGGTAGCATAGACAGTGTGGATATGCTGGACCAAGGGAAGATTTAAGTCCCAGGTAGGACAGAGCAAGATGGCTCAAGATTTCATCCACGCCACTCAGAATGGTGTGCAATTTAAAACTTGCCAATTGTTTATTTCTGGAATTTTTGTTTACTATTTTTGGACCACAGTTGATCACAGGTGACTGAAACCTTGGAAAGCAAAACCTCAGATAAGGGAGACTACCACATAAGGGTTCACCCTTGGTGTACATACTGTAGATTTGGACAAATGTATGATGACATGCATCCACCATGATAGTCTCATACAGGGTAGTTTCACTGACCTAAAAATTCTCTGCACTGTGCTTATTTATTACTCTCTCCAGGCTAACCCCTAGCAACCACTGGTCTTTTCACTGTCTCCATAGTGTTGCCATTGTTTTGTTTTGTTTTGTTTGTTTTCTATAATTACTTCTTCTTTCAGCATCTGGAAGAGGAAAGGGCTTGTAGGCAGGGTCCCTCCCAGCCCTGGTGGTGAGGGAATAGCTTTGAGTGTGAGCATGTGAATCTCAGAGTGGGTGAAAGGAAGAGAGCTGAACTTCTGAACGGGAGCCTGAGTCTGGGTGGAGATGGAGCCACTGACAGAAAGAGCCCTTTGTCCAAACAGCCACCATCTCTCTTCCCAGCACCTTTTGCCCCCTTCCCTCATGCATTCCTTACAGGGCTGCTGCAACCCCACCGAGAAGAAACCAAAACCCGGAGGGACTCTAGTCAAGGGCACCATGACTTCCTCTTCCACTCTGAGGGAATGAGTCATCCTCTGGTTTCTCCATTGATTAAAAGAAGAATATAAATATGTACTCCCCTGGGGGAAACCATGCAGTCTAAGGATGAAACCTCAGCCATTATTTATATGTTTAAGATCTACTTTGGTCCTGGCAGGTGCGTCAGGTTATGAGGAGGCACTCTGAGAAGGAAGCCAAGAGCAAAAGATTAGAAAAGAAAATAGTTGAGGATATTTTCACCTAAACTCCTGTTGTGGGTATAAAATTCACAGTCACAATTCTGGAAAAACTGTTTCTATGATTGACACAAAAAAACCAAATCAATCTTTTTACATCAAGATAACACCACTCAAAAGAGATTACAGCCCATCTCTTTTGAGTAATTTATTCACCTGAATTGAAAGTTCTCTCTCTCCCTTTTCTCCTTCTTGTCTCCCCAGGAGCGAAATTAAGTTCCCAGACTTGTTATACCCTCCTGACTTGTTCTCCCCTTCCTTGGGAAGGGCATCTGTTCCAGGCAGGTAACACCTGTCATCCTGGCTGGTCTAGGTAACACCCAATGTCATGGCTGGGCATTGGCTTTTTTCCTTATCACACACACTTCTAAAGTGTCCACAGCTGATGCGACAGTGGCACAGTAAATGTAGGTTGTCCTCCCTGTGACTCGGCCTCCACTTGGTTCTCTTGATCCTGTTGTGCTCTCTCTCTCAGCCCCAACTTTTGGCTCATCCATACTAAGACTCTGCCACAGTGTCCCCTCAAACCACATCACAATGATCCCATGCAAATAACTGGTTCTGACTTCTTAACTACCTTCCTCTACTCTACCACAGGGCATTGAACATTTTCAGATCTCACACACACCCACTGGACCTGAGGGAAACTCAGAGACAGAGTACTGGGGAATATCTCAAATCCTTTCCACTCAAAATGCCAGCATACTGCTCAACTGAGGCCACCTCATGTTGGCATGGGGCACCCCAACAGACAAGTGGTCTCTTCCCAGGATTTAGATCCTGTTTTTAGATCTCCAGCCCTCTCCACTCCTTGATGGGTTCTACACAAAGCAGGAGGGAAGGGGCAGGTAGAGGATAATCATTCTATCTTCAACCTGTTCAGAGTGTTGATGTGAATCCTTAGAGTATCCAAGGAGAAAATGTACATAAGACATTAAGCATGGGGCCTGGCACAGAGAAAGTGCTCTATCCATCTTACAAAGATTAAAGTATCCTCATCAGCTAGCACAGTCTAATATGTAATCAGTTACTTGATTGATTTGTTAATATAGCTGTGTTCTCGTCACCCATGCCGGCACAGTACCTTACACGTAAGAAGAGCTCAGAAATTCTTTGCTGAATTCATTCATTTTGAGGCATAAAATCCAATCTTCCTGAAGATAAGTCCTTTCCACTGAACTGGTGGGGTGTGGGGAAAGGGGTTGCTGGTACTTCATCTGGGGACCCCGAAGGGACCAGGATATGAGTTGGCTAGAAAAGGGGCAGGTAAGTATGGGGCTTTCCCACCCACAGTAGTCCTGCTTCATGTTCTTCTTTCACAATTATTTGACAGGGCACCCCATGAAATCAAGTGGCTAAGTCAGATTTAGGAAGTGGTTTTGAAATTGATGGGTGCAGGGAAGTACCCTTGAGTCAAAATCAGAAGAAAGTGAGTATTGCTGATTAAACACACTCCTCTTATGTTTGGGATGCAGCTGATGGGAAGCAGCTGTGGGAGGTGACACAGCAACAGGAGGGCCTCAGAACTGTGCCTCGCATACATCGGGAACATAAATGGTGAACGAGTGAATGAATGAATGAATGAATGCTTCCAGATGGGCATTCTAAACTTCATGTTTTTTGTTTGTTTGTTTGTTTGTTGTTTTTTTGTTTTGAGATGGGGTCTTGCTCTGTCACCCAGGCTGGAGTGCAGTGGCATAATCTCAGCTCACTGCAACCTCTGCCTCCTGGGTTGAAGCAATTCTCCCTGCCTCAGCCTCCTGAGTAGCTGGGATTACAGACACCCACCACCACGCCCAGCTAATTTTTGTATTTTTAGTAAAGATGGGGTTTTGCCATGTTGGCCAGGCTGGTCTCGAACTCCTGACCTCAGGTGATCTGCCTGCTTTGGTCTCCCAGTGCTGAGATTACAGGTGTGAGCCACCGCGCCTGGCCTAAACCTCACGTTTGATCCCCCTTTGTTCTGGGGTCACCCTGGTGTATGTTACTAGACAACACCTTGGCTATCTGAGCTTCCAAAATTGATGCAGATAGAACAGGAAATGCCCTTGGTGCACCTGTCACCTGAGCAGTAGTCTTTGCCCACTATGCAGTCTTTCATCCCCCACCCCCCTCCCTCCCTTCCTCTTGAGTCTCCAAAGTCCATTATGTCATTCTTATGCTTTTGCATCCTCATAGCTTAGCTCTCACTTATAAGTGAGAACATATGGTATTTGGTTTTCCATTCCTGAGTTACAGTAAGTTCTGTTTTATAGCAGAGTAGAGTAACTATAATTAACAACAATGTATTATATATTTCAAAATAGCTAGAAGAGAGGAATTAAAATGTTCCCAACATAGAGGAATGACAAATACTCAAGGTGATGGAAACCCTAAATACCCTGACTCGATTATTACACATTTGATGCATGAAACAAAATATCACATGTACCCCATTATATATCAATAAAAAAATTCAAAAAACATTTAAAAAAACAGCAAATGCCCAAAAGAGCATGATTCATTATTGCACATACATGAACAAATCCCTGGCACACCACACTTCAGCCCAACAGCAAATTAAACAAAAGCTAGCTACCTCAGAATGTCCTACAGTCTACTCAGTGTGGGCATCTGAGATGCATAAGAACCAGTAATCAGAGCTTTGTGGCAGGGCTGTAGGAATAAAATGTAATTCCTGCCATCAAGATACTTGTAACCTAGTTGGGAGAAAAAATAAACACAGAGATATAGATCTATTCACACTAGGAAATATGTTTGAAATTACATTTGGGTGATATAGTCATTTCATGCTACAGGTTCTGAAAATAGCAGGTGATATCTTGGAGGACCACAGAGGTGAGGGGAGACTTTCTGGAAGAGATGAGATGGCCTGAGTCATGAGCATGACTCAGATTCAGACAGAAAGTGGCTGGTGGAAGGGGGAGTCCCTGAACACTGAGGAGGCTGCATTTACATTTGTCACCTTGCTGGAGGATCCTCTGAGAAGACAATGGGGAGAGTCCCAGCTAATAATAATAGTCACCACATGTCAGGCATTGGGCCAAGAGTTTGGCATGAATTATCTCAGGGAATCTCTTCAACAACTCTCCCAATATCATGTGGCAGATACAGCTGGAGTCTCTTCTTCCTCCTTTGTGACAGGACTTCAATTTTGTTTGAGGCAACTATATGTTCAGTTAAAATACTTGATATCCCAGCTTTTTTTTTGCAGATAGTGTTGGTCATCTTGGCATAGTGTGTCCAACAAAGTATAAGATGTAGTCAGTGAATGGGGCTTTCCAGAAAGCTCTCCAAAGGGGTACAGATGTGGCTGGCTCACGTCTTCAGCTTCCTGCCATTTTCTCCATTCCCCTTTATCTTGCCTGCAACCAGGGCAGCCACCCTGTGGCTCTGGATGATTCTGGGAGCCTGTGTCCTTGATGAGTCCCTGGAACAATGGTACCAACCCTGGCTTGCCCACTTCTGAACTACTTATTGCATGAGAAAAACAAACTCCTATTTGGTTAAGTCACTGCCATCTAACCTCTGTGATTTCCAGCACATGCAATCTTAACACATATAGACAGGTGATGTTCGTACCTTGTTCACAGACTGGGAAACCAAGGCTCAGTAAGTGTCACTACTCATAAGCAGCAAATCCAGTATTTAAATCCAGACCAATGCAGAACAAGGCTGGTTGACTCCAAAGCTAGACTGAGAACCTGTGAAACTACTCCAGAGTCACATTAAAAATTAAAGAAAGAAAGCAAAGCAACCTTTAGCAACTTTTTAACCTCTCATATAACCTTTTCACAACCTACCTTTTATTAGATACTGGTAGGTGTCTCTCACTCCCAAAACACTGCTTCAGAATCTCCTAGAAGGCAGGACCAGGACTACAGCTTTAATCATGCTTATAGCACCAATTTCTTCCCCATTTCCCCATGCCCAGCTCTGGCTATGTGGGCACCCAAAAATACTGGATGGATTTAGTTTTTTTAAAAATCACTCAGGATAAAACTCAGGATTAAAAACATCACTCAGGATAACTGTCTCTGGGAAAGCCATCCCTTTATGTATGTGTGTGTGTGGTTGTGCATGTGTGCCTGAGGGTGTGTGTCACATTGTGCACATATGTGTAAATGGGTATCCAAGTGTCTGAGAGCAGGGGAAGAGGGAGAACTTTTTTATTGCTGTCAAATTCCATCCTTCCACTCAGCTCCTACAGACCTACAGTGACAGCACCAATGATTATATTAGCGATAACTAAACTTTTGTGCAGGACCTGAAAATTTAATTTCCTTGTGGGAAGCGGTAGAGAACTAAGCTTATTTGGGGCCAAGAACTCATGAACTTTCCCAGAAAAGAAAGAGAGAACAGCACATATAGCCACTGGCCTCTGATTTTTCTTGAAAAATAAAAAGGCACAAGCTCATTTTCAAATGTCTCCTTTAGAAACAGCTCCAGATTCGTTTTTCTCTGTACATACCCCACATCAGAGTGGGTAGGAAGACATAGCAGCCCTTGAAAACTCATTGAATTCATTCCAATTTATTCTGTGATTTGTGATTTTTTTCTTTTTTGTTTAAAGAAGTATAATTCCATCATTTTTTTTTCTTCTCAAGTTGCTTGGATGGTCAAGACCCTGTGATATATACTGCGTGTTCACCATGCACTAGAAACTGTTTTAAGAGTGTTTGCATGCTTTATCTCAGCTAATGTTTCCACTTTGAAGATCAGAAATCTGAGGCACAGAGAACATAAGTAACTTGCCTAGGGTCACATAGCCAAAAAATGGCAGAACTGGGATCCAAGCCCAAGCAATGTAGCTGCAATGCCCAAGACCTTAACCATACCATTGTATAGCCTCATAAGTCTGGAACTCCCCTCCTGGTGTCTGAGGATATGAGTTCTTTGAATATAAGCAAAAAATGGCACCTCTGCTTAATTTAAGCCAAAAAAAAAAAAAAAGAAAGAAAGTGGAAGGAGAGGAGAGGCACATGATCCATGGTTTTGAGAGGCAAAATCCCAGGAGAGCCTCCTTGTCCCCATCTTAGTTGAAGCTCATCCATTGAGTAGGGCTGGGCTGGGGACCTAAGCTAATCATCCCAGGTTGCTTGTGAAGAAATGGAAGGTGTGCCACCAGACCAAGAGGATATGGATATAAGGCAGGAGAAAATGAGGCATGTATATGCTGCCATGTCACCAAGAAAGGAACAGATCTGGAATGGAAGTTAGTTAATTTGAGGTTGAATTCTGATATAAACTTGGTACCATGAGATTGACATTCAGGTATTTTCAAAGTGATCCACCCTTAGAATTCATCCATTCACTCAATTGTGAATGTTCTTTCACTAAATAGTCCTTATTGTGCCCAAGTAGGGTACTGGGAGATTCACTATCCCCAAAGGGCTCCCAAAGAATGGTCAGGTGAGGACATCAGACATATGTGCCCATTCACGTTCCAAGCTCCATTACACATCATTGATAATCAGATGCAGGGATAGGTTCTGGGCATACAGCAATGACAAGTCAGATACAGTCCTTAACTTCCATGAGGCATATGCTCTGCATGCCTAATCCTTCAGCAGATATGACAAACTAGGATGAGCATTGTGATGGGGCAGTGCAATGGTCTGGGAAGGCATATAGCAGAGGAATGCAATTTGGAACATCCTGGATATTTTCCATTTAGCCACTCCCAGATCCACTTTCCACCTATTTCTATCCTTTTTTATACCCCCAGGAGGATCACATTTATGGATCCTTTGGTCCACTGGATCTTTGATCCACTGGCTCCCAGCTAGGTTCAACCAGTGGAGGCACTGGCAGGAGATTGGAGAGAAGAAGGAGGAGAACAAGATGGAGACATTTATTTGCCCAGCTCCCTCCCTGATAGGTGGCTATAGATTGGCTGCCTCCCTCTGCATGAGGCCACAGGTCCCCTGAGTTGCCCTGTCCTACATCCCTACAGCTACCACCACCTGGCCCCAGTAAGTGCTCCCTTCCTGCCTGTTCTAGCTTAGCAGGGGAGTGGCTGCCAGACCTTCTTAGCTCGTACTTTTCTTGTCAGATTCCCTTAAATCTGCCCACACCTTCAGGAAAGCCCTTTTATTTACTTTGTTTGAGTGAACCATGTTTCCTATAGGGGGAAGTAAGGTTTACCTAGGAAGTGACATAAAAGCAGATACATATAATTTAAGCAAAAATAGCAGACGGTAATGCACGAGGCGACCTGCAGAGCAATTAGTCCCAAAAGTAACTACCATGTGTGTTCTGTCAAAGAACTTTCATTCCCAGTCTTATTAATTCAATATTGTAAATGATATGTTAAAAATAGTGGGGGAATGCCGAAGAAACACTCAGAGTTAATGAGATGAATCCCCCTACATGAGCATTGTGGGATGTCTGCCCAACCCACACAGCCAAGATATGCTCCTTCAGGTGTGTCCTGCCCACCGACCACAGCTGACTGAACCACAGGTAGGCAGACACCAGGCCTAAGCTGGGCCAATGAGTTCCTCCCTTTTTGGGGACTGCGACTCAAGCACGTTCCTCCTTCTCTGCCGCCCACTTCTGAGGATAAGCAGAGGCCAGAGTTCCGGGTCCCACTTGCCATCACTGCACACAAACGTGCAGCAGCAGTCCATTGAGCATGTATGGTCCTCACTTATTTGTGTGTTTTTAACTGAGTCTCCTGGCAGATGGCAATTACAATATTTCTTGAAGGGGCAGCTTTTCTAATTGGTGCAATTGGGCCATGGGCAGGGCTGGGTATCCTCATGTCATACGTCCACCAATGCAGTGAAAGCCAGTCCAGAGAGAGAAGAGATGAGGTAGACATTCAGAGGAGCCAGAGATGAGAGACTGTGGCACCCAAAGTGAGAAGCTGTGAGAGCACGTCCCCAAGGCGCCTGTGCCACTTCCGGTCCAATCAGCCATTTCCACCCCTGGCTTCCCTAAGCTGCCTCTTACAATCAGTTCCCATAATTTGCTGAGGCGAGTTTGAGGAACTTTCTATTACTCGTCTAGGGGGATAACATTTCTAAGCTATTAACCAATGTGCTCTTTATTCTAGAATTTCCTTTTACCCCGGGCTGCTCCCCTTTTTGTGTTCAGCCCAGCAGTCTGCCTTCATTCCCTCAAGGAAGAGCTGACATAAAAGAAAGCAAAGGGGTGGCAAAAAAAAGAAGTTAATGATTAACCTTGAGCTTCAAGAGCTTAAGCATAGGCAAATAGGAAGGCTTCGTGCACATACAACATATTTGAGAGAATATGAGTGGAGTAAAGGTAAGGCGTCCTATTCCCAGAATGGAAAGACGTCCCTAGGCTGGAGAGTAAGGGGGCGGGGAGAATACAGACCAATTAGGACCTAATTTGTAGGACTCAAGGACAAGGTGGGAAAGCGTCTAGAGATGGCTCAGGCTCTGCTTGAGTCAGCACTGTCCTTCCATATTGCCCAGGAGCTATGCAGACCACTGGAGACACACCAGGGTCCATTCCACTGAGCACCATATGTTTCCTGAGCTAAGGCACCTGGGAAAATCCCCCCACCATGGGAGCCAGCACCTCACCACTGACTGCAGAAATGAGGTCCATCAGACTCTGGTACTTTCTTCAGTCCACTCTGAGCCACCCACCTTCTGTGGCACCCACCAACCAGAGTGACCACTTCAGCAAGCACTGTACATAGTATCGCCAGAGTAGCAGGATCAAGTGATGCGGCCACTTAGAGAACTTGTAGTTCAGCAAGAAATGAGACTTGATAAAAATATCATTTTATCTTTGTGGGCAAGCTGAGAAAATGAGGGTAAGATGGCAGCACATTTGGGGGAATTGGGAACCATCCGAACAACCGATGTGCTTGAAGCCTGATTAATTATGCCAGGGTCCACTTCGAAAGCAGTCTCTGTCCTCAGTCCTCAACTCTGTCCTATTCAGGTGGCAGCTAATCAAAGTAGAGGCCATTTCCTGACTCAGCAGAAAAGAGAGTCATGATCAGCTGCAAGGTCTGCCACGGCTCAGACGTGGCACCCGGCACACGCTCCTGCCATTTGCTTTCTCTGCCCTCTACCACAGCATCCCTGCCACACCTCTTTTCCTCCTGAGCAAGGACCACCCAGAAGTCACTCTATGGCTTACTTTTTGTGTTGTGAGTACCAGTAAGCCACTCAAATGGACTACAGAAATAAAGGAAAGGTATATTAAAAGGATACAGGGTGTCTCCGAGAACCCTGGAGAGGAGCTCATCTGGATTCTTTCCTAGGCACACTACCACAATGAGCAAAATCTAATAAACTAAACAATTCTGCAGTTGGATTTTTTAAAACTCCAATTGCACCAATCCTAGATGGGAAGGAATGCAGCTTGATGCTAGCACATGTGATAAAAACACTTAGGATTTTGACTGCCAGCTCAGAATGAGTCAACAATGTGATGTGACTGCCAAAAAAGCCAGTGTAATCTCGGGCTGCACTAAACAGAGAGGAGTGATGGTGCGGCCTTCAGTTCAGAGAATCATGTATCAAGGCCCAGTGAACAGAGAAGGGCGGCCAAGGAGGACTCAGAATCATGCCGTATGGGGGAAAATAATGGGAGTACCTGGGATATTGCCGTCTGGCCTCCTTTTCAGGGATTGGTGGGAATGTTCTGGACCTGAGCTTACCAGTAAAGAGTCTAGGGTTAGACTGCCTGAATTGAAACCCCAACCCAGCTACTTACTAGCTTTTTCCTACATGCCAAGAATGAGATATTTATTCCTCATCACTACCTTCTGAAGAAATACCATCTTCATCCCTATCATACAGATGAGAAAACTGAGGCACAGAGAGGTTCAGTAGCTTGCCAAAGGTCACACTGCAAGCAAATTGAAGAAATATCCTTTGAATGCAAGGAGAGTGTACTTTCTTTGTTCTTCCCCTAAGCAGCTATACAACCTTGAATCTTGTCACTTCTCACTATACTTCAGTTAGCCCTAGGGCTACGTGACCAAGTACCCCAAAACATAGAGGCTTCAAGCAAAAATTCTTATTTGTTCACAGATCTGCAATCTGGGCAAGACTTGGTGGGGACAGCTCATCTCTGCTCTACTGGGATCAGCTGGGGTGGCTCAAAGGTGGGGTTGGAAGCCTCACTCACTCTCCATTTGGTACCAAACATCTGGAGGCTAGAACAGCAGAGGATCCTTGGACATCACTCTCTGTGGTGTCTCTCCACATGCTCTCTCCAGCACAGCACCTGCAGGGTAACCAAACATTTCACAAGTTGGCTTGTGGCTCCCTGGCATACATCCTGAGACAGACTGAGAGAGCCAGGTAGACGCTTTCATGTCCTAGCCTCAGAAGTCACATCGTGTGACTTCTATCACATCCTTAGTACAATCGGAATAACCACAGTGCTTCCCTGTAAGGACGAATTGAGACAATGCAGGTAAAATGCTTAGCACATTGTCTGGAAGCTGATGAAGATTCTATAAATGTCAGCTGTTGTTATTTTAAAAGTGGCTCAAAAAAGACATCTTAAAAAGACAAATCTGCTACTACTACCAAAAACATGCGTCACGCACCCTTAAGCCCAGCAAATACCTTTTGTCCACTGGTGTCTTTCCTTGCCCCATGTAGTCAGACACTGAAGCTCGCTGCTCTGGGAAGTCACACCTCACCCTCTCGTCCCATCCCTCTGATAAACAAGGCCGGTACTTGGAACTGCCTGGGTTGTGCTTCCCAGGAGGGGTACCTTCGCTGACTCAGCTGGGAAGGCATCCAGTGACTCATCAACTATCAAAAATTGATTAAACATCCTCAGGTCTTGGGAAGGGAGAAAATGCCCAGGAGACCCAAGATCCTCTCTTACCCCAGGACCCCAGTGGTTCCTCAGAGAGGAAAACCTGGGCTTGAAGATTAACTGGGCCTTCATATGAGCGGAGGTGTTAGTCATTCTGGGCACATACACGTCTCCAGCATTAGTAAGAAGAGTTGCCAGCTCCCTTCTGAATATTCAAACTCATGGCTAGCCCCCCTCCCGCATCCATTCCCATGGCTTCAACTACCATCCAAGCTAATGAGTCCTAAATCCATATCTCCAACCCAGAATTATTTCAGGAGCTTGAGACCTGCCCCACTCAGATGTCCCAAAGGGCCCTGAAACTCAGCATGCCCCCCTAATGTTGGACTCACCTCCTTTCCCTCACCCAGACCACGACTCTCAGTGAAGATTTCCATGGTGCACCCAGTGGCCCAAACCAGAAATCCAGCTTACCTTGACACTCCCCTGCTCTGCCCCTCAGGAGTGACCCATCACAGGTTCTGCAGTTTCTACCTCCTAATCTCCCTCTGCCAAGAATTTTCTTAGACAACATCCTCATAGCTTCTGAACCCAACTCTATCCTTCTCCAATTTTCCCCTCGCTGCTGTAAGATCTCTGCCAAATGTAAACATGAGCATCGCCGCTCTGTGTAAGACTCTTCAGTGACTCCCCCTTGCCTTCCAGATAAAGTCCATGTTTCTTAACATGGTTCCAAGGCCTTGCTTGATCCAGTGACTATGCATCCATTACAGGCTGAATTGTGTCCCATAAAATTCATACATTGAAGCCCCAGCCTCCAGTAATTCAGAACATGACTGTATTTGTAGATAGAGTCTTTAACGAGGTAATTAAGTTAAAATGAGGTCATGTGTGGGGGCCCTTAATTCAATATGCCTGACGTCTTTATACAAAAAGGAGATAAGGACACAGACACGAACAGAGGGAAGCCCATGTGAAGGCAAAGAGGAAAATGGCCATTACCACCCAAGGAGAGAGGCCTCAGGAGAAACCAACCCAGCTAACACCTGGATCTCAAACTTCCTGCCTCCAGAATGATGAGAACATACATTTCTGTTGTTTTAACCACCCAGTCGGTGATACTTTGCTCTGGCAGCCCTAGCATCTCTCTCCTTCACCTCCCTAAACCGCCCTCCCCAGGTTATGACACTCTAGCTGTGTGCTCAATGCCCTCTCCACTCCAGGCTGGCCCCACTCTCACCTGGGCATCTACATTGCTCCCACCACTCTTCATCCAGCTAACTCCTTCCTCCATGAAGCCATCCCTGACCTTTAAGTATCTCCTAAGATACCCGCTTCCTTCCCCTCTCAGAGCCCCATGTTACGACTACCCATTTACTCTGTGTCAATACCACACTGTGTGCTACATTAGAACAGGGGCCATATGTATCTTGCTCACATCTGTGCCTAGAACAGTGTCTGGTACCTACAAGTGCTCAATAAATTCTTTTGGATGACTGGCAATTAATGAAAATAAATCAAATAATTCAAAGCTGATCATATTTACTATTTTTTTAAAAAATGAAGTTCATAAATATCTTAATAGAGATTCCCAGTGAAGTCCCCTTTTGAGGGCTTAAGTTTACAAAGCAAAGCCACTCTGTCATAAATTTGTGTTTCTTTGGCCACCAGAGACTTCGAAAGGAGGCCCTAATAGAAGGCAGCTGATTCAAATTTAGTTCGGGCACCAAGACCACGCTTTAACGTGTAACAACATGGTGAGCTGAAGTCACACTCTGGGTCCTTATCTTTGTTTCAGGAAAACTGAGCCCCAGATCTCCTGGCCATCTCACTGGGAGTCGGGAAAAGGCCCGACTGCTTCCATAACAGACAGCAAGAAGCCCTGCACCTCTACAGGCAACCCGTGGCACAGGGACACATATTCATTTTGGTCTGTTTAAGAAATTGATGCATAACGATTGTGCATATTTATGGGGTACATACAGTGTGATGTTTTGGTACATGTATGCATTGTGTAATAATCAGCTCAGGGTAATTAGTGTACCCATCTCTGCCAGCATCTACCACTTCTTTGTAGTGGGAACATTCAAAATTCTCACTTCTAGCTATTTTGACATATAAAACACCTTACTGTTGACGTAGTCACCCTACTGTGTGATAGGACACCAGAACATTCTGGTCTTCACCGACACCTTCTCCTGGAAGTGCTACTGCCATCCCCACCTTATGAGAATGGGCCCGGGCTTCTGGGTGCAAACCACCTCCCTTACCCCATCAGCTGAGAGTTCACTGATGCTGTGAGGAGCCAAGAGAAACTTCACTCTCATGTCATTTTGGCTCCAAGCATTCCCCGCTGAGGTATTGGAGCTTTGCCTGCAGTTTACCCCTGAGGAGTGAATCTGGATTCTCTAAATTAAGACCCATTTGTTTACGAGATAAAGAACCAAATTCTAGCTCCTTTTGGAGTGAGGATGATGATCCATTCCAAACAAATCCCACCCACCAGACCTCCCAGCCCCTTCCCTGGTTTGTTTCCATCCATGTCACTTTCCCCCATCACCTAACTTAGGTATTTGATTTATGTGCTCATCAGCTGTTCCCCTTCCCCAATGCCTGTCATCACCAGTATAGTGAGGGGGCTCTGTGAGGGTAAGGATTCACTCTGTTCTGTACCCCGCTATTTCTCTGATGCCTAGCACATTCCTTGGTACATAATAGGCTCCCCACCTGTGTCTGTTGAGTGAATAATATGTATAAATGAATGAATGAATAAATGCACATACTCCCTTCTTTCCTCCACAAACACATGGAGATGAGTCTCCACTCTCATCACTACCTTGGTGATTCCCCTTAATTCCATGGCAGGGGATCCCCTCTGGTGCCCTTTATACCTTACTTTTCTCCAAACAGGATTTCTGTGTGTATGCCAACATCAGCATCTGGTCCATCTGTGGATATTGCCTGGGGCCCTATAAATGTCCCTCTAGGACCAAGGCAGTTTCTGGCCATAGAATGAAACCAGCCATGACTCCATTGATTCCAAAACCCACATAAACAGAACTACCAGGGGCCTGGGGTCCCTGCCCCCTGCAGGCAGAAGTTCTCAGGTTAACAAGAGCCTGAGGCCAGGACCTTGGCTGTGGTGGTGTTGGAGACACCCAGGGTCCACCAGCAACTGCTGCCTGGGGACAGACTGGAGGAGAGGTGGTGGCCTGGAGACTCTGAGGGCAGGTGGACGTGGCGCAGCATGAAGGGTCAGGATCTGGACTCCTGTGTTGATTCCACCAGCCCTGGTAAACCATTCAGAGCTCCTGAGCCTCACCTATAACCAGCTGCCTTGTGGGGCCATTAGGAGAAACAGGATGGGCTTCACAAGAGCCCATCTCTTCATCTGTCCCCTGCTCTTTTCCCCAAGAGAGGGGAATAGCACAGCAGTGAGCAGCCCAGGCTGGGAATGAATCCTCCATCTACCACTTGCTCACTACATGACCTCCCACAGGTTTCTAAACCAACCTTCTGCCTCAGTATTGTTTAAGGGTCTGGCACATGGTTAATGAACAGTTTTTATGAAATGTAAAAGAATGCAAGAGAGTAATCTGATCCCAAGGCGGGAGTGAGAAGAAAGCTGGGTGTGGCGCAAAGGTAGATTCTTACTGTTGGTGTCTTAGAACTTGAACATTGTCCTGTCCCCACTATTCTCCCCGCTACATTTCCAGGTCAGGGGCATATTGATGTGCAAACCTCTGGCATGGCTGGGCTGCTGGCCCTGGGATCCTCCGAGAAGCCGCAGGTACTAAAGCCTTTCTCTTAGTTGTGACTGAATTGAGATCCATATGTGCTCTCTACCCTGTGGAAGTGGAGTCAGAGAGATGGCAGTTTAAATTCCAGCCCTGCCACTTAGCTGTGTGACCTTGGCCAAATCAGTTACCCTCTCTGTGCCTCATTTTCCTAATGTGTAAAATGCAAATAATGATAGGTAGCACCCGCTCATATGGTGGCACATTACTGGATACATCCACATCCCCAAAACAAATGCCATGCTCTCCAGTCTCCTTGTCTTTGCATTTGGTCTTTCCTCTAATACTCTCTTCCCTCCTCATCTCTGTCTGCCAGAACCCAGACTAATCCTCAGGGCCCTGCTCAAATGACCCCACTTCTGGGAAGTGTCTCCAGGTGTTTCTATCGTGTGTGGCCTCCTCTTCCTTCTGGTATCCTGGACATACAACCTTTCTATGGAAGTCACCCTGGCATGGGGTGAATGATACACATATGTTATTCCTAGCCCCCTTCTTGACCATAAGGGTTGGAATCAGACCTGGGATTGACTCCAGCTTTGCCACTTAATAGCTGTGTGACCTTGGCTAGGTTACTTAAGTTCTCTGATCCTCAGTTTCCCCATCTGTAAAAAAGATGTAACAAAACACCTACCTCATAAGGTTTGTGGCAAGGATTAAGGGAGGTAATGCCTACAAAACCTTCAGCACAATGCTTAGCACATCGTATGTCCTTAATAGGAGTAATGATTATTAGCACTGAGTAGGTGCTGAGTCTGAAAGGCTTTCACTTGAAATTCATTCCTTAGGGGCCCCCTCCAATTCAGATAGCTTCCAAAATGCACATCTTGGGGTTAGTGATGGCCCCAGGGAGGGGCAACTGGTGAATTCTCAGTAAAGACTTAGCTGCTCTTTTGACATCAGAACTTTTGGTGCTTAATGGAACAGCAGAGAAGAGAAGACAAAGAAACAGAAGCTTGAAAGGAGTTCCAAGGAGACCCACATGTTCTGTGTTTAAACCTCAGGACAAACTTGCAATGTCACCATTGATGACCCTGAGATTCAGAAGAATTAAGTGACTTACTCAAGGCCTTACAACCAGTGGAGACATACCCAGATCACTTTTACTCTAGGGCTCATGGAGAGAAGAGGCGGTAGGTGGAGGAAGGGGAGAGAATGCTCATCCAGCAAGAGCACACACTCTCATTATACAGCAGGCAAAGCAATCTGTGGAAATGTATGGTCTTATTTATGGAAAATTAATTCAGCATACAACTTCATCATAATACCATTTCTCGAAACATTAACTCCCATCAATGTTGTAAAAGTCTGAGAAGCTACAAAATGTCTTTTTCTAAAACCTCCTATTATCTATAAACATCCACTTTTCAGGCCAACCAAGATTTCCCTCCTCTCCCGTTTGCCCTGTTGGTTTTAAGTCTAGAAAGGTCTGGAGTGGCTGTACGTGTTAATGGGGCTTGAGAAAGGTTCTCATCAGCCTGAAAGCCCAGGGGAAAGCAAAGCTCACTTTAACTGCTCTGTAAATTAGAGTCTCCCTTTTTGGTTTAAATCCACAGACACAGATGTCTTACCTTCACCAGTCCTAGAAACGGTGGTGAAGAATTCTTCTTTCTCTTGGCCGATATTGCCCTCTAGTGATCCAACTCTACTTGAAAAATAGAAAGAATCCATGAAATAGACAAATGACTCCTTCACACTCACTGGTTCACTCACTCACCTAGCCAGCCTTCCCGCCACTCACTTTCTCATCATTGGTTACAGGCCTATTAGGCACCAATCAACATGGATTCTGGGATGCCCTAGGTGTTGAATGATTCACCTGCAAAACCTAAGAGTCTGGAGAAAATGGCCCACATCTGCAATCCCAGCTCTGCCTCTTAAAGCCCCAAAGACCCTGGGAGTGGGAGTTAGTCCCCCAGGCTGGACCTGTTTCCTCACCATGGAGTAGAAATACCAACTTCTCCATCTTCAAAATATACAATATAACATGCATATCCTCTTAATCTTATCTTTTTTATTATTTGTAGAGATGGGGGTGGGGTCTTACTAGGTTATGTTGCCTGGGCTGGTCTCAAACTCCTGAGCTCAAGTGATCCTCCCACCTTGGTCTCCCAAAGTGCTGGGATTACAGGCATGAACCACTGCACCTAACCTTATCTTTATTTTATTTTCACAACCAACTCCTGGAGCACACTTAGATTTTTATCACAAAGAAAAAGCAGAGAAGCGCCAGGCACAGTGGCTCACGCCTGTAATCCCAGCACTTTAGGAGGCCGAGGCAGGCACATCATGAGGTCAGGAGTTGGAGACCAGCCTGATCAACATGGTGAAACACCATTGCTACTAAAAATACAAAAATTAGCCGGGTGTGGTGGCGCGCACCTGTAATCCCAGCTACTCAGGAGGCTGAGGTAGGAGAATCGCTTGAACCCGGGAGGCAGAGGTTGCAGTGAGCTGAGATCGCACCACGGCACTCCAGCCTGGGTGACAGAGCGAGGCTCCATCTTAAAAAAACAAAAACAAAAAGAAAAAGCAGAGAAGCTACTAGGTAAGCTCAGAAGCCTTAGGTTCAAATCCTGGTTCTGCCAGTTACCTACTTTGTTACCGTGGGCAAACTACTTAACCTCTCTCTGTCTCTTTTTTCCTGTCTGTAAAATGAATAGGATTGAGAACAGTTTAGGTTTGCAAACTTTGGTATAAGCAAAATTCCCTGGCAAGCTTATTAACAGGACAGACCCTCCTTCTCAAATTTAACAATCTGGAAAATCTGAAAATGGCCCTGGACCTTCTGAGCAGTTAACAAGCTGCCTAACAATACACAACAGCCACTGAGAGCAAGTGCGGTTGAGCCAGCGCACCGGTCCTCAAACTTGGCTGCACATTGAAATCAGCTGGGGAGCTTGAAAATGCTGACGGCCCCTCACACACCCCCACTAGATTCTGACATAACTAGTCCAAAGTAAAGCCTGGCATTGGGATTTTTAAGAATTGCTGGAGCAATTCCCCTGTGAAGCCAGGGCTGAAACCCCACTTCCTTAGCCCAATGCCAAAAAAACTTAATAAATGTTGAAAGAAGTCCTACCAATACATCCACATCATGACTCAAACACTATGCTTTTATTCAACACTAACAACAAAATAGTAAGCCTCTATCAGGTGCCAGGCACTGAAGATAGAGCCATCATCAAGCCAAAACAAAAAGACAGAAATCTCTGTGCTCAGGGAGATGGCAATAATGCTGCAGGCCAATTTGTCATTTTGCACTGGGCCCCCAAAATTATGTAGCCATCCCAGTGAGTTGGGGCTGCATATCACAGATGGCCTTACAGCTCACAGTGAGAACTCTTTTTCTCTTTGAGATGGGAAGCATTACAACTCCCACAGTTTTCTGTCTTGGAAAAGAAGAGATTTAGAGATGCCACTGCAGCTTTCAGGAAAGTTACTGTCTGATGATAAGATTTCAGGCAGGGAGACCTGGGTGAGAGAAGACATATGTGAGGCAGCGGGACCGGCCCTGACTGACCACATCCCTTATGTCTGTCAAGTGCCCTCTGAGTAAGGCTGAGCGGGAGATGAACAACCATGGCCAGAAGCTGGTGGCTCCTGCTTCCTCCCCTCCCCCAGCTGCTGTCCTGCAGCATGCAGCCTCCTCCCATCCCAGACTCAGCGGCCAGCTGCTTCCAGCTGTAGAGGCAAAAATACTTACTCGTAATCAGGATTTTGGCTTTGCACCTGCTACCTTTGCTGGGGCTGAGGCTAATTCTAAGGCCAGGGATGTAGAGGGTGGAAGGGAAGCCCTTTTGGATTACTGTAGCTACTCAGTCAACCCCCAGCTGCTCATTAGCACCTATGAATGAAGCCCGGGAAACCTGGTGAAATCTTGTTAAGCCGCTGAGAGCGCAGGAGGAGGAAGGATACAGAGACCTCTCCTGGTCGTCCAACCGAAAATCAATGCTTCCATCACTCTCTCTCCCCTTGACCCTGCATTATCTTTATTCATAGCACCTACGGCGAGCTGACATTTTACTCTATGTTTGTTCACTTCTAGTGGTTTTCTTAAAGATGGAAGATGGGTTAGGTGAGCTTACAGGACCCTTTCCCACAGAGTCAAATGGTCTTCTCCATCCCCACCCCGGAACGGGGAGGGCAGGGACCTGTCTGGAGCCCCGAAGTGGGGCATCAAATGAGATCACAAAAGAGCAGCCCAGGCACAGTCATCAGACCTGTCCTGTTTGGCCTGCAGAGGTGTTGTTGTTGTTGTTTGCTTGGTTGCTTTTTGTTTTTCTGCAAATGGCATGATTCCACATTTAAAACTAAGGACGCGCAACCTCTCTGGAAAAGCTAGATAGAGACGGTGGGTGCCGCATCCTCACACAGCGCAAGCTGCTTGTTGCTGACGTGCTGCTGCCCTTTAACTGGGCTGGGCTCTTCGAGACCCCATCGCCTCTGGGCTGCCCAATTTTTTCCATTTTCTGCCCAGCCCTGAAGGCCTGGATTCCACACCCCTCCCCTCCCTGTCCTGCTGGCTTTGCTCCTTCTCCCAGGCCTGGGGGCTTCTGTGTCCCCTCCTAGTGGTGGAGCTCAGGTTGCGCTGGGCAGCATAATTTGCCTGGTGGACCAAGCACCACCAGCTTCACCCTCCTCACCAGTAGCTGCCAGCCTCCCCGACCTCAGAGCCACAGCTCTGATCAGCCAAGGTCACCTGGGAGTCACTCGGCATCTCTCTTATGCCACCACATGGTGAGCCAAGGAGTTGATTCCTTTCTCTCCTTCCCTGTGCAGTTTCTAAGAATTTGGCCATGAGAGGGATTTTATTCAGGTCACCAACAGCCCCACCTTTTACTCAGCCTGATAGACATAAACCCCCAGCCATTATTGTCTCTGGTCCCCTCCACCCTTCATTTCCCAACCCCCCCCCCCTTAAATATTTCTCAACCAATCTTATTTCTTTTCATTTTTCTCTGTGGCCTCAATCCTCCAGCCCTGCAAATCTACTCAACTATCTCTGGCACGCAGCCTGTTCCTTCTTATTATTAATAAGACTGAGAATAATGGATAATAAATAAGAGCTTGCTATCAAAGGGCTCTCACGCCATCGACCCAGAGCCTCACAAGAACCATACACTGCAAATGCTGACATGCAGAGTGTAAGTGACTTGTCTATGATCAGCAGCTAGTTAGTGGCCGAGCCAAGTCAGGAATCTATTTTAAGTGGTCTTACTTGTGGCTTATCAGGAAATTATCATTTTTAAAAATAAGCCAGTGAAAAAGACAGCTGGGATTTTAAAGTATGCTTTTATTACATTTCAAGGGCAAGATTTATTCCACTCCTTAGTATTGTAATTAAAGTAAATGAAATAGGATTTGGTATTATATTTGCCTTTCCAACAACCTTTTGGAGACACCTGCTTTGCTCTACAAAGGGAAAGCCATCTGCTCATGTATTCATTGCATTAAATACCCACTCACTCACTCAGTCCACAATTATGTGTTGCCCTCCTACTGTGTACCAGGCCCTGGGCTCAATACAAGGCACACACTGGTGAGCAAAACAGGTCTGCTCCTGCCCCCATGTGCTTAGAGTCTAGTGATAAAGTCAGGTGTTAAACTAAGATGTGCACCAAGAATGTATGACCAGAAATATGTTAAGTGCCAGGAAGGAGAGGAACAGGGGCTCTGGTAGCCTCTAAGAAAGGAATCGACCTGGTCCAGAAGTTCAGGAAGGGCTTCCTGGGGAAGTAACCACTGCCCCAGGAGACAAGAAGAAATGAACACAGGGAAGAGGACAGGGAAGGAAGTGTGTAGGGGAGGCAACAGAATGTGCAGCGCCCCATAGCGCATGGACCAAGCACAGTGCCGTCGTTGGGGAACTGAGAGTCGCCGGGGGAGTATGGTGTGTGACCAGGCAGCACAGGTAGGTGGAACCAGACTACCCAGTCTTGTGAGCCCAGGTAGGGATCTAGGTCTCTTCCTAGGGAGCAATATAAAACTGCTCAGAATAGGGATTGACCTGATTGGATTAAATCTACTTAGGTGCTGGACATTTGGGGTGGCACAGGGAAAAGAATGTCTCAACCCTCAAAGAATTTTCCGTCAGATTCCCTGGCATTAATAAAGCTCTGCTCAAAATTAGGTCATTGGTTTTTCTCAGAAATATAGGTATCACTCTTGTGCTAACAATGGTTTTAAAAATATATAAAAATTAAAATAATAAGCCAGGCACAGTAACTCATGCCTGTAATCTCAGCACTTTGGTAGGCCAAGGCGGGAGGATCACTTGAGGTCAGGAGATCAAGACCAGCCTGGGCAACATAGTGAGACCCCCATCTCTACTAAAAATAAAAAATTCTCCAGGCATGGTGGTGCATGCCTGTAGTTCCAGCTACTCAGGTGGCTGAGGCAGGAGGATCACTTGAGCCCAGGAGGTCGAGGCTGCAGTGAACTATGATCATATCACTGCACTCCGGCCTGGGTGATAGAGTGAGATCCTGTCTTTATTTTTAAAATAAAAAGAATAAAAATATCTAATACCTCCTAAGTATTTGCTGCTTTATGTTTTTACTTATTATTTCATTCAATCCTTGCCTCAAGTTGTAAGCATTATCACTCCCATTGCATAGATGAGGAAAATGAAGTTCAAGAAGGGATAGTAACTGCCCAAGGTCACACAGCTACTGGCAGATCTGAGGTTCAAACCTGGGACTGTCTGAATGTCAGCTCTGCCATCTCTAGGCGCCATAATCTTGGGAATTCTTGCCCAGAAATTCAAGGACAGCCAACATGACAGGTCTAAACCATTCATTCCTCCTGAAATGTCAAAGTCAACAATGGGCTATACTTTGCCAAAGCCACTGGCCAACTGTCTCCTTGTCTTACTTGACCTTCTGTGCCAGTGAGCAGATGATCACCCCTCCTTCTTAAAACATGGTTCCTCTTTGATCAGTACCTGGTTGTCCTCCTACCTGCTGCTATTCCTTCTCAGTCTCCTCTGCCCACTACCCCTCCTCAACTTGACCTTTAATTGTTAGGCTCTACAAAGTTCTGCCCTTGGCTATTTTTCTATTTATAATCCTCCATTTGATGATCTCATCCACCCACCCCAAGACTTTAAATTGGATCCATAAACTGGTGACAAATCCACACCTCCTTCCCCCACCTCTCCCCTGGTCATGTCTCCACATGGTTGTCTAATTGACCCACCAAGTTAACTCTGGACACCCACCGCCAAACTCTCTCCTGCCCTTAACAACTCCATCTCACTAAACGGCACCTCCTTGTACTTTGTTGCTGAGGCCAAAAGTCTAGGTCTTATCCTTGATTCATCTCTTTCCCATATGGCTCACCTCCACTCCATTGACAAGCCCTGTTGTTTTGCCTTTCTTTCAACTATATTCTGAATTCACCCACTTCTTACTACTTCCATAGTACCATCTTAGTCCAAGCAACTGTTTTGTCTTACCTGGACTACTTCAGTTGCCTCCTAACTGGTCTCTCTGCATCCGTCTTTGCTCTCCTACATTCTATTTTTCACACAGTAGTCAGAGATACAGGTGTTCAATTTGTACACTTAAAGAGTCTGACCTGGGTCCGAATCTTGCCTCAGCCATGGGGCAACCCACTTTGCCACTTGGTTTCCCCATCTCTCAACCAGGGGTAATGAAATCTGTGATAGCATTGTTTGAGCACTAAGTGAGGTGGTGTGTATATCATGCTTAATGTAGTTCCTGGCTTGTAATGAGTGCTCAAATATGTTATTACTACACACTGCTCAGATTTCCTCAAAGGCAGCCTTGCTAGATGAGCATCAGCTGAAGGTGATGCTGATCAGAAAATGAAGCAACGCCTAATTCATTATATGTCAGCCTCCCAGTTCCTATCTGACCTATGGTGGCCATGGAGCATCACTTCCCGCCCCATCCCTGGATGCCTGTTGACAATCACGGATGTGCACACACACTGGCCTATGAGCAGAGTTTTGAAATGTGAAGTGAGATGGGATTTGAATAGCAGTTTTCTTTGCACATAAAGAAACCACTCCCTGAAACCACTATCCTCCAGACCCAGATGGGAGCCCTGAAATTTACAAGCTCCAGCTCTGAGACAGGGCTTTGCTGTCACAACTTGAAAGAGCCAAAGGCCTGGCCAAGAGAAGAGGTGGATGTGGCCAAGGGTAGAGTCACGATGTTTGTGCCCTACTGTGGACTTTTCAAATTATGAAAACAAAAAATCTCATTCTTATGGAGACATGAGACCCAAACATCATAGGCTGGAGGATGCCTGCCCTCTGGTGAGGAATCACAAGGCAGGCCCCTGCATTCACCTTCTCTCCTCTTTCCTCACCCCTTCCTGGAAAACAGGGATGAGGCTACAAAGTCAGACAGACCTGGGTTCAAGTTCTAGCTCAGCCACTTTCTGGCTGTGTGACCTGTGACAACTATGAATCCTCTTTGAACCTTGGTTTGTTCATCTATAAACTGAAAAGTAATGGTATTACCGATTTCATAAGGAGCTGTGATCATTGTAGAAATAATAAGTATCGTATCTAAAAAGGGAGAGGCAATATAAGATAGCAGTTAAGACTGTGGTCTCTGGAGTTTGAATCCAGCTCTTCCACTCACTGGCTGTGTGACCTTCAACGAGTCACTTGACCTATCTGATTGTCTAATCTGTAAAATGGGGATAACAATTGCTCCTGTCTCCATGATACATTGTGGGAACTAAAGTTGTTAACACATGTCAAGAGCCTTGAACAGTGGCTGACACTTAGCAGGTGCCTGCTTGCTGTTATTTCTGCCTGCTTCCTAGGGCCCACAGATGACCTGCTGTACAAAGAGCTTGGGTGGAAAGGAAGTCCCAAGATCAGGTGGAAGATAATTCCATTACGTGCTCCATTATATGAAGACTCATTGTAATTTTGCTTGATTCCCAGAAAGCTTTGCACCTGTTAGCAAACTAACTCCTGAAAATGAGGCTGCTGGGACCTACATGGGACAAGTCTTTCCATAGAGCTGTAAGGGAAGACATGCAGATGGACACAGTTCCTGTGCCATCTACTCTTAATGCCCACTTACCATGAGCACACAGAATGAACTGGCTTCAAACAGCATCTGGCCTCCTGCCTCTAATCGGTTCTCCACTAAACAGCCAAAACAGACTTGGCAGCATTCAGCAATGCCCATCCTATCCCTGCTCCTCAGGGACCCCAGAGAGAGTCCAAGCCCCTTACCTGGCCTTCAGATTTTCATACAATCTGCCTCCAGCCCCCTTCCCTGATGCTTTCTCTCCATAAGATGTTCCCTCTGTCCACCCACCTCAAACACACATACCACTGCCACTCTGGACTACTTACTTCCCCAAATGTAAACCATAGGTTTATATCTTTGTGCTTTTTCCCCTTTGGTTTGCTCAGTCTGGATTGCCCATTGTATTAGTCCATTCTCCCGAGGCTGTAAAGAAATACCTAAGACTGGGTAATTTATAAAGAAAAGAGATTTAATTGGCTCATGGTTCTGCAGGCTGTACAGGAAGCATAGTTCCTTCTCCTTCTGGGGAGGTCTCAGGAAGCTTCTAATCATGGTGGAAGGCAAAGGGGGAGTGAGACATCTCACATGGTGGGAGTGGGAGCAAGAGAGAAGGAGGAGGTGCTACACACTTTCGAACAACCAGATCTCACAAGAACTCACTCACTATCGCGATGACAGTACCAAGGGAGATGGTGCTAAACCATTCATGAAGGAACACCCCCATGATTCAACCACCGCCCACAGGGCCCCTCCTCCAACACAGGGAATGCTCACTCACCTGTGCAGTCATTGCCACATCATAGGTACAGAGGGTGGTCCCGCCATCTGGTGAAGAAGATGCATGGGCAAGATATGGCTGGATGCATGCCAGGACTTGTCTAGATGCACAGACGATATGTGGCCAAATGCTCCACGGTACCAGACACAGACAATGAGTCTTCCAAATCCTGGAGGGCTGGGGCCACCTGCTTTCAGGAGCTGGGGCCTCAGAATTGAACAGACCTGGTTCAGTGTCACCCTGTGTTGGCAGGACCCCCAGTCCCCTCTTCTCTGTGTTCTGTGATGGTGGTGAAGAGTGCAAGTGTCATGTCAGACAGAACTCGGAAAAAAAACAGCTCTGTAACCCTGGGGGCATAATTTTATCTGTCTGAGCTTTAATTTCCTCTGTCTGTCAAATAGAGTTGATGGTGGGACTGATGTCATAGGTTGTTAGAATTAAAATGAGTCACTCCATATAATGTGCCTAGAATGATGCCAGGCACAGAATTTGTATCCAGTAAGTGGTCACTGCCATTGTGGTTGGAAATACTCTGGCCATTTTTATTCTCCAAATTCCACCACACATCCAGCCTCTCCATTAGCTAGCACTGTGCGGCATGCATTCTCTCTGTAAGCCTCAGCCATTGAAGAACTGCCCAGAGAGACAAGGCAAGGTGAAAATTACATCCAATCCTATGTTCACAGGGACCAGACGAGCAGATTCAGAGTTGGATTGGATTTGGTCATTCGTTTATTCATTCATTTAATTATCCACAATTATGTGTTGAGAAACTCTTGTATGTCAGGCCCTGCTCTGGCTCTTGGACCACAGTCAGCAGTACAGAGATGGTCTCTGCCTTCAAAGAACTCACATTCCAGAGCAGTGCTGTTCAACAGAAATCCCACAAGCACATATGTGACTATAATTTTCTTGTGGTTGCTTTTTTTAACAGGTGCAAGGAAGCTTAATGATATATTTTATTTAGCCCACTATATCCAAAATATAATCATTCTGATATGTCATCAATATTAAAAATTAGTAATTGGATACTTTACATTCTTTTCTGTGCTAGGTCTTCTAAACCCAGTACGTATTTTTCACACACAGCCCCTTTCAGTGTAGACTGGCCACAGTTCAGGCACTCAGTAGCCACAAGGCCTCTGTATTGGACAGAGCTGCTCTCTTGTGTGTGTGAGGGAGCACCACCTTGTTTTTTAATTTTTTATTTTAATCAGTATATTGAAGAGTTATCTTCACTTCTATGCTTATTGCAGCACTATGCATAATAGCCAAGACTTAGAAGCAAACTAAGTGTCCATTAACAGACAAATGGATAAAGAAAATGTGGTACATACACACAATAGAGAGCTATTCAGCCATAAAAGAGAATGAGATCCTGTCATTTCCAACAACATGGACGGAACCAGAGGTCATTATGTTAAGTGAAACAAGCCAGATACAGAAAGACAAACATCACATGTTCTCACTTATCTGTGGGAGCTAAGAATGAAAACAATTGAACTCATGGAGATAGAGGTAGAAGGATGGTTACCAGAGGCTGGGAAGGGTAGTCAGTGGGGATAGTTAATGGGTACAAAAAAATAGAAAGAATAAATAAGCCCTAGTGTTTGCTAGCACAACAGCGACTATAGTAAAATAATAATAATAATTGTTCATTTTTAAATAACTAAAAGAATAGAATTGGATTACTTGCAACACAAAGGATAAATGTTTGAGGTGATGGATACCCCATTTACCCTGGTGTGATTGTTATGCATTGCACGCCTGTATCAAAATATCTCATGTACCTCAAAAATATATACACCTACAATTTACCCACAGACATGAACATGTTTTGGTCTCCCCCATCCCACCCCTGCAAAGCCTTCACCATTTTTCAAATCAAATCTAAGCAACAGGCAAACCTGGCTTCAGACCCCAGCTCCTCTAATTATTAGCTGTGAAAATGCAAGATCCTTGTTTCATTTGATTTCCTGGGGCTGCCGTTACAAAGTACCATAAAGGGCGGGGGTGCTTAAAATAACAGAAATGTATTCTCTGACACTTCTAAAACCAAAGTCCAAAATCAAGGTGTTGGCAGGGCCATGCTCTCTCTAGAGGCTCGCAGAGAGAACCCATTTCACACCGTTCTCTTAGCTTCTGGTGTTGCCAGAAGTCCTTGGTATTCCTTGGCTTGTAGATGTGCCCCTGCAGTCTCTGTCTCCATCATCACAGAGCATTCACCCGTGCATCTGTGTCCTCATGTGGCATTCTCCTCTCTATGTGCACCTGCCTCTGTATCTCTTCTCTTCCTAAAGGATAACATTCATATCAGATTAAGGGCCTGCCCTACTCCAGCATGACCTCATCTTAAACACATCTTGATTACATCTGCAAAGACCCTATTTCTAAATGGGGTCACATTCACAGGTACCAGGGGTTAGGACTTCAACCTATCTTTTTGGGGTACACAATTCAATGAACAACACAGGGCCATTGTGAGGATTTGACAATCCACTGTGTGCAAATGCTCCGACATCTCAAAGAGACTCCTTTTATAGTCTCTGCTGGCATCTTGGCTGCTAGATCTCTGCTTGCCCTTATGGCTGACACCAGCCATCTCTGGCAGTTCCCATCACCCCCAGACTTGCCAGCTGCAGGGCATGTGACTCAAACTAGAAATGCACAAAAGGTGACTCCCCATGGAGCAAGCTTAGCTACTGGGGGACTCAAAATGGGAAAAAAGCAGAAGAGGTGTTTGCCCTCCTGTAGAGCCCTGCTCAGGCGGCAGAGGTCCGTAAGACCTCTTGGGACTGTCCAGCAAGATGGAGTAGCCTACAGGGCTGCTGCAGAACGGTGGTCACAACCGTAACACATTCCTTCACGTTACTCTCCTCCTTCACCACCGCACGCCCTTTCCCTCATGCCTTCTTCCCTAAGGTCACACTCCTGCCCTGGTTTGAGCACACGATCCCTCAGATTTGCTTGTCTAGAGTATCTGGACTAAGATATTCAATAAAGGGAAGTTCTATTACCTTTCCAGATTCCGCCAAACAACATCACCTCCACCCCACTCCGACCCCAGTTACTTCATGCTCCCAGGCACCCTGAACACTTACAGCTATAGTAGCACTTAGCAGATCATAATTACTTGCTTCCTTGCCTGTCTCGCCCACCAGTCTGTGGCCCCTGCCATGAACTGCACTCTCTTCATGCTGTATCCCAGCACCTGCATGGACCACTTTCTATTCATCACTCTGTCCCGGGCATCCAGCACTCAGATATTTGATAAGTGACTTGCTGTGATTCAAGTAGCTAGGATCTGCTGACACACGAGGAGGGTGTCTATAAAATCTCTCTCACTCACTCCCACCCTGCCCCTGAGATAATGCTTTTCTATCAGCTTACTGATGCCAGAAACCATGTTTTCCAGGAGACAAAAATCATAATAAGCGATAAGATTTAAAAGCAAATATTGCTAAAAGAGAAAGCATAAGCCCTTAAATGGTAATGAGGGTGTAAATGACTGAGAATGGTTCTTTTCTGATAGGGGCTGGGGAGTCATGGGGTGGTGGAGGTAGGGGGACAAAGGTGGGGCAGAGGTGGCCAGCCCAGGACATTTTATTCTCACATAGAATCAACACCATGCTGCCAGCCAAAGAGACAGCTACCTTCTGGGGGCAATCTGAGGGGTGAAAGGTGCCTCTCCCCCAAGTTAGCTCTGCCATTGATCTGCTGTGTGCCCCAAACTCCCACCCCTCCACGGATCAAGTATGCAATGCAATGAAAGAAAACTCACGAAGCCAGAATACCTGGTTTTCCCACTGGCATTTCCACCTGCTACTGTGTGACCTTGGGTGAAGCCTTTATTCACCCTCTCAGTTTATTTAAACATAACATTAAGATGATGATGACGATGATACAATTCTCTGGTTTATTTACAGGGTCATTGGAAAAATAAAAAAAAGTCACATGTATGAAACTGCCTCCCAGTATGTAAAGTGATTTGCACATATAAGGCATGTATGTATGTGTTGAATGTATGTGTTTGAGACATGGTCTCTCTCTGTTGCCCAGGCTGAAGTGCAGTTGTGTGGTCATAGCTCACTGTAACCTTCAACTCCTGGGCTCAAGCAATCATCCTGCCTCAGCCTTCTGAGTAGCTGGGACTACAGGTAGGAGCCACCACGCTTGGCTAAGTTTTCTGTATTTTTTGTAGAGACAGGATCTCACTATGTTTCCCAGGCTGGTCTCCAACTCCTGGGCTCAAGCAAACCTCCCACCTCAGCCTCCCAAAGTGCTGGCATTACAGGTGTGAACCGCTGTGCCCAGCCAAGATAGTTATTATTTTTAGAACTGTGGTGAGGACCTTTTTTCTTGGAAACCTGGAGCTCTCAGGGAGGGGAAAGTCAAGGGGCAGAAATCCAGCTCTCTCTGTGTGCCTCTCGACCACTCACCCCCATGGGCGCCATTCTGCGTCTAGGGTTCTGGGTGCTAGGAGTCCATCTGCCCCTCAGGCAAAGGGGAGCTGTCACTATTCCCCTGTATACTGTCACTCAAAGCTCCTGTTCCCAGCCCCCACAACCCCAGGATAATCTGAGCTCTAGGCCTTTCTCCCAGAGTCAACAGGCTCCCCCAAAATGACTAAAACTCTGCCTGAATTGGAAGCTATGGAGCACTCAGTTCTCACCTCAGCTTTAACTTGTCAGGGTGGTTCCTAGACATAGGCTTTCCTCTTTGGGGGAAGGTTTTAATGAAGAAATCTGAAAAGTGAATAGGACCACAGTGTAAAACCAGAAAAGTAAAAGCCACAGCAGTGTCTCCTCCCAGGGAGGGTTTCTGTTCTCTGCAGGAAACACCCCGAAATCTAGACTTTTCCTTTCTAACTCTGCATTCCTCCTTGCGCACTGCCATTTCTGCACTTTCAGTGAGTCAAGGCAGTTACAAAAGCCTGCCCAGGTTCAAGGGGAGGAAACACAGACCCCCGCTTCAATGCAGGTGTGTCTCATTATAAAAATGTCCCCAGTGTAAGAGCAGCATGGAGGATGGGCTATACTTGGTGTGGCTATCTCCGGAAAATACTAACTGCCATACTAGCTCTTTAATGAGGGGGAAGAAATGTTCATTAAAAACTATTAACTCAGGCTAAAATATAAAACAGAAAATAGTGAATAAACATTCATACCACAAGAAAACAGCATGCTTGCCCAAGCATCCCCTTAGAATACATTTTGATAATGATAATAACAATTTGCTAAGAGCTTCCCAGCTATAAAATGTCTCCCCATCATTACCTCCTTCCATCCAGCAACGCTGTGAAGCAAATACATCCATTTCCCTGTTAGGGAGATGGAGGTCCACAGCAGTGCCTCACCCTGACTCACACATTTGTTAGTGAGAGTTTTGAGACTGAACCCAAGGCTTCTGACTCTAATTATGGGTTCCTGTCCACATCTGACCAGCAACCAGTTTGAGTGATATTTAGGATCTGTTTCACAGAGTTTGAAAGTCAATACAAAATGTTCAGTCTAGTGATCTGGCTGTGGCTTTACCGCAGTTTGAGTCTGAGCAAATCACTTTCTGAGTGTCAGTTTCACCATCTGTAAATGCAGAAGATTGCACTACAGGAATTGAAACTTTTTCCATGTAAAGAAAAATGTAAGCAATCACACCCTTTCTCCAGGCAAAATCTTACATGAGGATTCCTACTCTATGAAACATCTGTTCAAAAATAGAGCTGCCCTACCCACCAAAGCTAAACATGCAGCCACCCAGTAACCCTGCAATACCACTCTGGGTATATACCCGACAGAAATGTGTTCGTTTTTCCCCAAAAAGGCTGTGCAAGAGTGTTCATAGCAGCTATGTTCATAACATCAAAATATGGAAACAACCCAAATGTCCATCAAAAGCAGAAAAGCTAAATAAATTCTGGTATAGTCACACAACAGAATACTACACAGCAATGAAAAAGGGTGGGCGGCTCCTACATGCTAGAACATGGATGAATCTCCCAGACATAATTTTGAACAAAAGAAGTTAGACAAAATGAACGCATGCTCTACGATTCCATTTATATGAGTTCGAAAACAGATAATATGAAAATGGTGGTTCTCTTTGGTGACAGCACTGATGGGAAAGAACCAGAGAGAGCTTACTGGGACTTTGGAAAGATTCTTTATCTTGATCTGTGGTTACATGGGTGCATAAGTTTATACAAACTCATCAGGCTTTATTTTATTTCATGTATCTTTTGAGACAGGGCCTCACTCTGTCACCCAGGCTGGAGTGCAGTGACACAATCAAAGCTCACTGCAGCCTCAACCTCACGGGCTCAAGTGATCCACCCACCTCAGCCTCCTAAGTAGCTGAGACTACAGCCATGAGCCACCATGCCCAGCTAATTTTTGTATTTCTTGTAGAGTTGGGGTTTTGCCATGTTGCCCAAACTGGTCTTGAACTCCTGAGCTCAAGATATCCACCCACCTCAGCTTCCCAGAATGCTGGGATTCCAGGCATGCATCACCATGCCCAGCCTCATCACATGAATTGAAATTCGTGTGCTTTATTATATATAAGCTGTACCTCAACAACAACAAAAAGGGTAAAAAGAGAAATGGAACGACTTTGGTTGATGCAAACCAGAAGGTCTTGAAGACCCCTTTGCTCAGCCTCCATCCCACTGCCTCTATCGATTCATACCCTTGACGGACTCTAAGCTTCCATATGTACAGTTTAAAAGACCATCAGACTAGACCATGTCTAAGGAACTCCCAGCCCTGACAGTCTGTGATTCGCCTTTGGGATTCAGATGCAAATGCCTTTCCCTGGAAACCATCCGATATGGTTTGGATCTGTGTCCCCACCAAATCTCAGGCTGAATTATTATCTCCAGTGTTGAAGGTGGGGCCCCATGGGAGGTGACTGGATCATGGGAGCAGTTTCTCATGAATGGTTTAGCACCATCTCCTTGGTGCTGTTCTCATGACAGTGAGTGAGATCTCACGAGATCTGGTTGTTTAAAAGTGTGCAGCACCTCCTCCTCTCACTCTCTTTTGCTCCTGCTCCTGCCCCATGAAATACCTCACTCCCCCTTTGCCCTCTGCCATGATTGGAAGCTTCCAAAGGCCTCCCCAGAAGCAGAAGCTGCTTTGCTTCCTGTACAGCCTGCAGAACTGTGAGCCAATCAAACCTCTTTTCTTTATAAATAACCTAGTCTCAGGTGTGCTTTTATAGCAGTGCAAGAATGAACTAAGACATCATCCTACAGGTGACAACTGTTTCAAATGTCCAAATCCCCACTCCATGGTTACCTTATCTCACCCCGTTCTTGTCACCTTCTTCCCCACCCTCCAATGCCCAAAGCCCACACACTACCCCAGGACCACAGCCTCCTACTCAACCCTCCTTAAGCATCCCCATCTACTCCCAAAGTCCCGCAGGGCCCCTGCAAGCTTACCTCCTGGTGTAAGCACAGGCTCCAGAGTTCACCCACCTAGGTTCAGATCCTGGCTCCTCTACCTGTAGCTGGATGTGCTTTCTATTTATACGTTGAGGTTGACTAATGGTACATATCGTTGAATTGTTAGGAAGATTAAGATAGTACCATGGAAAGCAATTCGCACAGTGTCTGATGCATCCTAAGTGCTCAAGAAGTGTTAGCTAGTGTTCTGATCATTGTTAACTGTCCCCCTCCTGTTCTATTATCACACACTTATGGATCAAAGAGAGACAACAGCTTTTTAAAAATTAACAATAGGCCAGGCGTGGTGGCTTACACTTGTAATCCCAGGACTTTAGGAGGCTGAGGTGGGAGGATCACTTCTTGAGCCCAGGAATTTGAGACAAGCCTGGGCAACATAGTGAAACTCTATCTCAATTAAAAAACAAAAATTAGCCAGGCGTGGTGGCATGCACCTGTTGTCCCAGCTACTTGGGAGGCTGAGGTAGGATAATGGCTCGAGCCCAGGAGGTTGAGGCTGCAGTGAGCCAAGGCCGTGTCACTGCACTCCAGCCTGGGCGACAGAGAGAGAGTCTCCGTCTCAAAATAATAATAATAACAATAATAATAATCTAGTAGAGTGTTTACCACAGCTGTGCTGCACATCCTCCTCACAGCTTTTTTTGAGTAGACTTTGCGTTGTGTGCCCAAAGTCACATAAATGATCAAGGCTGGAGTCAAAATTTAAATTCAAGCCCTACTGACTCCAAAGCTCATAGTCTGAGCCTCCATGCTATTTGCTTAAGAAACTGTGTAATGCAGTTGACGGAGAGGGTACTTAATCTAAAGGAGTGAGCATCTGCTGGGGCCACTGGTGTGATCGAAAGAATTTAGAATCGGACAGATCTAGGTCCAAATCCTGGGCTGTGTGCTTCACCAGCTGCGCAGACTTACACTCATTGCCTTAACTGCTCCAAGCCTCAGTTAGCTCACCTGTAAATTGAGACGCCATTGTGGAAGGCATTAAATGAACTTCATAATGTAGCCAAAACTTTATAAAAGCTAATCCTGGGGATTTCCAGCATCAGGTGATGCAGATGGAGAGTGATTTGAGGAAGGGAGTATATACTTCATCCATGCTTCACCCAGATCTCCCTCCAGTTCAAAACAGAACCCTTCACCCAAGGACAGCCCCTCCTAAGACTGGGGACTTTTTTAAACAATCAAATGATGCCTAAGTTGCAAATGTTAACTTTGTGGTCTGGTCTCTCTTCCTCTGTTGTCAGTTTTAAAACAGTTGCTAAAAACTAACATCCCCTCTCACCCTATCTTCCCCTTCTTGTTTGCAAGACAGAGCCTATTAGAGATTTCAAGGCAGTTTTGCTTTCAAATGGCCCATCTTTCTGATTCCCTCTTCTTTCTCAGCCTGAGCTCAGCATGACTTTTCCTCCCTACCTCGTTCTGCTCTACACACACAGCTATGCCATACATGAGGGCAATTCGGGTGACACCCTAGACTCTCTGATTTTACAACTCCCAGTTTGCAGCAAGAAGCAGGTAGTGAAGTGGATTCTCAAAGGGAATCAGAAGGGGAAAATAATTTGGCCATCAATATGAGTAAAAAACCCCAGACACTCATATACACCCCATCTAAACATAACCCTTCGCCACCCCCAAGAGGTGAGGCAGTCGTGTTCTCTTGCTCACTTCCACATAACTTGCTACAAAGTCTTTTGGCGACACTCCCTTTGTCGCCTTTAATGTGTTGCTCTAATGACCCACATAATGAGATTGCACCTCTCCAGGCCTGAATAAATGTCATCCCGTGAAGTGGGCATCTTCAAGGAGCTGGGAAAAGTACAGCCTTCCTGGAAGGGCATTTTGGCTAAGAATTAAGTCTTTAAAAAAGGCTGATACCCAATAACTACAATTGTACCTAGTTTATCAAGGAGTCTCAGCTTACCACTGTTTCAAACACAGAATTGCCACCAACTGTGTGTTCTCAAATCCTCTTTAATGGTGCTTGACATCATCTTAGTGCAATTCCATTTATTTCCAGTTATTAAGGGTTATTCAGTGACATTTTTGTTTCTGTAGGACTCAGTCCCATGCATTTCAAAACTTGAAACTTGTTTTCTTGTAATGACTCTCTTTTCCTCACCACGCCCAAACACATACACAAACCTAGACTTGAGTTTCTAAGCTGCTTAAAGGTTGTAGGGGAAAGAGGATGGTCTCTTCTCACCACGCCATCTCCTATGCGCATGCCCTCTGCTGTTGGGGCAGGATGGAAAGAGGGAAGGACAGAGATGTTTCCTCATTTAGCTGCTTATGATGAGGAGCTGATCCTTTTTATTTCAGTGGTCACTGGTTCCTGGATAATGCAGACTGAGCTTTGACTCCTGCTGTGTGGCTCCTTCATGGGGCTCATCCATTGGGTTCTTTGGAGAATGTCGTAGGGCCATCCCCTGCATATTCACCTACATGGGTGGCCTGGCTAGGGCTCCAGCTGCTTCCTTTCCTTTTCCTCCCCAACCACAGTCTTCCCCACACTTTCCTTCTACCAGGGGTATCTCATCCAGTGGGAAACCCACTTGGGGAATAATGGCAGAACAGCTCAAGTCCCACTTCCTAAGGTGTTCCCTCGACCCAGGAGAAATGTATGTGTCCTTGACACACCTGAGAAGCCACAGACCCCTATATCCATGTCCTAAGCAGCCTCAGGTGCTCCTGCTGGTCCAAGACTCAAAAACCATCAAAGGAAAGATAACAGACCCCAAATTAATGGAGTCGACACTGCAGGAATAGGAATCCCACTTGTCAAATAATTCTCTTTGGGCCTCTCTCTCTTGGTTTTAGGGAAGGAAAATAACCATACCTCCTTCTTCTCTCTTATGGGGAAGTGATGAGAAAAGTCCTATACTAAGGAACTAGTAAATGAATAAGTTCTATGGATGTATTCACAGAGTTGATGGATTATTTTAATGGTATGATATGTTAAATGAAAAGAGCAGTGTAGCAGATTGCATTTTCCAACATGGCAGAAACATCACCACTCGTCTCACAGGCTTTCACTACAATGTGACCTCGACGATCCTCCTATCAAATGATGGGGTCTTTGCCACGTCCCCTTGAAGCTGGGCAGATCTCAGTGTCTGCCTTGACCAAGAATAGTGCAGAACTAACATTATGTGACTTTCAAGGCTGACTCATTAAAATGTCATGCACTTTCACCTTGCTCTCTTGAGATGCTCACTCTTGGGACCCAGCCACCATGCTGTGACGAGGCCTAAGGCACCACATGGACAGGCCATGAGTAGGTATTTCAGTGGATGTCCCCAGCTGACATCTCAGCTGATGACTTACATCAACTGCCAGGCATGTAAGTGATAACCCTCTTAATAATTCTAGCCCTCACCCACGAAGCCATCCCCAACCTCTGTATCTCCCCATTTGAGGCCCCAGACATCATGGAACAGAAACAAGTGATTCCACCATGATCCTCTCAAATCCCTGATCTGCAGAATCTGTGGGCATAATAAATTGTTGTTGATTAACCTGTAAGTTTGGAATGATTTGTTATACAGCAATAGTAACTAAAACAAACAAGATACCCAATTGTCCATAGAACATAATCCATGTATTTCATATATATATATGGTAGGGTGGGAAATATTTGACACTGACTACAGATGCCTCTGTCTTCTAAGAGGAGAAGCATAGTTAATATCAATGAGAAAGTAAATCTCTATCAGCCTCTATTTCACTTACAAAGACTGGTGGAGAGACATGAAGAAAATATGGGAATTTCAAAGCCTCCACTTTCCCTTCTTTATTAATAATGATTGAAACTCAGAGTAGGTGACCCTTGGTGTGAATGGTACTTAATAGTAGATACAGAAAGGAGGTCTAGGACTGTGTAGGGGCTGTAGAGCTAAACTGCCTTCTAGGATAAATGAGAGAATTTGAATGTTTTACAGACAGAGAAGGCAAACAACAAGGTGGAAGGCCGGAATCTTCCAAGAAAAGTGTTCGGTGAGAAAGACATTTCCCCTACAGCAAGGCTGTTAAGGAACTTTCCAGGAGAGAGATATATAAGATCTAATTTTATCTCTTTTTTTAATTTTTAAACTTTTTTTCTTCCTTCTAAGGAAAACAACACTAATACGATCTAATTTTAAACTCGGCATTTTTATGATTTTTTAAAATCCCTCCTGAGTCCTCACACTTTGAGTAAAGTTTGCTACGTGTACATTTCTTGGGAGAAGGGCCTGGTGGGAACAAAACACAGAGGCCAAGTTTGACATGAAGCTCAGTGCCTTGCACAGGGAGAGCAGGGTGCTGTCCCTTCATGCGACACTGTGAATTCAGAGCTCCTCGGGGGTGGACACCTAGAGCCAGAACAAACCCACGGGACTGTCAGCCCCAGGGATGGAGGGAGTCTCAGTAAGCATGCTGGACTTCCTACAGAAAACAGGAGAAAGAGCTTAAGTCACTATTGTTTAAATCTCAAAGTACAGGGCCACCTCACCTGCTGTCTTAATTATAAACAACGGAGTGGCTTCTTGAGTGGCATCTTGCACAGGGGTTAGCTCGCCAAGTCAGCGTGCCAGGTAAAAAAGTCAAAAGTCAAAATGCCCTTGAAATCCCTTAGCAGAATGCTACATGGGAGATGGCCATTTCTCAGTAAGTTTTGCCATGGCTGCTGTGTCCCTAACTGTACAGTTAATCCTTGACTCTTAGTTTGACTGTCAGCTGAAGCAGCTGGTTTCAGTGAGAGACTGTGTCAAACCAAAAATACATCTTTTTAAACCGAAACCCAGAATGTCCATGGTAAGATGTTTTACACGCTGAAAAGCTCCGTGGAACTGAGGTCCAAGGGAAGAACAGAAGATTCTCTCCCACTCCCATCTCACACACACTCCCAGGCAGCCACTTACTCTGTGGAATGGTAAACAGAATCACTCACACTTCAGATTCTCTCTTTTCCTTCCTCTTCTCTCTCATGCTTGCAGAGTTGAATTTTATTGGATGTATGACATGGCATTCTAGAAAAATATTAAAAATACTTATGTTAGGCAAAAATACTGGAAGGGAATACACCAATATCTTAGCAGTGGCAGTCTTTAGATACTCTATTATTCACATTTTTTACAATATGCACATAAAATTTCTATCATGGTGAGTACCCCATTGGGTAGTTGTAGTACTTAAAACAGTGCATGCACAAACAGTAGGCCCTCAATATACTTTATCTCATTATTATTATCAGGAAAGAACAAAGTTTACCTCACTCCTGTGAGTAGGAAAGCGAGGTGGAGGAGATGGCGGTCTACCTGCCAGGGAGTCCCCTCCCAACCCTGTAAACCTGCGGGAGGCTTTCCTTACCTGCCCCACTCATGACTGGGATGTTTTGTTGAGTGAGGATCCTGCAGGATTATATTGGCCAGGTGTCAAGAAGGAGAAAACCCCAACAAAGATTGAGAAAATTAGGAGAAAATGGGAAGGTAGAAAGTGGAGGCTAGGAAGTAACAAAAATTTCCAGGAGTCTTATCAATGCTGTCATACAGGACCAGGAACAGTTTTGAGTAGGACTCCCCGTTGGAGCAACAGAAGGAAGGCTGGCTGGGATTAGGCTTTGACAGACCTGGGATCTGAATTCCAGCTCTGCCCCTTGAACAAATGACTTAATTTCCCTTTGCCTCAGTTTCCACATCTAGAAAATGAAGGCTGATCATAACATCCACCCTATCAAGACGTTGTAATAATACCTGCAGAGTGCTTTAGTACAGTGCCCGGCACATAACGAGATCTCAACAAATGTTAACTGTTGTTATCATCTGCATCCTGAAATTCCCTAATAATTGCATGTGGTTTCTGGGCACTTGAATTGATTCTGTGTTTCTATTTACAGACATAGAATACTCTGCTGTTCAGGAGCATATCTTTGCAATGCAAATTGAAATGTGTTACCATCTATCTAACTGGCTAGTGCCTGATATTGGTGAAAATGTGGGGAAATGGACAAATCCTGCCCTGCTAATGGGAATGCAAATGGCTTAATCTCTGGGAAGACTAATTTGACAGCATATATCAGTCCCTTAAAGATGACCATGTGGGGCCAAGTAGGTGGGCAGAGGGAGCCAGGTAGTGGCAAGGGGTTGAACAGAGGTGGGGGCAGGATGGCTGGCAGAGGTGAAATGCAGAAACTAGGATGGATCCCATTGAATCAATATATCTCTAAGGAGTCCCAGAAATTCCAGGGGGGAGGGAATATTATAAAATACATGGTCGAACAAATCAAGGCTGGGATTATTATATGAGTGTTAGAGAGAATGCTAATCCTTTAAGACTGGAGACACCAAAGAAAAGTACTTCCACATGCCGACTGCATATCCTTACCTGGAGTCTCAGAGGCATCTCCAATTTAGCACACCCACAACAGACCTACGGACTACCACACCTCCCACTCAAACTGTTCATCTCTCAACATTCCACTCAAAAGAAAAAAAAGGCACGCCACCGACCTAGTTGTTCAAGCTCCAACTTAATGAGTCATCCTTGATTTCTGCTTTCCTTTTACCATCACTACCAAGGACATCACATCCAATCCCTCAACAGGTCCTGTTTCTTCTGCTTCCAGAACAGATCCTAAATCCAGCCACTTCTCTCAGTCTCCACTGTGATGTTTGATCTTGGCACCCACCTGGACTACTGAAATAGCCATATATATATATATATATATATATAGTCTCACTCTGTCACCCAGGCAGGGGTGCAGTGGCATGATCATAGCTCAATGAAGCCTTGAACTCCTAGGTTCAAGTGATCCTCCCACCTCAGCTTCCTGAGTAGCTGGGACTCAAGGCACATGCCACCACATTTGGCTAATTTTTTGTGTTTTTAAAGAGACAGAGTCTTGCCGTGTTGCTCAGGCTCATCTTGAACTCCTGGATACAAGTGATCCTCCTGCCTCAACCTCCCAAGTAGCTGGGATTATATTCACAAGCCACTGTGCCTGACAACCTTGCCTATCATCTTACCTTTTCTACTATTATCCCTTTCAAACCATTCTACAGGTAACAGCTTGAACGCTCTTTTAAAAATAGAAGCAATTGTCCAGTCACTCAATTGACCAGATTAAAACTCATTGATTTCTTTGTGTTGTCCACCTCTTTCTCTTTGTCTGCCATGCATTTCCCCTTGACTACTAACCCACAGTCAACAGGCCTTCTCTCTGTATCCCCAACACAGCATACTCAGGGTTCTCTGGCTGGAGTGCTTCTTCTTTGGCTCTTCTCAACATCCACGTCTCTCCTCAAAGAGGTCTTCCCTCACTAGACTAGCCACAGGCACTGCTCTAGTCACTATCACAATACCTTGTTCTACTTCATAGCACTTATCTCCATCTGAAATTCTTTCATTTGTTTGTTTACTTGTATATTGTTTACATTTCCCCCACCAACACACATACGCAGGACTAGAATATGAGCTTTGTGAGGGCAGAAGCCTGCTTGCCTTGCTCATTATTTATCCTCAGCACTTCATACATGGTAAATGCTCACTAATTACTTGAAAAAAAATCAATAAACGAATACCTGGATCATACAAGTTTCTGGACCCTCACACTCCAGCTCCCTCTAGTCATTTATGACTTCAGTGTTGGTGGACAATGAAAGCAGAGAAGGGAGAGAGGAGCAGGCCACTGGTTCTGATGGAGAGATGAAGATAAAGGCTTCTTGTTTAACCAAAGAGAAAGCCAGAGGGAAGCTCAGGGTTTGGTCTGGGCTTGCAGAGCAAGTTGATGGCAAATTGAAACACTAAGGCTTCTAATACTTGGTGCTTGTCTAGGTAACTGCTCCAGATGTGTCTTGTCACCATCACTACAGTGTTACTTCACAATGGTGCACAAAGAACTAAGTTCATCCCAAAGGAACTCCTCTTGTGACATCTGATCACATGGCATACAGGAAGTTGGTTAATTAATAAGCATTCAAATGATGAAGCATTGAAATATTATGAGGCTGCCAGACAGAGCTGAAACTTCCTTAACTTAGTATTTGCTATAGTTTGAATGTGTCCCCCAAAAGGCATGAGTTGGAAATTTAATACCCAACTCAACAGTGTTAGGAGGTGGATCTTAATGAGAGGTGAGTAGGCCATGAAGTCTATACCCTCGTGAATGAATTAATGCCTTTATTGCAGGAGTGGGTTCCTTATAAAAGAGTACCTTTGGTCCCCTTTTCTCTCTCTTTCTCTCTCTTGCTCTCTGCCCTCCTGCCATAGGAAAATGCAGCAAGACCCTCACCACATGCAGCCCCTCGATCTTGGACTTTCCAGCCTCCAGAAGCATGAGCTGATAGATTTATGTTTATTATAAATTACCCAGTCTGTGGTATTCTGTTACAGCAGAACAAAACAGACTAAGAAAGAAAATTGGCACTAAGAGGTGGAGCTGTTACTACAACAAATACCTGAAAATGTGGAAGCAGCTTCACAACTATGTAATTAAACGAAGCTGAAAGAATTTGGAGGAGCAGGCTAGAAAAAGCCAAAATTACTATAAATGGACTTTGAGGATGATGCTGGTAAGGGCTCAAAAGAAGAGGAGAGCTATAGAGGAAGTCTGAAACTTTACTTAAGCCATCATAATCAGAATGTTCATAGAAATATGAGCAGTAAAGGCCATACTGATTGGGCCTCAGATGGAAATGAAGAATACCTTATTGAAAACTGGAGTCATGGCCATCCTTGTTAAGTGGCAAAGAACTTGGCTGAATTGTGTGCGTGCTCAAGAGCTTTACAGAAGGCAGAATTTAAGAGCAATGAACTAGGGTGTCTGGTGGAAGAAATATCTAAGCAAAATACTGAAGGAGCAGCATGGCTTCTCTTAACTGCATAGAGTAAAATGCAAGAAAAAGAAATTATTTAAAGACAGAATTTAAAATTAAAAGAGAAATAGAGATTTGGAGGACTCTCAGACTGGCTATATAGTAGAGAATAAAAAAAGATTTTTTTTGAGAGAAAAAAAATTTTTAGGAAACCAAGGATGTGCCCAAAGGACCATTTGATAAGGAGATTAGCATGGATAGAATAAAGCTGGAGGTTATTCATCAGTACAACTGGAGAATGACCCCAAAGGCACATGAGAGATTACTGATGCAGACCTTCCTATTGCAGGCTCAGAATGACAACGCCTGGAAAAAGAAAATACATCAAAAGAAAGGCCTAGGGCATCCACGGGGCCTTGGCTCCAGGCCAGGTCAAGTCTCTGCTCTCTGAATCCTGGCACAGCACCCCAAATGGCAAATTTTAGCAGTATCCGTGTGGTGTTAAGTGTGCAGGTACACAGAATGCAAGAGCTGTGGGAACATCGCTTCTTCTACCTAGATTTCAAAGGATGTCTCAGACAGCCTGGAGGCCCAGGCAGAACTTTTCTCATGGGCAGAGTCACCGCAGAGAGCCCCCACTAGGGCAATGCCCAGCAGAACTCTGGGATCAGAGCCACTGCAGAAAGTCCCTACTAGTCCTTGTGGAGCCATGAGGGTAAGTCCACCCCCAAGACCCCAGAACTGTAGAGTCACCACCATGAGATAACAGCCTGGAGGAGCTGCAGGCATGAGATTTCAACCCCTGAGAGCTGCTGCACAGGCCTAGCTCTCCCTAACCCCCCATAGGGGCAGGGTTGCCAAGGCATTAGGGGACCAACCCCCAACCCATTATACAAAAAGGTAGGACACTGAGTGAAAAAATATTATTCTTAAGCCTTAGGATTCAGTATTATTCATCTTAATTGGGTTTTGAACTTGCCTGGGACTTGTTTCTCCATGCTTCTTTCCTATTTCTTCCATTTGGAATGGGGATGTCTATCTTATGCTCATTCAACTAATGTATTTTGGAAGTAGATAATCTGTTTGATTTCACAGGCTGACAGCTGGAGGGCTTTTAACTCAAGATAAATTGTGCCTTGAGTCTCACCCATATCTAATTTAAATGAGACTCTAAACTTCGAACTTTTAAATTGGTGCTGAAACAGTTAAGATGTTGGGGCTATTGGAATGAAATGAATGTAGTTTGCATGTGAAAAGGACATGAGTTTTGGGGGTCAGGTACAGAATGCCATGGTCTAAATGTGCCCTCCAAAATTATTTGTTGGAAACTTAATCTCCAATGCAACAGTATTTGGAGGCAGGGCCTAATGAGAGGTGATTGGACCATGAGGATCCACCTTTCATGAATAGATTAATGCCATTATCACAGGAGTGGGTTTGCCATAAAAGGGTAAGTTTGGTCCCCTTTTCTCTCTCTCCCTCCCTCTCTTTGCCCTTGCACCTTGGGATGATGCAGCAAAAAGGCCCTTGACAGATGTCACCCCTCAATCTGGGACTTCCTGACCTCCAGGAAAGAGCCAATACATTTCTGTTCATTATAAATACCCATCTTGGGCATGCTGTAATAGCAGCACAAAACGAACTAAGACAGTATTCGAGGCATGCCACTCTTTATTCTTTCCAGATCTGAAATCGCCCACATTAATTTCCCCATCTGTACAATGAAAAGCAAATGATCAGCAAAGTCTCTTCCAGCCCTGATGATTTAGAATGTTTCTCTTTGACACGAGTTTCTTCCTTCAGTCAAACTGATCTAATTACTGTCCTCCCTGTCCCCCACTGCCATCTACATATAAGCCCCAAGACATTTGCCTTTGCTTATATTGGTTCTCTACCAATAATGCTGACATTTCCTCTCTGCTGTTTGAAATACTGTGCAGCCTTCAATAACCAATAGAATTACCACTTCCACTCTTCGTCCTTATTTTTTCCAGCTGAAAAAGCTTGCCTTTTTTTAATTATTATTATTTTTAGATGGAGTCTCACTCTGTCGCCAGGCTGGAGTGCAGTGGCACGATCTCGGGTCACTGCAATCTCCACCTCCCGTGTTCAAGCCATTCTCCTGCCTCAGCCTCCCGAGTAGTTGAGATTACTGGCGTGCGCCACCACACCCAGCTAATTTTTGTATTTTTAGTAGAGACAGGGTTTCACCATGTTGGCCAGGATGGTATCGAACTGCTGACCTCAGGATCTGCCCGCCTCAGCCTCCCAAAGTGCTGGGATTACAGGGGTGAGCCACCACACTCGGCCAAAAATTTCCCTTTTATGAACTCTTGGGGCATTTTCTAATCCAGGGATTGGTAAACTACAGCCTACAGGCCAAATGCAGGCCATTGGCCAAATCTGTTTGTTTTTATAAGTAAAGTTTTACTGGAACACACCCATGCCAATTCATTTACATACTATCTCTGGCCGTTTTTTGCTATAATGGCTGGGTTGAGGGCATGTAACAGAAACAGTGTTGTGGCAGGCCAGGTCTCCATTAGCCACCAGAGCAGTTAGCCTTCACCAATACCTTATTGTCACTCTGATGAACATATAAGTAAAACATTAAAGAACTGGAGAAACTGGTGCCTTAGTACAAAGGTTAGAATGTGAAAACAAGTCCATTAAGACCGCACTTGGGCTTTCTCAGACCTTAGAGTTTAATTAAAATAATGGAGGTGTTCTTGCACACCTTGTACCAGGACCTACTTTAGATTAAGTAATTGTTGCAAGCCTCTGAAGTAATTTTCCAGACCCCAGGCCCCACATGTAGGCATATCAGAGGCATTTAAGCCAGAGCAACTCCATCTTGAATAGGGGCTAGATAAAGTAAGTGTAAGGCCTACTGTGCTGCTTTTCCAGGAGGTGAAGGCATTCTTAGTCACAGGATAAGATAAGAGGTCTGCAGAAGATATAGGTCATCAAGACCCTGCCGATAAAACAGTCTGCAGTAAAGAAGCCGGCCCAAACCCACCAAAACCAAGATGGCAATGTGAGTGACCTCTGGTCGTCCTCACTGCTACACTCCCACCAGCATCATGACAGTTTACAAACATCATGGCAATGTCAGGACTTTACCCTACATGGTCTAAAATGGGGAGGCATGAGTAATCCATCCCTTGTTTAGCATGTCATCAAGAAATAACTATAAAAATGGGCAACAAGCCACCCTTGGGGCTGTTCTACTTATGGAGTAGCCATTCTTTATTCCTTTACTTTCTTAATAAACTTACTTTCACTTTACCCTATGGATTCGCCTCAAATTCTTTCTTCTATGAAATCCAAGAACCCTCTCTTGGGGTCTGGATTGGGACCTCCTTCCAGCAACATAAGCACTAGAGAAAAACCTCTAATTTTAGTTGGTCTGGTGAGTTACTCCAACCTTCTCCCTGTAACCAGTTGCAGAAATAAACTCCCTTCTTTCCCAGTCTGTCTGCATCTCCTTATTGGACCGCGAGAACAGACAGCAGGACCTCGTTCTGTCCGGGAACAGTGTGGCTCATTATACTGTTTAAATATTTACTATCTGGCCCTTACAAAAAAGTTTACCAACCTGTAGCTAATCTATGCTTCTCAAACAACAAGATCCAGGCTGAGATCCAAGCGGGAGATATCTGAATCCACATGGTCAACGTTGTGTATCTTCTTGGAGCATCAATTTTACTAGAAGACTAGGAAGAAAAAATAGTTAACAGACTATACATGTAGACATTTAATAGACATTAAAGCAAACACATTTATATTATGGAGTAGAATCCAACATTTTGAATGAAATTATGAGTTAAAATTCCAAATGTGACCAAAATTTCAAGCATAGGGAGGCCTCTACACATTGTTTCTGTTCCTTTACTGTTAAAAATATTTTTGTATAGCCGGGCACGGTGGCGGATCACCTGAGGTCAGGAGTTTGAGAACAGCCTGGCCAACATGGTGAAACCCCCTCTCTACTAAAAATACAAAAATTATCGGGGGGTGGTGGTGTGCGCCTGTAATCCCAGCTACTCGGGAGGCTGAGGCAGGAGTATCGCGGAGGTTGCAGGGAGCCGAGATCACGTCACTGCACTCCAGCCTGGGGGACAAGAGTGAGACTTCTGTCTCAAAAATAATAATAATAATAATAATAATACATAAGTGAAATATTTTTGTATAAAATTTTAGAAAACACCCATGTATGCTATTTAATTTGTGGTGGAAGTGTTGCAGAATTTTGCTCCTTAGTTCAACTAAAACCGGGTTCTTGTCACACAACCAGGAAGAATGAGGCGCGCGGACATACTGAAGGGTGCTTAGAGAGGAATTTGTTGGGCAAAAAGGAAAAAAGGAAAAAGAAACTCTCAGCAAAGCAAGAAGGAATTCTGCCAGTGGGCTCCCATCTCACAGCCTGAACACCAGGCCACCACACAGAAACTGAAGAGGCCAGACTCCTCCCTCCTGCAAAGAGTGTGAACTCCCCCTGGTTCCACCCCGTTCTCCCAGTGAGCAGGCCAGTCGGAGATTCTCCGGGGACCCCTTTTTATCTGCCTAGGAATTTGGCCATCTCAGAAGTACATTTCTTCTGAGTCTTTGTATTCTTGCCACTTCTGGCACGGTGCTTGACTATAAGAACTCCAGAAGGGCTGGCATTATTTATTAACATAAATCCTAAAAGGTCTTTACCCGTCAGAACGGCTTAGAGGAGTTCCGCATGTAGGCGGAGAGATACACCAGATGACTCTGCCTGCAGAGGTCTCATACTCTGTGGCTTATTAGTGCCTGTATTGTCACTATGGCAACAAAAAGTCTAATAAGATCTAGTTAAATTAATAATATTCATAGCAATGTCATCACTAATATAAAATTCAAATTAGTTCTTCCTGAGCTGAAAACAGAAACAATCTTTATATGAATGAACTAGTGATAACCTCGCTGTTTTGTTTTTTGTTTTTTGTTTTATTTGCCTTTTTCTTTTCCTTTAACTGATTTATGTATTTTGTAGGAGAATGGAGATATTAGAAAGTTTACCGTGTCCTTGACTACCGGCCCAACCACTATTACCATCCCACCCCATATCTCTCATCCCAAAGCATCTCCCTGACTTCTGAGGTCTGAACAATCAGTTGCAACAGTGACCACTGGGTTTTGTTGTCTGTTGTTATCTTTGTTTTGTTTTTGAATGCAAATGTGCCTAGGAAAGGATAACATGTAAAGTTACCAATCTCTTCTTAAGACTCGGCAGATGGCTTTGGCATTGGTTGAGGATGGGGTGAAGAAAGGCAGTCCCAGCCTCTGAATCAGAGTCAGGTCTGAGGCCAAACCCCCAATTCTGCCATTGACTTGCTGAGCTACTCTCAGTAATTACTTGCCACTGCTGCACCTTCATTTTTCTTTCCTGTAATATAAAAGCTGGAAACTAGGTGTTCTCCAAGAGCTTTTCCAGCTGTAAAATTCTACAGTTCAAGGCAGCATAATTAATGGAAAAATCAAGGGCACAACCACACGGATAAAAATTCAGAAAGATAAACCTTTGGGAGGCTGAGGCGGGCGGATCACGAGGTCAGGAGATCGAGACCATCCTGGCTAACACGGTGAAACCCCTTCTCTACTAAAAATACAGAAAATTAGCGGGCGTGGAGGCGGGCGCCTGTAGTCCCAGCTACTCGGAAGGCTGAGGCAAGAGAATGGCGTGAACCTGGGGGGCGGAGCTTGCAGTGAGCCGAGATGGCACCACTGCACTGCAGCCTGGGCGACAGAGCGAGAATCTGTCTCAAAATAAATAAATAAATAAAATAAACCTGATTGGAAAAGGTTACAGAATCACTTGTACAGCATAAAACCACTTTAACTTTTTAATTTAATTTTTGGAATAGGTAACATAGTCCATCCACATGGGCTATCTCAAAAAAAATTAAGAAATATATTTAAAAATCTTCTCCCATACCTCATACCGCCCCTCTTTCCACATCCCACATGCAAAACTGCTATTAGGTTTTGCATGTAAACTTTCAGTTTCTTTATGCATATGCAAAAAAAAATTAATACATAGGCTTATTTTCCCCTTCATTAGCACAAAATACAGCATGCTATATATATTCTTCTGCATCTTGCTTTTTTTTCCACTTCACATGTATTTGAAAACTTTCCATATTAGTACAGAGAGTGCCTTCATTCTCATTTACAACTGCATATGATTCCGTTACAACGATGCACCATACTTATTTAATCACTCCCTGTTAATGAATATGTGAACTATTTCTGGTCTTTTTATTACAAGCAATACTGCAATGAATAACCTTGAACACATGCAGTTTTGAACATGTGTAAACATATACTTATCTATAGATAAATTATAAGAAATGGGATTTCTTTTATAATTTTGTGCATTTGCCATTTGCTTTTTTTTTTTTTTTTTTGAGGCAGTTTCTCACTCTGTTGCCGAGGCTGGAGTGCAGTGGATCAATCATAGGTCATTGCAGGCTCAAACTCCTGGATTCAATCAATCCTCCCACCTCAGCCTCCCAAAAGTACCAGGACTATAGGCATGAGCCACCACACCTAGATTTGTGCATTTGCATTTTTGTTATATGTTGTCAAATTGCCCTCTACAGAGATTATACCAGTTTACTCACCACAATCAAAGTTTAAGTGCGTCTTTCCCTCAGCCGCTTCTATACACTGTTATCAAATCTTGGGTATGGACCGATTTGGCAGATTTTTGAAATGCTATCTCAATGTGAAGGGGGTTTTTTTAGTGAATTTTTTTTTTTTTTTTTTTTTTTAGAGACGGAGTCTCACTGTGTTACCCAGGCTGGCCTCTAACTCCTGGGTTCAAGCCGCCCTCCCACCTCAGCCTCCTAAGTAGCTAGGGCTACAGGAATGCACCACTGCACCCAGCTTCAATGTGGTTTGAATTTTTATTACTCTTTTTTTAATGAATCTTTTCTGATGGTTAATAGCCATTTGTATTTTTTTCTCCGTAAATTAATACTTTAAGCTCTTTCTCATATACGTAAATTTTTAAAACATGCATACTGATTGTTTATAGCCATGAACATGCATAATGAAGGGTGGGAGAGAAACTCTAACCTCAATTGAGAGGCTGCTGCTGGCAAGGATGGCAGGCGGGTGGGACAGGGCAGACAGCAGAGACACAAAGGGATTATCGATGAGGGGGTAACATTTTATTTCTTTAAAAAAAAAGCACATGAAGCAAGAAAGAAAATTGAAAAAAAAAAAAAGGAAGCAAGGGAGGGAAAGAGAAGACAAGCTTTAAAATCAGTAAAGCTGGGCTTGAATCTCAGCCACAACACATGCTCTGTGGCCTTTCAAAGCTCTCATAACCTCTCTCATTCTCAATTTCCGCATCTCTAGGATGTAGAGAATTTAATGACTAAAGATAATCCATGTAAAACCATGATTAGCACATCATTGTTGCTAAACAGTCATATTACATTGTTAATTTGATTATTATTCAAATGTATATGATGCCTCAAGCCAAGAGAAAGGGTCTGGTGGCTTTTCCTGGCTCAACTACCTTTTTCCTGTTAGGTTTCCCCAGGGGGTAGCCTCTTGTTGGTGACATCATGCCAGCGGTTTCACCCTCTCTTGACTATTTTCCAAATGTCCTCCCCAGAGCTGCCCCTGTTGGTGTAACTGGCGTGACTGAGAGAAGCAAGGATGTGCTTGGGGTAGGGCTGGGAGGGGGAGTTTCCTCTGTGTCGCAACCACTGTTTCCAAAAGCTGTGACCTCTGTTAGCTGTGAGATTTTGTCTTCCTGTTGTGGCAACATCTGTAGAACCACATCCATGGTTTACCTGCAGCCTAAAACGCCCTGGCCTCGGAGGAAGCTAACACCTCTTTCTCCTTAGTTTGCATTACCTCAACAAGCAGTAGGCTGCCCCACCACACCCACCACACCCCAAAGCTTCTTGATGCCTTGTTTTTCCAAAGCCTCAGAGACACAGAAAAGTTATTCCTTTGCTGTAAACTCCTTTTATCAGAACAGAAATGATTAGAGCAATGAATTTGGTACACACCTTTTTCCCATCTTTGAATTATTTTCTGAGTTGAAATGGTTTCTATTCTTTTTCATTATTTTGATCCTAAAACATCAGAACACTAGAAAGGAGAGAAGAGACAAAGGAAGAAAAAGAAAAAAAGAGGATTGCCGAGGCAGAAAGAAGAAAAAAAATAGGGTTGAAACAGATGGTGTCCTGCCAGAGTCACCTCTTAGGCCCTGGAGACAAGCTCCAGAAATAATCTAAAGGCCTACGTTGGACACCAGGTCCTTCCTTAGTGGCTGAACCTTTGCTCTCAGAGACCAAATAGCTCTTGTATAGCTAATGCCCAGCTATAAGTGAGAGAATGCTGGGTGAGCTTAAAGGAACACCCCTTCTAATAACATCTGGAAGCTTCACCAAACCAGCAAAGACAATGTCCTTCAATTATAATTGCAGCGATGAACCAATAACCCATCAACCAAATCATGAACATCATGGAGAAAGGAATTACTGTTTTTCACAGAGGTGAAGATCGCTTTATCTTTGGCAGAACTGATCTGAAGGGAAATTGTAAGAGACATGAAATTTAACTTTCCTGGCATTTGTGAATATTTCTTCTTTTAATAACCTGGATTCCATGAAACCAGGAACCTCTTTCTGTAGCATCCCTTGCAGGCCTGCCATCACATTTACTGCCAGTGCCTCACCTCTCTTGCCTTCATCCAAATTTCCCTTTCATTGGCCTAGTTTTCTGGAGCTCTTTGCTGGGAGACAGACAACTGCCTGTTCTGAGAAACCATTCCATTCTAAAGTGATAATGGATGCTGCAATAGGTAGAATAATAACCCCTCCAAATATATCCATGACCTAATCCCCAGAATCTTTGAATATGTTACGACATAGCAAAGGGGACTGTGCAAATGAGATTAAGGTTAAGTACTCTGAGATTATCCCGCATTACCCAGGACAGCCTAATCCAACCACGAGTCCTTAAAAACGGGGTCAGTTTCCTTAAAAATGAGTCAGAGAGGTGAGAGGAAAGAAGAGTTTCTGACTTTGAAGATGGCAGAATTGGGCGTGAGTCAAGGAATTCGGGTGGCCTCTAGAAGCTGGGAATGTCCCTCAGTGATAGCCAGCAAGGAAACAACATCTCAGTCCTACAACCAGAGGAAATGAATTTTGCCAGCGACCTGAATGCGCAAGGAAAGAGATCCTCCCCTAGAGCTTTCAGAAGGCACATACCCCTGCTGACACCTTGATTTTAGCCCAGTGAGACCATGTCAGACCCACAGAACTGTAAGAGAATAACTTTGCATTGTTTAAACTACAATACTTGTGGAAATCTGGGGTGTTTTTTTTTTTTTCTAGCAACAGTGCTAACATGAGACTCAGTCAGTAGGGATTTCAGTTTGTTTTCTAAAGCAACCATTACGGTACAACGTGGGGGAAAAAATGTGTGCATTTTGGAGCAAGCAAGTTGTTTTGCCACAGTTTGTGGTCAGGTGTGTACACATTCATCTGTCCAATAAACATTTATGGAATGCCTACTATGTACTAGGCACATAGCTCCCTACACATATGCTTCCTTTTAGATCATATCTACATAAGTGGATTCAGTCAGCCAGCAAGTCAACAAATGTTCACTGAGCATCTACTATGTACTAGGTACAAGGACAACTCAATTGGGATTCACTGAAAGGTTCTTTAAGCTGTGTGCCTGGGGAGCCTGAGATTCCAAATTATGCAAAGTAAGATTGGAAGCAGACAGCACTGAAGTCTGTTTTCAGAACAGCTATGAGATATTGTCTTCCTTTTATAAATGAGAAAACTCATGCCTAGAGGGATTAATTGACCAAGTCACACCATCAGTAAGTGATGGAGCTGGAATTTTTTAATTAAAAACAAGTAACAGGGCCTGGCGCAGTGGCTCACACCTGTAATCCCAGCATTTTTGGAGGCTTGAGTCCAGGAGTTCAAGACCAGCCTAGGCAACATGGTAAAACCCCGTCTCTATAAAAAGTACAAAAATTAGCTGCGCATAACATAAACGCTTAACACAAAATGTACCATCTTAACCATTAGCCACTTTAAGCATACATTTAAGTAATGTTAAGTACATTCACATTATTGTGCAACCAATCTCCAGAACTCTTTTTATCTGGCAAAACTGAAAGTCTACACTCATTAAACAACAACTACTCATTCCTCCCTCCCCACAGCCCCTTCTAACCACCGTTCTACTTTCAGTCTCTATGAATTTGACTTTTCTAGCTACCTCATATAAGTGAAATCATACAGTATTTGTCTTTTAGTGACTGGCATATTTCACTTAACATGTTCGTGTTGTAGCAGGTCAGAATTTCCCTTGTTTTTAAGCCTGAATAATATTCCATTTTGTGCATATACCACTTTTTTTTTTTTTTTTTTGAGACAGTGTCTCACTCTTTCACCCAGGCTGGAGTGCAATGGCACCATCTTGGCTCACTGCAGCCTCGACCTCCTGGCTCAAGTGATCCTCTCATCTAGCCTCCCAAGTAGCTGGGACTATAGGTATGCATCACCACACCCAGCTAATTTTTGTGTTTTTTGTAGAGACAAGGTTTCACCATGTTGCCCAGGCTGGTCTGAAACTCCTGAGCTCAAGCGATTCACCTGCCTCAGCCTCGGCTGGGATTATGGGCATAAGCTATCATGCTCACCCTATATACCACATTTGTTTATCATTCTTCTGTCGATGAACACTTGGATTGCTTCCATTTGGGGATTCCATTTTGTCAACAGTGCTGCTATGAACATGGTGTACCAATACGAGACCCTGCTTTCAATTCTTTGGGGTGTATACCAATGGAGCTGGAATTTGAAAGCAGATCTCTCTGGCTCCGACACCCATTCTCTTTCCAGGGTGCCACACAGCCTAGAGGGAAATTGTGGCTTGCCATGCTGCAGCTAACCAGATACAAAACATTTTTTGCTCATATTCCATTCTACATGGATCAGATCAAGCTAGTTTTACTCTATGATTATCCAGTGATAAAAATACAACCTGATATACTGCACTAGGAATAAATTTCAAACTCCTTGGTCCTAGTGATCTGGCCTGCGCCACCTTTTCCAACCCCATTTCACACCACTTGCTGTATTTGCCATGCTCTGTGTATTTCTATCCCTCAACACACCAAGCTTGCTCCCACTCCAGAGCCTGTGCGTTTGCTATCCATTCTCCTTAGGACTTTGCATAACTGGCCCCTTCTCTTCATTCAGGTCTCAGCTCAAATATCACCACCTTGAAGTGGAGGCCTTCCAGATGACCATTTGTAAAGTAACCCCTTCTATCACCATCTATCAAATTACTCAATTTTATTTTCTTAATAACTAGCTAAAAACAATTTATTTGCTTTTGATGTTTTCTAGTTCGTTATCTGACTCCCTCAGAAGAATGTACTTTCCACACAAATGTTACCCATCTTATTTTCCTAATATCCCCAAGCATAGAACCATGTCTGGCACACAGTGCTGCTTATTAGAATATTTGTCAAGTAAAGGAATGTGTAAGAATCTTCATTGTGACGTTGTTTATCATATCCCCAAAAAACCCAAAATAGTATGAATGTCCATCAGTGAGAAATGGTTAAATAAATGAGGTACATAATATGGACATTTCTACAGTCATTAAAAAGTTGAGATGACCCATTATTATTAACAAGCAAGAATGTTTTCAAGGTATGGTTGATTTTTTAAAAGCAAGGTGCGAAACAATAAGTATGCTATAATTCAAGTTTTGTAAGATATCAAAACTACAGGTGTACATGAATGCTTGGGACTATCCCATGTACGGGTGAAAGGGAGGGCTCCCCTTGGCCCTCTGAGGATTTGCTGAAATACCAACTCGCGAAAGGCAGGTTAATTGGAGAAAAGGCATACAAATTTATTTAATGTGCATACACAGGGGACTTCAGGATGAAGAACAAGGATACAGGGGAAATTGTCCATTTTTATGCTTAGGTTCAACAAAGTGTGAACAGCCATGTAGAAATAGGATTAGGGAAAAAAAAAAAAAAAGGTCTAATCTAATGCTAATAGACTGAGCAGGGAAACCCAGCAAGGCCTGTCTGTCGAAGTTCTTCTTGGCCTCTCTGAGCAGCATTCCTTCCTTCTGGGAATGGGGCAGACCCCTCTCTGGAATGGGGGTCAAACAAGGTAGGTCAGCTAATCTCTTCATGGCCAATTTTTACACAGAAAGGCAGAGGGGAACACTGGCATAATAATTCTAGGTTTTGTGGCTGTCTTTGGAGAAAAGGGGTTCTGGTTCCTATGCCCTACCTTGGGAAAAAGGGATTCTAGTTTCTCTGGCTAGCCTTGGGGTAGAAAGGGGCTGAGAGACAGGAGGGCAGAGGTCAGAGAAAAAGGTTTTGGCTTCTGAAGCCTTTATTTTGGGGTATTGTTTTCTGAGTCCCAACACCCACCAGCAGTTGTGCCTGGGGAACAAGATTACAGAGAGTAAAGAGATATTTTCCATTTTTCATTTCATACACCTTGTATTGTCAGAATGTTTCACTATTAGCTTCAATTGCTTTTGTAATGAAAACAATCCTATTATATTTGCTGAAGTGTTTAGACAAGGAATATACTGATGTTTGCAATTAGCTTTAAAATACAGTATATAAACAATAGGATGGGTTGAGAGATGGATAGAGGATTAGATAGATGAATATGTGATAAAGCAAGGACAGAAAAGTATTCATTGTAGAGTTGAGACGACAAATAGATGGGTGTTCATGGTGCAAGTCTTTCAACTTTCTGATTGTTCAAAAATGTTCATAATAAAATCTGGGGGTAGAAATCTTACTATTCTCGAATGCCTACCATGCATCAGACATGCACTGTGAGTTTCTTGAGTTCATGTTCATGTTGCTGCAATAGCACCTAAATGGCATCACAGCCCATTGTCGTGACCCCCCGCCAATTCATGCTGCCAGTTATGCCACAGGACCCTTGCATCCTAGAAAACCAAGATTCAGCAGCAGAGCTGCCTACATTTGGATGTGGTGTCCCTGTACTGGACAGCCCAGTGCCTCAAAGGAAGATTGGGTCAGAGTGTCAAAGAATCTGTATTTGTCCAAGTTCTAGCAGAAAACAAGAAGCATCCTCAAAACAGTCAACCGGAGACAGTTTGCTGAAGGCACTAAATTCAGAGGTGTGGTAGAACTAGGGAGCGGCTGGGGATGGAAGCGCACACTGAGAAGACATTACTACCCCTAGGCCTAAAGGGCTGGGAAATTGTAAGGTTTCTAGAGCTCAGCCAATGGAAGCCGTGGGCACAGGAAACAGACACTTCCCAGGATGCAGTAAAGGGGGCACTGAGGGATTAATGACCCTGCTTCTCTCTTTTCCCACAATCCCTTCTTCTGCTAGTGCCTTCCATCACCAAACCTCACAGGAATCCGGAGAGTAGGAGTGGCCAAGTGACAGTGGCTTTGGAGGTCAGCATTCCAGACAGCAAGCTGGACAGAGCATGAATCTGGGGATAGAGTAGGAGCACGGATGGGCAGTCAGAAAAAATAATAATAATAATAAGAGCAATAATCTTACAACTGGCAGAGACTTGCATCCAACTAATCTTATAATCCATCATCCAATACAAGTCATTTAGAGAAATGGGCCAGGCACAGTGGCTTATGCCTGTAATCCCAGCACTTTGGGAGGTCGAGGTGGGTAAATCACTTGAGGTCAGGAGTTCAAGACCAGCCTGGCCAACATGCAAAACCCCATTTCTACTAAAAATACAAAAATTAGCCTGGCATGGTGGCACATGCCTGTAATCCCAGCTACTTGGGAGGCTGAGGCAGGAGAATCGCTTGAACCTGGGAGGTGGAGGTTGCAGTGAGCCAATATCACACCACTGCACTCCAGCCTGGGCGATAGAACAAGACTCCATCTCAAAAAAAAGAAGAATGAAAGAGGTTATTATTAATCATTCTACCAAGTCTACAGGCAAAGCCAGAACTGCATGGCTACTCTACTTTCATCATCTATTTCAGTCCCTCAATTTGCAGATGGGGTCACTGAAGAGACCCAGACAGGTAAGGTGACTTGCAAAAGGTTGCACAGCAGGTCAGGGGCAGAGGTGGAAAAAGTCTCGACTGCTGACACGCAGGCTGGGGACCTTGATTTTTCACCACTTGGTCACAATGATCAGGCTCAGCAAAACACCCCTCCAGGCTACTACAATACGCTCAGACGACTCTGGGGAAAGGACAGCTCATCTGTGTGTCCCAAGAAGCATGTGGTTTGAAGCTCCTTTTTTTCTTATATTTTTTTCTTCCCCCTTTTTGTGGTCAAATACTGGGCTGGCTAGAGGGGAAGCACTCAGGTGTCAGTGGGGTTTCACTGCTATTTCATTACATAAGTGAAAGCCTGCAACCGGGAGAATGAAATGCAAAACAGGGCCATCTGACAAGCTCCCTGGCTCTTCCCTGAGGGGCTGCAGGGCTGCCTCAGTCACCCCTCGTGGTGCCTTCTTGTCTCTGGGGACAGGCTGTTGAGACTTCTGGGAAATACCCGTTCAGTGAATTCCTCATCCAACAACTATGACTTGAGCATTTTTTAAGTCGCAGGCACTGTGCTATATAAGGATGATGAGAAAGACATGGTCATTGCCCTTATTAAAAGATCCCATTATAGAAGATAATAGGATATTACGGGTGGTGGTTAATGGACATATATACAAATAAATTAATTACAGACCGCAGCGCTAGAAGGGAAATAGAGTGCTCTGAAAAACAGTAATAATGGCCAACTATTAATGTCATCCTTTCTCCACAACTGCTCCGTAAGGTACAAACAATTATTACTTCCATCTTACGGAAGTGGGAACTGTGGCAGAGAAGTCAGGTGATTGCCCAAGGTCAATTCACTGGTATGTATCAGAGCCGAACTTGAACCCGTGAGTGGTGTTTCAGAGCCTGGGTCTTAACCACTGTCTATGTTGGGGAGCATATACTTAGAAAGGCATGGAAGGCCCTTCCAAGGAGGGGGCAGAAGAATGATCTAGGCAGAAAAAGGAGCAATGGTCAATGTACAAAGTGGAAAGAGAGCCTGGGGTGCTCTGTAATTTGTCAGAAGGCCTGGGAGATTGGGGCGGGGGTTGGATTTTACTCTAGTTGCACTTTACAAAGTGTCTTCGCAGACATACATTTTCCTAGGTTACCATCAGAGAGCCTGGTAATCCCAAGTGGCCATGGTATTATCCATGTTTTACAGAACAGCGTACATTGTTTTTGGGAACTCAGGGCAAAGGTGAGACTGGCCCCTGTGACTTTGGACTCATGTCCAGTGCTCTCTCTATGCAACCCCAGCTCAGGAACAAGCCACCTCTATGGTTCCTTAAGTACAATGCACCAAGGTAATGCCAGCTCCTCTTGTTCCCTTCTCTGCCTTCTCCCACCCCAGGATTCACCTCTCCAGCTGCCTCAACAACCTAATTTCTAGGGGAAGCTGATAAACAAATCTGTGCTCATTTGCTAATAGGTAATAAAAAACCCTGTTGGAAACCTACAGACAACTTGTCTTTACATCCCTGTGAGAACTTACAACAGCCTTTCCATTTTTCCAGTCATAAGATCAGCCTCAAGCTATTAGACATTTCCTTCTCTGCCAAAGAGGAAGTCATTCGTTGATTAATAGCCTATTCCCAGAGGAATCTAGCCAGAGTTTGAGCCCAGGCTTCTGGTTAACAGGTGGCAGTTTGCAGATGCCAATAAAATAAGCATTGTTCAAAGCACCTAATTCCTTGTCTGTGAATAATGATCTCTTCAGCCTCAGAAACCAGTCCCAGGAGATCAGAGCAGCAGGCTCCACACCCCCAGGGCTCTCAGCCCCTCAGCATGGCCCCAAACACTGCCTTCCTCTCTGCCTCAACTAGTGCCATGTCCTACCTTGACCTTGGGGCCCAGATGCCCCAGACCCTTCACAGCTCCCAGAGCACACCATGTGACAGCCTTCCCCACCTCCTTCCCAGGCTGTCTCCTTTACACCTGTGAAACATAACCCAGAGACGCCTCACCCAGGAAGCCTTCCCTGACCGTCCCGCCTCTTCTCGGTGCTTTCATAATCATAATTCTCCGAGTTCCTAGGACATGCTGCACACTCTGTTACACACTCCCCAGGGATTATCTCAATCTCATAGCAATTTAGAGACACATCCTACTGTTTTATCATTGAAGAAACCAAATCACAGGGCTGTGCCCATAGCCAGGCAAGGAGTGCTGGAGGGGAATACAAACCCAGGATCATCACCCTCTCCCATGCTCACCATCACAACTAACATTTATTGGGCACTTACAGCATACCTCCCATAGCCCTAAGCCCTTGACATACATTTTCTCATCGAATCTTCACAGTAATCCTACGCAATTTAGTCACTATAAGGTATGTGTTATTAGTATATCCATTTTGAAGATGAGAGAGGTTTAATTATTTTGCTAAATCACACATTCAGCAAAGTACACCACCACAATGCACTGAAATTGCCCAGATTAGGTGACACAGCTAGTAATTTACCCAACATCCCTTCTTCTCCTCTTTCATAATAACAAGACTATATTGTTAGAGATGACAATGTGCCCAGTTTAAAAAAGAAAAAATAAAGGCTAAACAAATTATCTCCTATCCTCCTTTGGAGATAGGGCAGGCAATGAAACGTAAGTCAACATCATGGGATAGGGGCCCTAGGAAAGCAATTTAAAGAGGGTGTACTCTGGCCAGGCACCATGGCTCATGCCTGTAATCCCAACAGTTTGGGAGGCCAAGGCAGGTGGATCACCTGAGGTCAGGAGTTTGAGACCAGCCTGGCTAACGTGGTGAAACACTGTCTCTACTAGAAATACAAAAAATTAGCTGGGCGTGGTGGTGGGCACCTGTAACCCCAGTTACTGGGGAGGCTGAAGCAGGAGAATCGCTTGGACCCGGGAGGTGGAGGTTGCAGTGAGCTGAGATGGCGTCATTGCACTCCAGGCTGGGTGACAGAGCGAGACTCTGTCTCAAAATAAATAAATAAATAAAGAGGGTGTACTTGGCTAACACCATTTTGCATTTCTGCCTTTTTCCCTCCTCCTGCTTGAGACATGCAGTGTGGATTTCCAACAGCTGTCTTATGACCACGAAGCAATCCTACTAAACATTGCCAAGCAGAAGAATCAAAGGAACTTGGGTTCCCGGTGACATCACAGAGGTCCCAAACCAGCCCTGGGCCACCCAGCTCCAAATTACAAGGAATTTGGAAGAAAAAGAGACCCTTGTTTAAATCTCTATTGTTTTGATTCTCTATTACTTGAAGCCAAATGCAATTCCTCACTCATTTACTTTGCTATGTGTCTGATGACCTGTTCCCTGAGCCGTGAGGTCCTCAAGACTGAATATGCTGCCCTCTTGGTCTCGGTACCAGTGTCCCTAGCACAGCACCTGCTCACTGTAGTCACTCAAATCAACCGCTTCTTGCCATTCTACTCCCCCTACCCCTGCCTGGGCAAAGGAGGTCATGTTAGGAAAACAGACATCTCCCCTTATATGAGAGGTAACAACACCAAATTAAGGGAAGGATGAAGAAAAGCATGAAGGGAAAGAAAGTGAGTCCCACCTGTGAAGCAGGGGACTGGGAAGGGCCCATGCTGGCTGAGTGCCAGAGCTCCACTTGGTCTTCTGTCTCAAGCCATGGTGATGTCATTTCCATGCCTGGGAAACCCAGGGCCAGTAGCCAAATCAAATCTGGAGAGTGGAGTCAGCAGAGTACCTGAGCCTGAGCTCAATATCAGCTTATGCAAAACAGCCAGCATCCCAAGTGTTGCAATTTAAGGCGCTCTGAGGATGGCCTCATGCCCACTGTCTCCACCAAACCTGAAGTCCCTCCACAAGCAGCTGATGCCAGTAGGGTGAAAGGCTTTCCATGCTGTGGTCCCGGGACGAGTGCACTGGCTGTTGGGGAAGTCAGCTTCTCAGAGGCTCAGTTTTCTCCTCTGCACAGTGGAAATAATACTGCCTTCCCCTGCTTCCATACAGGAGCCAGGAAGAGGATCAAGTATAAAAATGGACAGGAAAGCCCTCTTATAAACACTGAACCTTTACACAAACCCAAGGTAATGGGTGTATATTTGTTTTTCTGAGGTGGCCTCTGCATCCACAATTATGGAAGGTTCCTTCCAGATCCTAAATACTACATTCATTATAATCTTTTTCTACACTCAAGTGTAAGCTGCTGATAAAAGGTTTTTTCTGAAAAAGACATCTTCTGAAATCGAAAAGGTGGGCATAGGGTGGAGTTCCATAGCAGTGAAAATAGAAAGCCAAGAGAATGGAAGACAGATGCATGAGAAGGAGACCATGCTGTTCACATAATTTGTAGCTCTGGGATGGTGGAAGGAGGGAACTAAGATGAATTGGTTGGTTTGCTTGTTTCTGGCTCCTCTGGAGATGGAATATTCAAGCTATAGGTGATCTTCCTTAGCTTAGATATTTACAAAACATTAACTTAATTTCTTTAGGGAAGTGAGCCTGGGAGTTTGAGCAGATGGGAGGAAAAAGGACTTTTAAACTTTATGCCTTTCCAAATATTTTTGTTTTTACCACAATGCATTTTTTTAACAAGTTGGGCTGATCACAAGGTCAAGAGACCGAGACCATCCTGGCCAACATGGTGAAACCCTGTCTCTACTGAAAATACAAAAATTAGCTGGGCGTGGTGGTGCATGCCTACAGTCCCAGCTACTCAGGAGGCTGAGGCAGGAGAATCGCTTGAACCCGGGAGGCAGGGGTTGCCGTGAGCTGAGATCACACCACTGCCCTCCAGCCTGGTGACAGAGCGAGACTCCGCGAAAAAAAAAAAAAAAAAAGTACTTATAGGCAGGGTGCAGTGGCTCACACCTGTAATCCCAGCACTTTGGGAGGCCGAGGTGGTAGGATCTTTTGAGCCCAAGAGTTCAAGACCAGCCTAGGCAACTGAGCAAAACCTTGTCTCTACAAAACATTTTTTAAAAAACCAGCTGGGCCTGTAGTCCTAGCTACTCAGAAGGCTGAGGTGGAAGGATCACTTAAGCCCAGGGACTAAGGATGCGGTGAGCCGTGATCATGCCACTGCACTCCAGCTTGGGTGCCAGAGTAAGACCCCTCTTTAAAAAATAAACAAACACACAAAAACAAATGAAAAATAAAATAAAAGTATTTATGTGTTTATTCAGAGTTTAAAATGTGATTAAACAAAATATTCATAAATCACTTTAAGATTGCCTGGGTTTTCACATCCCCACCCCCTTCATGGGGCCACCACATGATACAGAACTCCATAGTGTTTAGCCCAATAATTAGGTTCTGGCCATCATATTGATGCCACTATTAAAGGGAATTGAGGCTGGCTCACTTGCCAGTTCTGTCCAGCCCTGCCCCTGGCATTGAGAAGACCAAGAAACTGCCCCTAGGGTGTAGTTGCAGGGATGCTGAATTCCCATCATTTGTCAATCCCGTGGGTCCAAGATCAGAAGGGATATGCTTTAACCCAATGATAGCATTAAGTCACAAGAGGAATTGCCCATTAGCTAATTTACCCATTAGCAGAGGTTAGCTTATCTGATTAGCTCATTGCCACCATCGCCTACTCCTGCCAATAGAAAGCAGAACCTGAAGGGAATAAGCAAGGGATGTGCTCATTTTTATGTATGGCAAAAAAAATTTAAAAATTAAACGTTAGAACTCAAAAAGACCTGAAGGATGATCTAGCCAGGAGGCTGTAAACTGGAAAGCTCTGGCTTTATGTATTTTGTTTACCAATGTAGTTGTGTTTTCTTTGAATCTGAAAGTCTTTATATGCACTTTCCCTCTAATCATGCTCCTCATCCAGTTACTCTATACCTGACTGCCTCTAATAGTTATGTTATCTGCTTGGTTTCCAAAGTGACCCTGCCGGGTCTCGAGTCCAGCCTTTGGTACCTATCCTGGTACCCTTTGGTTAGGGCTAAGAATCTAAAGGGATTAACAATAGATGCACTCAAGAGGTTCAGGGCACCTAAAGGAGAAGGAGATACAAAAATAAATAAACAAAAATAAAAGTTGAACAAACAACATAATGTCTCTGAATCTCAGAAATCTCTGAATATCTCCTATAGAATGGGGTTAATACTGCCCAGCCTAGAGTTGGGGAGAACCTGATCAGAGAAAGCATGTGAATTGCCTTCTCTTATTTTTAAAGAATATTCCTGTCCTTTAAACAGTGGTCTTTAAAGAATGTCTCAGTCCTTTCCTTCCCAGAAGACTCAACATGCTCTCTCCAACACTCTTGCCTCATGATTCCACAGCCCTTACCTAATAAACTAGGTAAGGAGCATATATGATCAGGGTGTTCCAGAGAGGTGAGCCGAGGCAGAGAAAGTTACCTGTCCTTCATCACTTGGGCAGGCGCCTCCATCCAGCAGGCACCCACTTAGCCCATAATGGCAGTTGGAGCTATGTCACCAAACCCACCCAAAACTTGGGCAGTGGAGGTGCATGGTCTTGATACCACTCATCTTGGTAATTAATTCCACACAAATGAGCTAACAGAGACCAGTCATCACACATATGCCAACAGCTTGCTTACTGGTTTTTTTCCCTGCTTTTTCTTTTGGCAAACGAAACATTCCTTCAGCCCGATTATTGGCCTCTAGCTTGTCCCTTGGATCTGACAGCTGTTGGTTCATGGACTCCAACCTGGTCTGTCATTTTAGCAACCTAGCTAAAACTTCAGTCAATGGGGGTAAAATGATCATTTGATGGCATAAAAAGCCACCATCCAGGGGCGGGCCACGGTGTGGCCTTGTGAGCTGGGTGCCCTAAAAGACTGTCCAGTTTCAGTGAGCTGCAGAACTCCTGTGTCCTGACCCCATCTGTTGTTGGCCAACATTAACCTGACTTTAAATGACTAAGTAATCACATCAAAATAGAAACCAGGGTGGCTGGCTCCCGTTGAAATCTTGGCATTTTGGTCTCTAGTAAGCAGTGACCTTCCATCTGGGCCCGCCTCTTTCTTCTCTTCTCTCCTCATGATATTATCTTTCTTTGGATTTTCCATGGAGTTTCCTTTCTAGCATTTGGTTCTTGGGTTTTTATCACTTTACACTAATTTCCTCTTTGTCACTAGCTTAAGACCTACCCTTCCCTCTGCCTCTGCCTCCTCCACATTACTCTTTCTTCCTCCTTTTTCTCCTCCCCGTCTCATTTCTGTAAGCATTCCTAAAACCCTTCTACTTTTGATAAGAATTGAAGAGCCTGTCAAAGAGAGAGAGAAAGTAGAGTTCAAAGTTCAAAGCAAGAACTTTGGTGGCAGCTCTGAGTGTGACACCAAGATTTGCCCTTAGCAACGGTGTAGCTTTGGGCACATGATCTAGCCACCTGGTGCCTCAGTTTCCTCATCTGGACAACAGGTATAACAACACCTATTTCATGGGATTGAACATAATGCTGTGAATGTAAATGGCTTTGTTAGCAAAGAGTCCTACCATATGATATATTCTAAATAAAATTTAGCTTAGAAAAAAAAAGGATTCCCACAATCTTTGCTCTCTATCATGGTTTAAATCAATAGGGTCCCAACTACGTGCATCAAAGAACTAAAGCTCCAGAACTTACCTGGGATGGGCTGGATGACAACAGGATGAGCCCTAATTACCCTCCCTTTTTTTTTTTTTTTTTTTTTTTTTGAGATGAAGTTTCACTCTCGTTGCCCAGGCTGGAGTGCAATGGCATGATCTCAGCTCACTGCAACCTCCACCTCCCAGGTTCAAGCCATTCTCCTCCCTCAGCCTCATGAGTAGCTGGGATTACAGACGCCTGCCACCACACCCAGCTAATTTTTGTATTTTTAGTAGAGATGGGGTTTCACCATTTTGGTCAGGCTGGCCTTGAACTCCTGACCTCAGGTGATCCACCCGCCTCAGCCTCCCAAAGTGCTGGGATTACAGGCATGAGCCACCACGCCCATCCCACCCTCCGGCTTTTAAAACAGTTTCTATTTTCTCTCTTTTGCATATTGGATCTCTGAATAATATCCTGAAAAATGGATTCCATTGCCATGAAAATTTTTTCTTAAATTGATTTTTTCACTTTTTCTTTTGCCAGAATTCTTCTATCTTTGTTCACTCCAAATGAGAAGTACCTGACACATAGAACCTGCAAAGTCATTGTTCCACTCCTTGTTACTTCCTTGCAATTTGAAGCCCCTCTATTTTAAAAAGTATGACTGACATTTCTTTTCTGTAAAGAAGCGGTAGAGGAGTTTAGCCCACCTGTCAGACTCTCTTCGAAGATCTTTTCACCAGCCTCCGACTATCAGATAGTGAAAGACGGTTATTAGGTATTTGGTTTCATTTGAAGAAAATGGATTGCCCATTTTCTTTACTATTTGAGAAATTTGGTTACACCCAGGATTTCACGCAAGAACCTGTGGTAGTGAATTGAATCTGACAAAGAATTCCACATAGTAAGTAATATTGTTTCACTACCTTAAAAAAATT